>NC_000007.14:44482666-44785696 GCF_000001405.40 Homo sapiens
AAAACCCAGAGACTCGACAGCATAACATCCATTAATGTCTAGCATCCAATAAAAAATTATCAGACATTTGAAAGAAAAAGAAAATGTAACCCAAAATCAGGAGAAAACTCAATCCCTAGAAACAAACCAAGAAATCACAGAGATAATGGAATTAGCAGATAAAGACTTTAAACTATTGTAAGTATATTGAAGGATTTAAAGGAAAACCAAGGTAGAAATTGAAGCCATAAAAAACAATCAAGGGGAACCTGCAGGGCTAAAAAATAAACTATCTGAAATTAAGAAGTTACTAGATGAGTTTAACTACAGATTAGACACCAAAGGAGAAAAGACAGTAAAGTTGAAGACAGGTCAACAGAAAATATTCCAAAGGAAGGACAAAGAGAAAACAGACCTCCTAAGTGTGTGTGTGTGTGTGTGTATGTGTGTGTGTGCTCAAAAGTCTCCCAATAGTATAAACACAAGGACTATCATGCATGAGTAAATCTTAATCAAATTGCTCAAACTAATGATAATAACTTCAAGGAACTGATATAACAAGAGAATGGGGATATTTCACACACAGGGGAACAAAGAATGTCTACTCACTTCTCATCAGAGACAGTGCAAGCTAGAAGACAATGGAATGATAGTCTTTAAAATGTTTGAAGAAAAACAAAAACAAAAAAAAAGTGTCAACCTGCAATTCTATATCCAGCAAAAATATCCTCAGAAATGGAAGATGAAATAAAGGCATTTTCAGACAAAAAAGCTGAAAGAATTCACTATCAGCAGATCTGCACTATAAAAAATATTTTAAAAAGATCTGCAAGGAAATATCAGATGTCTGCCTTCCACCCTATACTCCCCACTTCCAATCTCTAAATCCTTATTTCACCCCTTCTCATCCAGAGCTCCATATTCAAGAGCTGCTCCCCTTCTCCATCAGCTTGGTTCTGCCATCAAACAATTGTTTTCTTCGAACTCCATTAGTTAGCCTGGACTTTAAGACTCTGCAATCTTGCCCCTCCTGTCTTTACAAAACTTATTTTCTCTTACTCCATATTTTATAAGCCATTCCAAGTTGTTCACTTTGCTTCATTAACTAGAAAAAAAAACAAAAACTCCCCCACAGCCTAGGCAATACAGCAAGAAAATATTTTTAAAATTTAGCCAGGTATAGTGGCAGACATCTCTACAAAAAATTACAAAATTAACCAGATGTGGTGGTGCATGCCTATGGTCCCAGCTACTCAGGAGGCTGAGGCGAGAGGATTGCTGGAGCCCAAGAGTTCAATTCATATATTGCGCTATGATCACACCACTGCACTCCAGCCTGGCCAACAGAGTAAGATCCGGTCTCTATTAAAAAGTGTGCACGCACACACACAATCTCCCCCAAAACACGTCAGAAAGAGAGTAAAGGAGTGAGAAAAACAGAAGAGAACTCAAGGTGGCAGGGATTTGGGGGCACACAGGTGACCCATCCTATCAAGGAGGGAAGAGAGTGAATTTTCCAAAAAAACAAAGCAGGCCAGGAGGCTCGTGGCTGTCTTGCAGACACTACTACAACTCCCACACAAGAAGGGATCAGCTCCTCTCACTCAGACTGTAAGGAAGGACTGTATAACTAAGTTTAGAGCACCCACAAAACATAACTCCTAAAAAGTGAGTACAAGTACATAAAGCAAGAGGCTTGATTCAGGGAAACCTCATGTCATATTCAAGCTCTACTGCTCATTAGCTGCTTGACTATCGGCTCATTTAAAATTCACAACAGCTCTATGAGACAGGTACTATTATTATCACCTACATTTTATAGAGAAGAAAACTGAGACACAGAAAGGTTATACTGCTTGTTCAAGGTAATACATTCAGGAAGCGGCATAGCGAGGATGTGAATCCAGTCACCTAAAACAGACTGTCATTTCAGGTGTCCATTATACCTCAGGCATCATGAGCAAATCCTAGCAGTGCTCCTGCAGAGAGAAAAACACAAACAATCGAGCTGCTGAGGCTAAGCCTCTAAACACAGATAAAGTTAGGTCTTTGTGAGAGGAGTCAAGTGCTCTAATTTTGGCTCTGGATCTCAAATGGTTGTATGACTACTGACCTTACCAAATGAGGGAACTGACCTTAAGCCAACTGACCTCCCATCCTACATAACTGAAAGACTGTAATGCAGCAGTTTACAAACATGAAGAGCTAAATAAATACTGAGATCAAGAATTAATGTGTTACAAAGTAAGAATAAATTATGGAGAAACCCAAACACCAGATGTTACGCAAGAAAGAAGGAAGCTGCAAAGTAGAAATTCCCACCTGGGAAGAATTGGTGGTTCCCTAGGGACTTCAGCAGCACCAGCAACTGCTCCTGGAGCTTCTGCCTCCTGTGAACCATGGGCCATTTCCTTCACAGGGCCTGGAGGCTGCACTTTCTCTACTTCCTGATGCCCATCCAATTCTGTGGTGGAGTCAATCTCTATTTCCTGGACTGGAACTGGGACTGGCTCCTTCTCAGCTGCAGCAGCTGACACAGTCTTGGCCTCTTCCTCTTCCTTTCTTCTGATTTTCTCTTCAAGTTCCTGCCTTCTCTTCTCATCATCCTGACGGGCCATGTGGTCAAAGGTTTTGAATACCTAAAATCAAACACCAATCCAGCAATCAGTTCATCTGCCCAATACTGTACCACATATCTTGTAGAAATGTCGTAAAATCTGTGAAGGAGAGAACTAAAAGTCAGAAACTGACAAGTTTTCCCACTGGCAAAATGGAAATGCACTGCCACTTCACCAAAAGCTGACAGGTAAACAGTGTTTAACAGGAGGATTCCAAAATCAACAAAATCAGAAACTTATAAGCCAAGGCTAACAATATTTACATACCTAAAAGATGTACAGTTAGATGGTCTTTGTTGTCATTATTTTACAGACCCCAGTCTTGTTCACAATGCAAAGAATACACGGTCCTGGTACAACTGTGGGTTATAAAGGCACCAAAATTCAGACTCACAAATGAAACATGAAAATATGGCTGAACTTCAATTCCCAAAATGGAACCAGGTTTACAGGACTGCTGCTGTTTTTCACCACACTGCATGGACATTCAATTCAACAAACATCTACTATGCGCCTACAGTGTGCAAGAAACACGCACGCACAAAAAACATCAAAATGATTTCTGCTGCCTCCTAAGAACTCAAAATTCTGGTGTGTAAACAAGTTCTTAACATTTTCTGGGAAACAGTCACACCCATGAAGGTGCTGGGACCTCTCTACCAAAAAAGTACAGTCAAGACATACCCACACATGAAAACTCTGATACAAGAGGGGGCATGACAAGGCCCTCAATTCCCTGTCAGGGTATGGGTGGGAATGAGCATGTCTGGCGAAAGAAATCTAGGGAGACTTCTTGGAACAAGGAGGATCCCAGTTAGACCCTGAATGAGAGGCACATCTTCCACAGGGAACCACTGGAGGAAATGCCACAGCTCTAAGAATAGGCTTGTCAAGGAAGGGCAAAAGCTCTTGCAATAACTGGAGGAAGGAAAGGCTGAGACAGCAACCTGGGACATGGGTGGGAGTCAGATTCCAAAGGGCTAGAATGCGGACAGGTATTAAATAACAATGTTCTGTGCACTGCGCGGGCAGTCAAAAGGGTGCTAACAGACTAACTGTGTCAAATTATTTTACAAACATTCTCTCAAAACCCTCACAAAAATACTGTGAAGAAGACAGCATCAACATTTCAAAAATGAGAAAAAAATAAGGCTTGGAAAGGTTACGTAACTTGCCCCAGCTCCTGCTGGCAAAAGAAGTAAAAAACTACGCAGCACACACCAAACAGTGTGGGGAGATGATGATGTAGGCAGAGGGGAAAAAAAAAAATCAATAAAATCCTAAAAGGTTAAAAACTGGAAACAACACCAGAACCATTTTTACTTCTGCAGATAACCTGAAGCCCTGACTTCATTCTAACATTAGGGTCTCTACCGCTTTGAGTCCATGCTTTCAGAGTTGCTCATCCTGCTGATACTCCAGATCTTCATCTTAACTCCACAAAAGCAAAGCAACAAGATCTCTCTCTCCTAACACCTGAGACTTCGAACACAGAACCCCCAGACTTGATAGTCCTCACCATGCAGCTGCCTCTGCTCACTCAGTACATCCAGCCTTCTCTGACCTACCCATTCACACCACCAGGAAGTGCTACCACTGCCAACCTCCCAACTATCACATGTTCTCAGTACTCATTCTAGAGTCACAGAACATAGGGCTGGAAGAGAACTCTAATCTGTAACCTCCAATCAATCTTCTCAGCTGACAAGAGGTGAAGTGACTCTCCCAAGATTTCTCAACAATTTATGTAAGGAACAGGATGTAGCTAGCTTTCCTGATTCTAGTTTCAAGGACTTCTACAAAGGAGCACTTCTCAAAGTGGACTCCAAAAAAAACAGCATTATCGATTATAATGAATGGCTTGTCAGTCTAAACGATTTTTGTCTTAAAACATACTAATGTATTATAAAATGGAATGCAATTTTCACATACATCATTCCTGCTGAGGTTCTTCAAGCTGTGTATCCAGGCTATGCAAACTTTTAAAAGGAAACGTATGAGCTGCCTAACTCTACACCAACACTGTACTCCCCAAAATATTAAGGGAACGCTTTGAAGTTCCACAATGATGCAGCCCAGCACTCCCATCCAAATTCTTCTCTGCCTATATTCAGCAGAGACACCAAGCATCCCACATCTGGTGGGGGTGGAGAGGCAGACCCCAGGAAGGAGTCTTATGCCATCAAGTTAGGGACAGAAAAAAAAAAAAACCCTAAGAGGCAGATGAGTAGGAGTGGGGAGGTCAGGAGATCACCTACTACCACGAAGAAATAATGTTATGCTGGTACCAAGTCACTCAGTCTCATTCAGTGTTGTCCCACCCCACAATAAAACCCTTGTCAATACTGAAATCACCTTTACAAACCTCCTGTCAAATGAGCTTTTGTGGATAAAAGAACAGGTTCCAGCCAGGTGCAGTAGCTCATGTCTGTAATCCCAGCACTTTGGGAGGCTGAGGCGGGTGATCACCTGAGGTCAGGAGTTCAAGACCAGCCTGGCCAACACGGTGAAACCCCATTTCTACTACTAAAAATACAAAAATTCTCTAGGCATGGTGGTACATGCCTGTAAACCCAGCTACTCGGGAGGCTGAGGCAGGAGAATCACTTGAACCTGGGAGGAGGAGGTGCAGTGAGCCAAGATTGCGCCACTGCACTCCAGCCTGGACAACAGAATGAGACTCCATCTCAAAAATAAAAAATAAAAAAATAAAAAAAAGAACAGGTTCCCAGGATTCACCCTGATCTACCCAACCAAAATATCCAGGAATATGTGCTTTTAAAAGTTCCTTGGCCAGGCGCAGTGGCTCACACCTGTAATCCTAGCACTTTAGGAGGCCGAGGCAGGCAGAACACAAGGTCAGGAGTTTGAGACCAGTCTCGCCAACATGATGAAACCCCATCTCTACTAAAAATACAAAAATCAGCCGGGCGTGGTGGCGCACACCTGCAGTCCCAGCTACTCGAGAGGCTGAGGCAGGAGAATTGCTTGAACCCAGGAGGCGGAGGTTGCAGTGAGCTGAGATCATGCCACTGCACTCCAGCCTGGGCGACAGAGTGAGACTCCATCTCCAGGAAAAAAAAAAAAAAAAAAAGAAAGAAAAAAGTTCCTTAAGCGATGCTGATGGTTGAGAACCACTTCCAGAAAACATGACACCTCTCTTAAGCATCTGCTGGAGACTGTTGTCCCCTTGGTTTCTGTGAAACTTATTGCTCTCCACCAAGATTATTCCCCAAGGCCTGTTCTTCACCTTTGGCTCTTCTCTCTCCCTCGGACCACTCCAGTTGCTCTAGCTCCCAAAAGATCTAGTCCAGTAATTCCAATAGCCTATGGGCAGGGACTCCTACCTGCAACTTCAAGTTCAACCTGTCTAAAACTGAACTTTTTCCCCTAAACCCAGGTGACAGTTCAGTTAACGCATTATCACTATTCCAGTCACCCAAGTTGAAACCTTGGATCATCTTTGACCCATCCCTCCCCTTCCTCCATCCCTGCTCCCCATCTCCACTACTTCATTAGACTGGTCACCAAATCCTAACCTATGGAAGTGTCTTGTAAGAGGTGTTACCAGGTAAATGAGTTACCAGGTTAATGAGTGCTCTGTCAGTTCATCTGTGAAACAAAGACCAACCTCTCAGGTTATATTAAGGGTTAAATAAGATAACGACCCCAGAATATAAAACATCTGATACTATACATATTACTCAGTATATACTCCTTTCTCCTCCACATCTTTCTGCAAACTACAATCAATCTAGACAAAAGTGTTCTCATCCTACTATGGAATGGTTAAACAACAGAACAGGAAGATTTGGAATCCACAAAATGAAATTTTTAGTTTCAGCTCTACGGTGAACTGGCTGTGTGTTCTTGGTCAAATCACTTAACCTTGCTGAATTGGTACGTAAACTTGAAACTTATCTGTTTCACAGAGACACTGAAGATCAAATGGCAAGACTTCATTAACCTGCCATAAGATCCTGCTAAAGGCCACCTCCAACAGCTCTCTCATCACTAAGATGGCACTTATGCCACTGACAAGGACGAGGAATAGCCTTAAGTTCTGAAATTGAATCCTAATGGAACCCCATTCCTCGTTTGGCCCTATTACCCTGGTAGCTACCAAGACATTCAAAGCTTTGGCTTCTGCTGAGGAAAGTAACATCTTACCAACCTGCAGCATGCATTAAGACTTCAGGAGGAAACATCTGAAGCATTTTATAAACTGTAACATCTAGAGAACTGAGGGAGGTATCATCAGCATTTCTATCTTCTTGGGTTTCTACAAATAGGCTTAATACTTGGCTGAATAGTTTCTTTTAATCTCATCAGAAGTCCCACCTCTCTTATAAAAACTTCACTTCTCAACCATCATTTCTATTTCCTTTCTTTACAATGGGCTCCATCAAATAATTGCCCTTAAAAAGTTTTCTATTACTTTCTGGGTTTTCTCTCTTTAACTGTGTCACAAGGAGAGAGAAACCATTACTTAAACACCCGTATCACCCTCACCTGCGGCAACTAAGAGTGTAAACTACATTCAGCAAAAGGTTGCTTACCACTACATTCAAAAGTGCCCAGTCAACTTCACTGAATGAGTATTGACAGCGTTTCCAACATACAATAAACTTAACCTGGAGGGTACGGAATTAAGCTCAAATAGAAATTTTAATAAGCACTACATTGACAGTCTTTGACCTGGGAAGTCACATTTCAAACAAGCGACCACACCCATTGATCAACACAATGCCTCCGTCATCCCCGCCAGCTCAAGTCTTTGGTAGTTCTGGGGCATGCACGTTTCTGTTGCTGTAAATGTCCTTCCTTCTGTCTGGCCTGCATGGATTTCGCTCCCTGACTAGCGGCCCCCAGCACCGTGAGGGGTACGCGCTGGCGGGTGCTGAGTAGGGCTCTTAACAGTCGGCTTACTACTTCTGAAACCTCAGGACGTCCGGAGCGAACACCTCAGCGGAATAAGCTGACATCCAATCCGCGCTTCAAATTACTGAAGCCATTCTCACAAGCTCAACCCCAGGACACCAGGAAAAGGAGGAAACAGGCTGGGAGAGCTTGGAGGAGCGGGCGCCAGGAGTCAGGGCAGGCCGGGGGCGGCGGCTCCCCAGACCGCAGGCCCGCCCGCCTCACCTGCAGCACCAAGGCCTGCGCGGCCCCGGGCGGGAAGCCCATGCGGTCCGATGGGTGGCGCAGCAAGCGATAGAAGTCTGTCTTGCGGTAGAGGAAGCCAAAGAGAACGCGCAGGAAATCCTGGACGTTGCCCACGTGCTGCAGGATGCCCAAAAGGGCCTGGTCATACAGCTCGGCCGCCCCTGTCTCCATGTCGCCTCCCGCCCTAGGTACGCTTCACACACACAGCGCCGCCTCAGACCTGCCGACTGGCCACTTCCGGCGTCCGCAGCCAACGGCTCCGCCGGACGGCGCGGCTGCGGAACTTCCGGTCCGTGCTCGTTCGGCCCCCGCGGCCCCGGGCTGTTTTCCCCAGACCCAGCTGCCCCACGGGCTTTGCCTTGAGGTGGTCTTAGACAAAAGAGCCCGACAAGGGCAGCAAGGAGGTTCCTACGCGGAAGGAAGCCCGTGGCTTCTGCTGCGCTGCGAGGGCTTGACCGCCATGTTTGAAGCGGGCGGAAAAAAATTATGGGGCGTGCAGTGTCACGTGACTGCTCGGATTTTTGTCACGTTGTCTGTGGATCCTTTCTTATTTCTGTGTTGAATTCCAGCCTGGGTATTTGGAACCTATGGTTAAAGATGGGGCTAGGGTAAGCTTTTTGTTAGTGAGCCAGAGACGGGAAAATGCGTATATGTGGGATGTATGGGTTTCTTATTAACAGATCTGTGAGTTAAACTCAGGGCGTTGCATCAGAAGAAAGTCAAGATGACGAAGAAAATAAAGAGTGCATTCAACGTATATTAAGTGGAAAGAGCTAGATTCAGAATAGAGAATCCGTATGCCATCGTTGTGAAATATGTACGTGTATGTGTGTGTATAGTATGTATATACATATATACGTCATATATACATATGTTGTTAGTGTCTGTCAAAGTATAATCTTAAAAAAGTAAAAAGCATGACACTCATACAAATATATCATGAACACATATCCAAGATTTCTTCAGCAAATTAACAATGATATGGTAAAGCTGGTTCAAAAGCATTTTGAGGAAGTGGAGATTAAACATTTTGACAAAGCATTAGAGTAAGATTAGGTTGGATACAAAGCTGGCTGGTGTTCTACAAGATGATAAAACCATAGATTATCATTTCTAGTGTATAGAAATGATTTGCACCTCTTCTAGATTAAAACATGCAAGTTAACATGTCTTCATAGTGTATAAGCTTTAATGAATTGTAAATAAAATCCAACTCAGGTAAATTGCCCTAGAACAGTGGTTCTGAAACTCTTGATTTAGGGACCATTAATCCTCTTAAAATTTGTTGAACATTCCAAAGAACATTTGTTGATATGGGTTATGCTTATCAATATTTACCACATTAGAAATTAAAACATAAAATGTTTAAATATTTATTTAATCATTTTTAAATGACCATAAAACACATTACATGTTAACATACTTTTATGCAAAAAATAATGTTCTTCAAAGCAATAAAAGTTCAGTGAGAGGAGTAACATAGTTTTACATTTTTGCAAATCTCTTTAATGAGCCTACTAGAAGACAGCAAGATTTGGCCGGCACAGTAGCTCATGCTTGTAATCCCAGCACTTTGGGAGGCCGAGGCGGGAGGATCAGGAGTTCGAGACCAGCCTGGCCAACACAGTGAAACCCTGTCTCTACTAAAAATACGAAAATTAGCTAGGCGTGATGGCAGGTGCCTGTAATCCCAGCTCCTCTGGAGGCTGAGGCAGGAGAATCGCTTGAACCCGGGAGGCAGAGGTTGCAGTGAGCCGAGATCACACCACTGCATTCCAGCCTGGGCGACAGAGCTAGACTCCGTCTCCACAAAAAAAAAGAAGACCACAAGATTCTCACATCTGCATTCACTGCAACATAATTTGCATTATGTTGTTTTCATTGAAGTATATGAAAACATGCAACCTCACACAGACAGTTGCAAATGAGAGGAATATTTTGTCTTTTCAAATAAATGTGGCTATTTGTCTTTAAAATGACATCAAAATTCTTCTACAAGCGATAGTTTCTATTTTTTTTATTTTTAAGAGGCAGGGTCTCCCTCTGTCACCCAGGCTGGAATGTAACGATGTGATCATAACTAACTGTAGCCTTGAACTCTTGAACTCAAGCAATCCTCCTGCCTCAGCCTTCTGAGTAGCTGGAACTACAAGCACATGCCACTGTGCCTGGCTAATTTTTAAATTATTTTTATAGAGACGAGGTTGGGCCTACATTGTTCAGGCTGGTCTGAAACTCATGGGCTCAAGCGATCCTCCCCTCTCAGCCTCCCAAAGTGCTGGAATTATAGGTGTGAGCCACTGCACCCAGCCCTGTAACTGGTAGTTTCTTAAAGGTTACTTGCCATATGGAATCTAAAACTGTATCTATAGACTTTTCATACTCTGTTACATTAATATCGATTGGTCTTTCACTTTGAATGGATCGTTAATAAATGCATGATTTTATACCATCATGTATTAATTAGTCATTTGAAAATGTTGGTCCACTGTGTTATGCAGCTCTTCCAAATGTTCACTCGTTTTATGCAACGAGCATATCTTGCCCCCAGATCTTGGTTTCTAATATCATTTCATTATATAATATCAAAAAATAACATTTGTTAGAATTACCACTAAACTCATCAGAGAAGTCTGTCTTTATTGACAAGCACTCAAGCTCATGGAAGCGGGATATGGGTTTTTTGAATTCTAATTTTAGCTTAAAAACTTGAACTTTATTATTGGAAGTAGATACAATCAATTATTTTCCTTGAAGAGACAGGCTCACTTCATTCTGTCATTCAAGTAAAAATGATGCTCTGTGACTTGTTCAATTGGCAACTCAATCACACAAGTGCTTTGCATCAGTGCAACCATTTTGCTTCAGTATGAGGCAGACATGTCTTATGTGTACTTCTCTTTTAATCATGCACTATTAAAAAGACTTGTTCTCAAGTGGAGAACTTTTAATAAAACAACTTTTAATAAAATTAATAATTAAATGCTATCAGGAGCATTCTTAAGTGAAACTGAACATTTTTAACCTGTAAGTGTAAGGCAGTGCATACTAGTCGAGTTTGGTGCCGTTATGGACTGAATGTGCCTGCCCCCCACCAGATTCATATGTTGAAGCCCCAGTCCTCAATGGGACTATATTTGGAGTCACATTGGTGGTTAGAAGGGCCTTTAAAAGATACTTAAAGGTTAAATGAGGTTATAAGGGTGGGACCTTAACCCAATGGAACTGGTATCCTCATAAGAGGAGAAGGAGACACTAGAGATCTCACTCTGCACACATGCAGAAGAAAGGCCATGTGAGGACACAGTGAGATTGCTTCAAGCTAGGAAGAGAATTCTCACCAGATACCAACACCTTGGTCTTGGATTTCTGGCCTCCAAGACTGTGAGAGAATAAACATGTGTTGTTTAAGCCACCCAGTCTATGGTACTTTGTGACAGCAGGAAGCTAGGACAATGGCCTGCCTTGATTCCTGCTGAGACACTTGCAGTTTTACCTGCCATTGCTTTTGCACCATCATTGCAAATGTCAACATGGTAAAAAAGCAAATAACATCATAGTATTGTTATTTTTACCTTGGAGGCCCCCCAGGGCCACATACTACACTCTGAGAATCACTGCCCTAGAGAATTAATGAATCTCGGGTGAGCCTGTTATATAATTCCTCAGTATAACTGGAAGCACATGCAGTCATCTTCTTGCTATATTCAAAGTTTTGAATAATTTTCTTTAGCACCTAAAGGAAGAAATGGAACAGACGCTGCATCTGGAGAAGGGAAATTGAGGGAAACACTATAAAACAGGAGAAAAACTTACTTTTGTATTTGATACCATATACATGCATTACCTATTCAAAAAGTAAATAAAATATCTTTTTTTTTTTTTTGAAACAGAGTCTCGCTCTGTCGCCCAGGCTGGGGTGTAGTGGCACAGTCTCAGCTCGGCTCACTGCAAGCTCCGCCTCCTGGGTTCACGCCATTCTCCCGCCTCAGCCTCCCGAGTAGCTGGGACTACAGGTGCCCGCCACCACACCCGGCTAATTTTTTGAATTTTTAGTAGAGACGGGGTTTCACCATTCACAGGATGGTCTCGATCTCCTGACCTTGTGATCCACCCGCCTCAGCCTCCCAAAGTGCTGGGATTACAGGCGTGAGCCACCGTGCCCGGCCAAAATATCTTTTAAATTGAATGGAAAGCTAAACATAATGTCATAACACAGTCCAGCAATCATGCTCTTATGTATTTACCCAGCTTATTTGAAAACTATGTCCATACAGAAATCTACATGCAAATGTTTATTGCAGCTTTACTCAAAATTGCCAAAAATGGGAAGCAACCAGGTGCCGTCAACAGGTACTGGATAAACGAAAGGTAGTACATTCATAGAATGAAGTACTGTTTTCAGCAGTAAGAAGGAATAAGCTGTCAATCAATAAAAAGATATGGCTTAATCTTAAATGCGTATTGCTAAGAGATAGAAACCACTCAAAAAATGCTACCACCCAATTATATGACATTCTGAAAAATGCAAAATGTAGAAACAGTAAAAGATCAGTGGTTGTCAGGGTCTGCGTGTGAAAAAAAGGTTGAATGATGCACAGGGAATTTTTTAGGATGTAAAATTATTCTATATGATAGTAATTACTATCATAGAATAATGATAGTAATAATTATTAATAGTAATAATTATTAATAGTAATTATTAGTAATAATAGCAATAATTAGTAATTAGTAATTAATAGTAATAATTAGTAATTAATAGTAATAATTATTAATAATAATAATTAGTAGTAATAATGATAGATACGTGACACTACACATTTGTCAAAACCCATAGAAATTTATAGCACCAAGAGTAAACCTTAATATAGGCAGTCTTTTAAAAAATCACTTAGGAGATTGGGGGATCCCAGAATGGGTTGCAGAATGTGACAAAACAATCTAACTGTGTCACAGATGTATGAAACAACCTCACTGAAGGGATGATAGAAAGAGATGCTGTCCTAAGTAACTTTGGAAATGAGCAGAGTCTGTAAGACTAAAGACAAAAGGAACTGTATATAAACACTGAAATCTAGTTGATACAATTATTCCTAACAGGGGTATGGGTTATCAATTCTGAAACCGCTAGATATGTATAGTGGAAATGAGCAATTAAGTAAATGGTGGAGGGTGGTGGGATCCAGGTTTCTCACTGGTGGAGTGAGAGAGTTATAAATAAGCGGGGAAGGAGGCTAGAATGATCCATGTGGTAATAGATCAGAGTTAGAAATTCATCCTTATAGATACAGATGGCTATGTGTAGAACTGTTTACAGAAATGTGTATATATGCAGGTGAGTGTACATACATGTATTTACTTGCTCTCAGCTGAGAAGGTCTAGAAGCAACAATGCTTCAGTAACAACGAGCATACCTTCCACCCAGATCTTGGTTTCTGATATTCTCCAATAGAAGGAACCAGGGCTTCTTGGAGAAATGGCTGATTCTAGGACTGGCACAGAAAATATACAAGATGCGCCTGGAGCATCTTGTGGGTGGTGTCTCAAAGTAAAGGAAGTGCAAAGAAAAAAAAAACCACACAATGATGGGGGTATGACAAAGGAAAGCGCTTCCAATGGCCAAAGCTGGAACAATTTGAGCAGCAAAATAAGGTATTATTATATTAGAACCCAAAATATAAAACAAATACCTGTGAGTCCATACCGATATACATATAAATATATTGATATATACATACCTATATGATATATAGAGATATTTCTCATACTGAATAAAGAAATGGAAGAAAATAGACACATTTTCTGTTCAGAAGAATTCCCAGTTATTTATGTAGCTAGTCTGCCCTCAAGGAGGTGGAGCATGACTCCCTACTTCTTATGTCTAGGATACATGTAGTGACTCTTCCTAATGGTAGAGCGTGGAAAGGGGAGAAACCTGACGAGGATGACCTCAGCCAGGTGATCGAGGTCAACATCAACAATGATAAGTCATGTTTGATAGTATACACCTTTAATATGCTATGAATGACACCTTACCTCTGTGGTCTTCCTCTCAAAAACCCATAACCCTAGTCTAATCATGGGAAGAATGTTGGACAAGCCCCATTTGAGGAACATTCTACAAAATACCTAACAAGTACTCCTCAAAACTGTCAAGGTCATCAAAAACAATGAAAGCCTGAGAAACTGTCACAACCAAGAAGAGCCTAAGGTGACCTGACAACTAAATATCATGTGGGGTCCTGGGTAGGATCCTGGAACAGAAAAAGGACATTAGGTAAAAATTAAGGAAGTCAAAATAAAGTAGGCACTTTAGTTAGTAGTAATTATCAGTATTTATTAATTGTGAAAAATGAACCATACTAATGTAATAAGTTAATAATAGGGTAAACTGGATGTGAGCTATACAGGAACTCTGTAGTCTCTTTGCAATTTATTTTGGAAATCTAAAACTTATTTTAAAATGTACTCTTAAAAATTGTATTTTATTTATTATTATTTTTTTTTTAGAGACAGAGTCTCCCTCTGTCGCCCAGGCTGGAGTGCAGTGGCGCGATTTCGGCTCACTGCAACCTCTGCCTCCCAGATTCAAGCAATTCTGCCTCAGCCTCCTGAGTAACTGGGATTACAGGTGCACGCTGCCTTGCCTGGCTAATTTCTTTTGTATTTTAGTAGAGACGAGGTTTCACCGTGTTGCCCAGGCTGGTCTCAAACTCCCAGCTCAGGCAATCTGCCCGCCTCGGCCTCCCAAAGTGCTAGGATTACAGGCGTGAGCTACTGCGCTGGCCAAAAATGTATTTTAAAAAGTGATAATCATCCACAATCCTGTTCCCTCCCCTAAAAAGTAAGTGGACATGTTAGGGCAAAGTGCCTGCCTGAGCTCTAGAGGTCAGACATAAAACTGAGTAAGAGGAGATAGTGTAGGGCTGGGCCCCTTCTGGCCCAGCTGAGACTCTCACATGGGGTTCAGGAGGGCAGATGCTTTTAGCTGTTTCTCCAGTAATGTTCCTGGGCACACTGGTTTGGGGATTGGGCCTCCAAGGCCTCAGGCAGCCAGGTCTCCATGGCTTTCTCTTGGTTTGGAGTCTCATGACTGCAGCTCTCCCAGGCTGGGGTTACACAAGGGTAGGTCTACAGTTCTGGGCTCTACTAGGTATCGCCTTGGTGGGAACTCTCTGTAACAACTCTGACCACACATTCCTGCTAAGCATTGCCTTAGTAGGGACTCTCTATGGTGGCTCTTCCCCTGCAATAAGTCTCTTCCTGGGCCTCAAGCTGTTTGATATATCTTTTGAAAACCAAGTGGAAGCTACTGTGACCCCACCACCTATGCACCCATCCCTGCAGAGTTAGCACCATGTAGACATTGCCAAGGCTTACTGGTGAATAGCATCTGGCTCCTTTCTATTCATGCTAATCTCTTCAGCAAGCAGTCTCTGGGCCACACCCTGAGTTCACTCTCCTAAATGTACCTTTTTATACTTTACATGGCCAGGCTATAAATTTTCCAAATCTTTCACTCTGCTTCTTTTTAAATTATAAATTCTGTCTTTAAGTCATTCCTTTGTTCTTGTATCTCACTATATGTGATTTAAAATAGCCATGCAGCAGTCTGAATGCTTAACTGCTTAGGTATTTCTTCCACCAGATATCCTAGTTTGTCATTCAAATTCCACTTTCCATGAAGCTCTCAGGCATGGACACAGTTCCACTATTACTACTTTATAACAAAGATGCTCTTTATTCAATTTTCCAATACCTTGTTTCTCATTTCCATCTGAGACCTCATCAGAATGGCCTCTACCAATATTAAATATAATGTTGGTAGAAAATATAGCCAGTAAAGGCCATTTACTGTTAATGGTGGTAGAGATATAGACAGTAAAGGCCATTTACTATTAATGTTCGTAGAAATATAGACAGTAAAGGCCATTTACTGTCCACATCAGAGACTGTGTCCATATCTCTGTCAACAGTCATGACCACTGAAGTAATCTTTAAGAAGATTCTGACTTTCCCTGTATCTCTTCTCTTCTGAGACCTCACCCTTAATGTTCCATTTATGGCATTATACCAGACTCTTTCTAGCATGCTCCTCAAAGTTCTTCCAGTCTCTACCCATTACCCAGTTCCAAAGCTACTTTTACATTTTCAGATATTTGTTATAGCAACAGACCCACTTCTCAGTGCCAATTTTCTATCATAGTCCGTTTTCTGCTGCCATAACAATACCACAGACCAGGTAATCTATAAATAACAGGCGTTTATTTAGCTCATGGTTCTGGAGGCTGGAAAGTTCAGGAACTTGATGCCAGCATCTGTTGAGGGCCTTCTTGTTTAGTCATCCCTTGGCAGAAAGCAAAAGGCAGAAGGGCAAGTGAGTACACAAGATAGAGGCACCAGGGGCCAGCCTGACTTTATAACAACCCACTTTTGTGGTAACTAACTCACTGTAGTAATAACAACATTAATTCATTCGTGAGGGCTCTACCCACATGATCCAATCACCTTTTATTAGGCCCTAGCTCCCAACATTGTTTCATCGGGGATTACATTTCCAGCACATGAATTTGGGAGACACATTTCAACCATAGCAAGCATGTTAACTAAAGAGAAGACATAAAAAAAAAGAAATCAATTATTTAGGAGTGAAAATATGATGTATTACCTGAAAAATACACCAAATGAGATGTACCACAGATTAGAAGTACAGCCAGGAGCGGTGGCTCACAGCTGTAATCCAACCACTTTGGGAGGCCAAGGTGGGTGGATCATTTGAGGTCAGGAGTTAAAGACCAGCCTGACCAACATGGTGAAACCCCGTCTCTACTAAAAATACAAAAATTAGCCACACGTGGTGGCACATCCCTCTAGTACCAGCTATCCAGGAGGCAGAGGCAGGAGAATCGCTTGAACCTGAGGCAGAGGTTGCAGTGAGCTGAGATCGTGCCATTGCACTCCAGCCTGGGCAATAAGAGCAAAACTCCATCTCAAAAAAAAGAAAGGAAGGAAGGAAGGAAGGGAGGGAGGGAGGGAGGGAGAAAGAAATAGATAAAATATTATTGAACTTGAAAAAATAGCAATAGAAACCACCTAAATTGAAAAAGAGAGAAAAAAAGACTTAAAAAAAAATAGAGCATCAGTGAGTTGTGGGACAACTTCATCTTGTCTAATTTACATGTAGTTGAGTTCCTAAAGGCTAGGGTGGGGAACAGAAAAAATATTTGAAGAATCAGTGGCTGAACATTTTCCAAATTTATTAAAACTAAAAACCCATGAGCCAAGATGCTCAGTGAACCCCCAATAATAAGAAACATAAATAAAACTACACCAAGGAACATAATAGTCAAATTGCTTAAAAGCACTGATAAAGATAAATCTTATAAGTAGCCAGAGAAAAAAGGTAAATTATGTACACAGGATTATATAAGAATAACGGCAGACCTCTCAAACCAATGTGAGTCAAAAGATAATGTAGAAACATCTGTAAAATGTTTAAAGAAAATGTCAACCTAGAATTCTGCCCTGAGCAAAAATATATTACCAAAATGAATGAAAAATAGACTTTCTCAGACATACAAAAGTTGAAATAAGTCATCACTAGTAGACCTGAACTACAGAAAAAAAAAGTTAAATGTCTTTCAGGGAGAAGGAAAATTACATCAGATGAAAATTCTGATCTACACAAAGAAATAAAGAGCACTGGAAAGTTTTTTTAAGCGAGCAAATATAAAATACTATTTTTATTAATTTGAAAATCTCTTTAAAATATACTTGACTGCTTAAAGCAAAAGAATTAGTAACATGACATCCTAAGGTTTATAATGTGTAGAAGTAAAGTGTATTATAACCATAATACAGAGGCCAAGAGGGACGAAGTGAGAGGATACAGTTGTAAGATTTTTATACTGCATGTGAAGTTATATAATTTATTTGAAGATAGACTGTGGTAAGTTAGAGATTATCTATAAACTGTAAAGAAAGCTCTAAAAATAAAAATTAAAAAAACAGAGTGGTCACATAAGCCAACAAAGGTTATAAAGTAGAATCATACAAACTACTCAATAAATTCAAAAGCAGGCAGAAAAAGCAGAACAATAACCCAATTACAGATTTAAAGCTATATTGATAATCATAGCCTACTCAGAAAAGCTCTTTTGGGGTCAAAAGGAAAAGGCACTCTCTCCCTCCACATCAGAGACTGGACTGTGGAGATGGTGGCCCAGAAGACAAACAAGGGACTGGAGCACCTTGTCAAAGCAAAGAAATACCTGAAAACTTTTTTTTAATGGAAGCCAGATTATGACAGCGCTGCTTCTGAATATGGAAAATATATTTAAAATAACAGTAACATTAAATGTCAATAAACATTTCAATTAGAAGGAAGAGATTTTCTGATTGACTAAAAAAGCAAGACCCAACTGTATGCTGCTTAAATGAAACCCACTTTAAATGTAAAGTGAAATACATTAAAACTAGGCTGGGCACAGTGGTTCACACTTGTAATCCCAGCACTTTGGGAGGCCAAGGCAAGAGGTTCATTTGAGGCCAGGAGTTCAAGACAACCTGGGCAAAATAGCAAGGCCCAGTCTTCAAGAAAAAAAAAAAAAAAAAAAACTAAACTAAGTGGCAAAAGGTATACTATGTTTAAACCAATCAAAATAAAATGTTAACTATATGTGACAGAATGTATATTTTGAAAGGCTAAAAAGATTGTACACACACACACACAGTGGTTATCTCTGGGTTACAGATATAAGTAATTTTTGTTTTTTGTTTTCTTAACTGTACTTTTCTTTGTCTTACAATTATTCTGTCATAAGTGTGTGGGGATTTAAGGAGTGTTTGTTTGTTTGTTTGTTTGTTTGTTTGTTTGTTTTTAAATAGAGATGATGTCTCACAATGTTGCCCAGGCTGGTCTTGAACTCCTGGACTCAAGTGATCCTCCCACCTTGGCCTCCCAATGTACCAGGATTACAGGTATGCGCCACTGTGCCCAGTCTGTTGTGTTTATTATCAGAAAAAAAAATTTTTTTTTTTTGAGATGGAATCTCGCTCTGTCGCCCAAGCTGAAGTTCAGCGGTGCGATCTTGGCTCATGGCAACCTCCACCTCCTGGGTTCACGCCATTCTCCTGCCTCAGCCTCCCTAGTAGCTGGGACTACAGGCGCCCGCCACCAAGCCCGGCTCATTTTTTTGTATTTTTAGTAGAGACAGGGTTTCACCATGTTATCCAGGATGGTCTCGATCTCCTGACCTTGTGATCCGCCTACCTCGGCCTCCCAAAGTGCTGAGATAACAGGCGTGAGCCACCATGCCTGGCCAGAAAAATAAGTGGTTTTAAAACAAAAGAATATTTTCTGAGAATACACTAAGCTGTCACTGCTATGTAATAATTGCTCTTCAGAGTAATCAGAGCAAAAGAGCCCTCTGTTTATTTCAGTCATTTATTTAATGGATATTTATTGTGTGCCTATGTGCCAGATGCTAGGTGCTAGAAACACAATGGTAAGCAAAAAAATAAAGTCATTGCCCCCTATAGCTTACAGTTTAGAGGAGGAATCAGACATGGGGGAGCCATGTAACCCCACCAATGAATTTTCATCTTCAAACTGTGATGAAGACTAGGAAGGAGAAGGATATGGTATAGTGGGAGCACATAACAGGGACCCGACCAAGACTGGGGTAACAGGGCAGCATCCCAGTAGAAGTCACTTCTGATCTGAGATCCAAAGGAAGAGGGATGGGAGGGAGCAAACTAGGACCATCTAAATCCTTCTTGGAGATTTTTCTGGCTGTAATTGACAAGAAAGAACTCTCTTCTCTGGGATGAGAGAAGCCATATCATCTGCTACATGGAGGAAGCCCATTTTTCACTTGAGAGAAGGAAACCAACCCATAAAGAGAAGCAAAAAACTACTGGGCTTTCTAAAAGACTTTTTTAGGTAGTTATAGGTTCACAGCAAAATTGAGAGGAAGATACAGAGATATCCCATATACCCACTCCTGCCTCCACACATGCATAGCCTCTCTCATTCTCAACATTCCCCATCAGAAGGTACAAAATGATACATTTGTTACAATTAATGGTGCATTTGTTACAATATCACCCAGAATCCTTAGTTTACATTAGGGCTCACTCTGGTGTTGTACATTCTATGGATTTGGACAAATGTATAATGACATGCATCCATGATTATAATATCATATAGAGTGGTTTCCCTGGCCTAAAAATCTTTTGTGCTCTGCCCATTCAACTCCCCTAACCCCAAACCCTAGAAACTACCGATCATTTTATTGTGTTTATAGCTTTGCCTTTTACAGAATGTCATATAGTTGGAATCAGACAGATGTAGACTTTTTAGATTTGCTTTTTCCACTTAGTAGTATACATTTGAAGTTCCTCCACTTCTTTTCTTTTCTTTCTTTTTCTTTTTCTTTTTTTTTTTTTTTTTTTTTGAGATGGAGTTTCGCTCTTGTTGCCCAGGCTGGAGTGCAATGGTGTGATCTCGGCTCACTGCAACCTCTGCCTCCCAGATTCAAGTGAATCTCCTCTCCTACCTCAGCCATCTGAGTAGCTGGGACTATAGGCGCCTGCCACCACACCCGGCGAATTTTTGTATTTTTAGTAGAGACAGGGTTTCACCATATTGGCCGGGCTGGTCTCAAACTCCTGACCTTGTGATCTGCCCACCTCGGCCTCCCAAAGTGCTGGGATTTCAGACTTGAGCCACCGTGCCCGGCCCCTCCATGTCTTTTCATAGCTTAGCTTGATAGCTCATTTGTTTTTAATGCTGAATAATATTCCATTGTGGGGATTAACCCATTCACCTACTGAAGGACATCTTGGTTACTTCCAAGTTTTGACAATTATGAATAAGGCTGCCATGAACACCCATGTGTTGGTTTTTGTGTAGACATAAGTTTTCAACTCCATTGGGTACATACCAAGAAATGTGATTGCTGGATCATATGGTAAGATATATTTAGTTTTAGAAGAAACTGAAGAACTGTCTTCCAAAGTGGCTGTACCATTTTGCATTCCTATCAGTAATGAAGGAGAGTTGCTGCTTCTCCACATCCCTACCAGCATTTGATGTTGTCAGTGTTCCAGATTTTGGACATTCTAATAGATGTGTAGCAGTATCACATTGTTGTTTTAATTATCATTTCCCTGATGATATATGACATGTAGCATCTTTTCATATGCTTGTTTGCCATCTGTACATCTTCTTTGGTAAGGCTAAGTTTTTAATTGAGTTATTTGTTTTCTTATTATTGTATTGGAGAGTCCATTTAGATTTTAAATAAAAGTTCTTTATCGGATAGATCTTTTTCTTTTTTATATTCTGAAGCACTTCACAAATGTGCATGTCATCCTTGTGCACAGGCCATGGTAATCTTCTCTGTACCATTGTAATTTTAGTATGTGTGCTGCTGAAGCCAGCACAGATGTGTCTTTCGCTAATATCTTCTCCCAGGCAGTGGCTTGTCTTCTCATCCTTTTTAAATTTTATTTATTTATATATTTTTTGAGACAGAGTCTCGCTCTGTTGCCCAAGCTGGAGTACAGTGGCACAATTTCAGCTCACTGCAACCTCTGCCTCCTGGGTTCAAGCGATTCTTGTGCATCAGCCTGTCAAGTAGCTGGGATTACAGGTGTGCACCACTGCGCCCAGCTAATTTTTCTATTTTTAGTAGAGACAGGTTTTCACCATGTTAGCCAGGCTGGTCTCAAACTCCTGGCCTCAAGTGATCCACCCGCCTTGGCCTTCCAAAGTGCTAGGATTAAAGGCATAAGCCACCGCACTTGGCCATTGTCTTCTTCTTCTTGACATTGTCTTTTGCAGAGCAGAAGTTTTAAATTTTAATGAAATAACACTCATCATTCTATTACTGCTAAAAAAAATTTATTAATTACAGTTTATCAGTTATTTATTTCATGGATTATGTCTTTGGTGTTGTATCAAAAGGTCGCTACACCCAAGGTCATCTAGGTTTTACCCTATGTTGTCTTTTAGGAGTTTTATAGTTTTGAATTTTACATTGAGGTCTATGATCCATTTTCAGTTAGTTTTTGTGAAGGGTGCAAAGTCTGTGTCTAAATTTATGTTTTTGCACATAGATGTCCAGTTGTATCTGTATCATTTGTTGGAAAGACTGCCCTTTGGCTGGGTATGGTGGCTCACACCTGTAATCCCAGCACTTTGGGAAGCCAAGGCGGGTGGATCACCTGAGGTCAGGACTTTGAGACCAGCCTAGCCAACATGGTGAAACCCCATCTCTACTAAAAATGCAAAAATTAGCCAGGCATGTTTGCAGGCCTTTAGTCCCAGCTATGCAGGACACTGAGGCATGAGAATCACTTGAACCCAGTGATTCTCATGGTAAAGGTATAGGTCCCATTGAACCAAGATCATACCAGTGCACTCCAGCCTGGGTGACAGAGAGAGACTCTGTCTCAAAAAAAAAAAAAAAAAAAAAAAGTCTACCTTTGCTTCACTATATTTATTTGGGTCTATTTCTAGACTCTATATTCTGTTACAGTGATTTATTTATCTGTTCTTTACCAGTTCTTTCACTGTCTTCATTACTATAACTTTATAGTAAGTCTAGAAGTCAGATAGTGTTAGTCCTCTGACTTTGTTTTCCTTCAATATTGTGTTGGGTATTCTGGGTCTTTTGACTCACCATGTAAACTTAGTTAGCAGTGAGATAACTACTCCCGATGCCTGAGACTCCAGGTCTCACTCTCAGCTGATGTCTTTGGTCTTAGGTAAATTTAGTTACCCGGAATGATGACTTACTTCTTCCTTACTGCATAGGCAACCTTGGTTATCTGAGATGATGATTGTCTTCCTCAAGGGGAGTATGACCTTTGAACCCCATTTATAACTCACTTAAAAATGGGTATGGACAGCCTGGACAACATACTGAAACCCCATCTCCACTAAAAATACAAAAACATCAGCTGGGTGTGGTGTCACACGCCTGTAGTCCCACCAGTTACTCAGGAGGCTGAGGTGGGAGGATAGCTTAACCCTGGGAGGCAGAGGTTGCAGTGAGCCGAGATCGCACCACTGCATTCCAGCCTGGGAGGGAGGGAGGGAGAGAGAGAGAGAGAAAGAAAGAAAAGAAAAAGAAAAAAAGAGAGAGAGGGGGAGGGAGGGAGGGAGGGAAGGAAAGAAGGAAGGAAGGAAGGAAGGAAGGAAGGAAGGGAGGAAGGAAGGAAGGGGAGAGGAAAAGGATGTTAGGTTGATAGGTTTTGACTGTGTCCCCACCCAAATCTCATCTTGACTTGCAGTTTGCATAATCCCCATGTGTTGTGGGAGGGACCAGGTGGAGATCGTTGAATCATGAGAGCGGTTTCCCCCATCCTGTTCTTGTGGTAGTGATTTAGTTCTCACGAGATCTGCTGGTTTTATAAGGGGCTTCCCCTTTCACTGGGCACTGATTCTTCTCTCCACTGGTGCCATATGAAGAAGGGCATGTTTGCTTCCCCCTCTGCCATGATTGTAAGTTTCCTGAGGCCTCCCCAGCCATGCTGAACTATAAGTCAATTAAAACTCTTTCCTTTATAAATTACCCAGTCTGGGGTATGTCTTTATTAGCAGCATGAAAACAGACTAATACAATGTGTATAGAAAGGTTTCAAAGAAGCAAAACCTTAGTAAGAATATTTGTGTGATGGGGGGAAATTTTTGTATATTTCGTATTTTATATGCTTGTAACATTTAAAGTATTTGGTCTATTAGTGTAAGAATTGTATAATTCCAATTTAAAATGGTATTTCATATAAGCTTAAGATTGTAAATTGAAATGTTGCTAAATCTATGTGCAGTGTTACAACATCTATAAAAACTTTATATTAATGATATTCCATAAATTTAATTTATTAGGTTTAAAAGAGTTAAGTATATGGGAAGATTTTGTTTCTTATGCAGAGTATTTAGGAAGAAAATGGAGACTATTACCTTTATAAATGCAGTTAAAATATGTTCAATTAATTAAATTTGTAAAGAGCCTAAATATTTTCCAAAGGTTACCTTTAAAGTAGTGATTAAATAGAAAAACAGAGGCTTGTACTATTGATTGAAATTAAGGCTGTTGAGGCAGCACTAATTTGATCAAGGTTTATTTGAAGCCAAATGTGAGAATCCGCTTAGGAAACACACCAACAATGTTAGGAATGTTCCAGTCTGTTACAAGGTAGAAGGCTTTTATAGGAAAGTTTAGGAGAAGGGAGGGGACTCCTCATACAAGAGTTTTTTCCTCTTTCATTTGAGGGTACAATACAGAGGTTACAATTGTTGGATACAGATTGCAACATACAAGCTAAAATGTCTACATGCAAGACAATCAATAAAACTTTATGATTCAGAAATAAATCAGTGTTCTTCCCAGTGTCAGAGGGTTACACATTAATCAGTACATCAACAATTTGAGGAACTCATGGTAAGATGCTTTCCTTAGGGACAAGATGTCACCATGGATCACAAGGCCTTTCCAAGGTAAGTATATTAGTCTGTTTTCACACTGCTGATAAAGACATAGCCTAGACTGGGCAATTTACAAGAGAAAGAGGTTTAATTGGAGTTACAGTTCCATGTGGCTGGGGAAGCCTCACAATCATGGTGGAAGGCAAGGAAGAGCAAGTCACATCCTACATGGATGGCAGCAGGCAAAGAGAGAGAGCTTGTGCAAGGGAACTCCTCTTTTTAAAACCATCAGATCTCTTGAGACTTATTCACTATCACGAGAACAGCACAGGAAAGACTTGCCCCCATGATTTAATTACCTCCCACCAGGTCCCTCCCACAACGGGTGGGAATTCAAGATGAGATTTGGGTGGCGACACAGACAAACCATATAAGTAGGTTAATTTGGAAGCCTGTTTATTTTTAAAGTAAATCGTCAAATGTGACCGATAGTTCATCAGTATACTGAACTTAAAACTGAAGGAAGAACAAGGTTTTTTTTTAAATTTCTGACTTCAGTACATCAGGTATCGGGGCGGAGGGGGGTGTTGCTATCTTTGAGGTACCTCTGGCTGCGTCTCTTCTCATCACAGTTAGATATCTGGAACTCAGGAACTGAACTGGGTTTTAGGCAGAAGTGAAGTGGAAACACTTTTTAAGCACCTACTATGTCACAAGTACTAGATGCTTTCACATATAATATCTCATTTCATCCTTTAAAAAAAACGTGGGGAGTCAGGGCAAATTTTCCTAATTTTTTTTTTTTTTTTTGAGACAGGGTCTCACTCTGTGACCCAGGCTGGAGTGCAGTGGCATGATCACAGCTCTCTGCAGCCTCCACTTCCTGGGATCAAATTATCCTCCCACCTCACCCTCCCAAGTAGCTGGGACCACAGGTGAGTGCCACCAACCCAGCTAATTTTTTTTTTAATGCAGAGATTGTGGTCTCTGTGTGTTTCCCAGACCAGTTTCAAACTCCTGGGCTCAAGTAATCTTCCCACCTTGGCCTCCCAAAGTTCTGGGATTGCTGGAGTGAGCCACTGTGCTCAGCCACTAATTTTTTTTTTCACAGATGGGGTATTGCTATGTTGCCCAGGCTGACCTGCGATTCTTAGGCTCAAGTGATCCTCCCATCTCAGCCTCTCAAGTAGCTGGGACAACAATTAGCATCACTGTGCCCAGCTAAACTATCCCAGTTTTTACAGGTAAAGAAACCAAACCCATGCCAGGTGTGGTGGCTCACACCTGTAATCCTAGCAATTTGGGAGGCTGAGGCAGGCATATCACCTCGGGTCAGGAGTTCAAGACCAGCCTGGTCAACATGGCAAAACCCTATCTGTATACAAAAATTAGCCAGGCATGGTGGCAGGCGCCTGTAGTTGCAGCTACTCGGGAGGCTGAGGCAGGAGAATCACTCAAACCCGGGAGGCAGAGGTTGCAGTGAGCTAAGATCACACCAGTGCACTCCAGCCTGGCCAACAGAGTGAGACTCTGTCTCAAAAAAAAAAAAAAGCAAAAAAGAAACTAAAGCCCAGATAAGTCAAATATGTTACCCAAAGAGGCCCAGCAAAGGAGTGACAAAACCAGCTTGGAAACTCTGCCTCACTGTGAAGAGTGAGACTATCTGCCCTCCCATTTCCTCTGAATTGCCATCTCTAGATGGCTCTGAACCTTTCCTCCACCCTCCATCTCCAGCATCCAGTCCCTCTGCTCATGGAGAAAGGCACATCAGAGCTCAGTTCTGACATCTTAGCCCCATACTGGGCCTATGTAGTTCCTATTCTGTGTGGAATGCCCTCCTCTCCTCCCTCAGATCCAATGTGGAAACGCTCCCCACACCACCTGGATTCTGACACCCCACATGTGCTGCCTGGCCCCACCTTACCCCATGGCCTGTAGGCCAAATTGTGAGGGAAGAGAAGAGGAAGAACTCTCACTGTGCTTTTACTCAGCCTTGCTCTGGTGACTGACAAAATTGAGGAACTTGTATTGGCCATTTGCTTATTTGAGTAGCCAGCCTAGCTTTTCTTTTGGTTGTCTGTCTTTTTCTTGCTGAGTTGTAGGAGATTTTTTATGCATTCTAAGCACAGGCCCTTTCTCAGATATGTGTGTATTTCAGATATGTGCAAATATCTTTTCCTCTCTATGGTTTGAATTTTATCTTTCCTAAGGATGTCTTTTGAAGAACAGAAGTTTTTTTTTATTCCAATACAGTTCAATTTATCAATCTTTTTCTCTATAAGTAAGGCTTTTGTTTCCTAAGAAAAGTTTTTCCTATTTCAGTCTTGGGGATACTCTTTTATGTTACCTTTTAGAACTCTATCATTTTATCTTTCACATTTAGATTGACAATCTATCAGGAACTGATTTTTGTGTATCTTGGGGGAGAGGGTCATGATTCATTTCTTTCTGTGTGGATACCCAACTAGGTCAGCATCCTACATTGAAAAACCTCCTTTACCCAATGCTCTGCATGCCTCCTCCATCATAAATCATGTGTCCTTGTGGGTATCATCTGTTTCTGGACTTTCTATTCTTTCCATTTTTCTATTTGTTCTTCCTTGTGCCAAAATCTCACTATCTTTATTTCTATATATTTATATTATCTTGATTTCTAGTAGTGTAAGTTCTCTGACTTTGTTTTTCTTCAAGATTGCTTTCGTGAATTTTCATCTTTTGTGGTTCTATATGAATTTTTGAATCAGCTTATCAGTTTCCACAAAAAATTTTCTGGGGTTATTATTGAAATTACAGTGAAACTAGTAATTAATTTGAAGAGAATTGACATCTCTGTAGTATAGAGCCCTCAATTCATGGTATATTCCTCCATTTCTTTTGACAGTTAATTTCTCTCAATATTATACAAATTAAAATACAAAGTTATTATTTTTCATAGTTTTCTTGACCACCTTTTGTTAGAGTAATTCCAATAGTTTATATATAGATTCTTTTGGATCTTTAAAAAAAATTTTTTTTTGTAGAGGTGGGGTCTTGCTATGTCTTGAACTCCTGGCCTCAAGTGATCCTCCTGCCTTGGCCTCAGAAATTGCTGGGGTTACAGGCATGAGCCACTGCACCCAGACTGAATCTTTTTTATACATATTTATGTTATCTGTGAATGATGTCAATTTTATTTATTTCTAATCCTTATAAACTTAGTTTCTTTTTCTTGCCTTATTACAATGGCTAAGACCTCCAGTGCAATGTTGGGTAAAAGTGGGCAACTTTGTCTCATTCCCAATCTCAGGGGAAAGGGTTTCAATGTTTGACTATTAAGTATAAAATTTGTTCAACCGTATGTTATTTTATATGTGTGTGTGTGTCTGTGTGTGTGTGTGTGTGTGTGTGTGTGTGTGTATAATAACATTATACAGTTGAACAAATACTACAGATAGGACTGGCATGGTGGCTCATACCTGTAATTCCAGGTACTTGGGAGGCTGAGGTAGGAGGATCCCTTGAGGCCAAGTATTCAAGACCAGCCTGGGCAACAAAGTGAGAACCCCATCTCTTAAACAGACAAAAATAAATACTAGAGATAAAAAGGGATATTTTTATAGTCATTTCAAACTATAAAAGTCTCAATTTATCAAGAAGGTTAAAACACCCTAAACTTGTATGCATCATACACACACACAGACACATACACACACACACACGGCTAAGATTTATTTTAGCTAGAATGTCTTGTTTCTAATGGGAAGGTTAGCCACATAACCCAGACCTCCCCCCTGCACTCCTTCCTCTCTTTGTATATTCTTTTTTTTTTTTTTTTTTGTTGAGACAGAAGCTCACTCTTTCACTCAGGCTGGAGTACAGTGGTGCCATCATAGCTCACTGCAGCCTCAAACTCGAGCTGAAACAATCCTCCCACCTCAGCCTTCCAAATAGCTAGCCTGGCTAACTTTTAAACTTTTTGTAGAGACAGTATCTCGCTATGTTGCCTAGGCTGGTCTTGAACTCCTGGCCTCAAGCAATTCTCCTGCCTCAGCCTCCCAAAGTGCTGGGATTACAGGCATGAGCCACCGTACCTGGACTCTCTTTGTATATTCTTTTTTTTTTTAAACATAAACTCAATATTTTATTGTCTTCATAATAAAACAAAAGATGACACTTAGAACTGGATCACTTGGCCCTTGCTCTTCTTACCTCCTCCCAGTTCAAAATGCTTGTATCTCTTAATAGCCAGCATTCTCTTAGATCTGCAGTTGGGCTTCATGCACTCAAAACTTAGCACAATCTTCTTTGTAGTTTTAGCCTTTTTCTGGAAAATTGGCTTAGTCTCCCCACCATAGCCCCTCTGCTTCCTGTCATAACATGGCTTTCCCTAGGCATACAGGGAAATGTGTCCTGTGTCACTCTGTGGGGCTGGTGCTTCCCACACTTCTTACAGAAAGTCCAGTGGGTTTTAGGAGTGTTCACCATGTTTGCAGGAGCACTATTGGCACTCTTTGTGTTTTCTTGATTTTATTTGCTGTTAAATATGTTGCAACTATTTTTCTGAGCTCATATGTGTCTTTCAACTTTCTTTAATTTTTTGTGTGTTTTCAGATGTTTTCCATTATTATATGGTCATACCTTAGTGTTTACCTTTATGGCTTCTGGACTTTGTGCTTAGGAAACTTTTCCCCCTCCAAGATTATAACATACTCTTCTGTGTTTCCTTCCGATAGTTGTATAGTTTCATTTTTGTGTTTAGTGCTTTAATCTGTCTGTACTTTTATTTTGTGTATTGTGTGAAGTATAGATATAACTTTATTTTGATCCAAATAATTTGCTCACTACTCTCACACCGTTTACTGAAGGATCTACCCTTTCCTCTGATTTGAAATGTCTGCTGTCAAAAGCTATTTTGTTCCTCAAATCTATCTGTTTATTCTGCACCTGTGGAGTTTTTAACAGGGTGAATTGTGCGATTTCTCCTCAGCCTCTATTCCCTCGTAGCTGTCCCTTCACCAAACCTCCTGTCCATCATGGTCAGCCAGCAACCCTCCCAAAGGTGGGCTAATGATGCTGGCACATGGGGCTCTTATGAGGACCCAAAAGTAGATAGTAGGCTCCAGAAACGCCAGCTCCTTTCCACCCCTTTTTGCTTGTCTTCCCTTTACATGCTGACAGTCCCTCTGAGCCTCAAAGCAACAGCAGCCCCTCAGCCAAACAAGGGCTGGACCCAGCATGGGGCAGAAAGACTCGAGGGGATCTGGAATGTTCCTTGACATTTCCACCCACTGCCCTGGCCTGGGGCCCTCCTGGGAGCTGGTTGTTTGTACGGTGGGTTCTTCCCTCCTTGAATGCACCGTGGTTCTCCTGTAGCTCCTCCAGGTGTTGCCTACTTCACAGTCTCTTCCAGAAAAGGAGGGGCTGCACATCCTACTCCTGACTGACTCTCAGGCTCTGTGCCCTCCCAGTTTGAAGAGAAATTACTCCCACTCCTCAAAGGCCCTTGTAAGGCATGAGCACACAATGGCCTGGCTACTTTCTTGAAAAGAGGGAGGAGAAATAGAACAAAACACAGACTAGTATCTCCACAAATCACTCTCCCACACATGTATTATTTGTGTCATTCACAAAAATTATCTTAAACCGAGAGGAGGAAGCCAGGGTAGGACATGTGACATAAAACACCATTTCTGCCAACAAATGTTTATTAAACACCTATGTGCACAGCACAGAGCCAGGATCTTCATCTCCACTGCAGTTCATGCTTCTGGAGAGCTGTCCAAAAGCTCGGGTTGGGCTGGTTTGAGGCCTGGGATCCAGGCCCGAGGTGAAGATGGGAGGACCAGCCCAGCCCCAAGAGCTCCCAGCCTTCAGACTCCTGGGTGGCCTTGACTGGCAGCAACAGCCTTAATAAGTATTGGAGCTGGAGACCAAACCCAACACCATTTTCCAGGAGGGGCTAATCCATGACCAAGGTGCTTATGAGAGCATCCTTCCTGGGCCTTATGAGAGCATCCTTCCTGGGCCCTTCTCTTGCCAGAAAAGGCCGTGGATGGCAGACCTGCAGGTGCGCCCTGGAGGGAGTGGCTGCCGACCGGCCTCCCACAGCGTTGGCTCTTGGCCTGAGCCTTTGCCTCTCTCTGGCCTCCTGTGATATCACACCCAGGGTAGTGGTCATTGTCTGTGTTCTCAGGGACACTGCTACGTGTTAAAGACTTACTGACACAGAATTAAGACTTTCGAGAGAGGAACTGAGAAGGGAAAAGTTGGATGAGAAGTGGGCTCCTAGGAAAGTGAGTGAGTGTGGGACAAACATGGAGTGTGTCTGTTCCTGCCAACTTCCAGACCCAGGCCCAGGAGGAGGCACTGCCCAAGGCCTAGGTGACTTGGAAACTGGGGACCCACTATGGGAGCAGAGGAGCCATCAGTGGTGCTGCCTGGATACCTCAAGAGCAGGCCATCCTCCAGTGACAGGCAGTCTCATGGGAATGGCCTCCCCTAGGATTTGAGGAGGGCGTGTGTCAAGGGGCAGTCACAAGGAAGATCCCCATAACCCTTTGGTTCAGGGCCATAGAGCCTAGACAGGGCCTCTGGCTGTATCAGAACTGCCGCCCATTGTTGGGCAAGAAGTTGCTGATGGCACCAGCACCTTTGATAGAACCTTCAAAGCTGTGGTTGACATAGATGTTGTCAGCTGTGGAGACTCGGGAGGGGTGATTTGGGCAAGAGGCCACCATGACTGCTGCCACCGCCTCCTCAGCCCGCTTCTGCTCCAGTGCCAGAGCCGGGTTAACGTCAGGCCCTGCGGAGAGACAGAGAACCACAGTCAGAGAGGTGGGCAGGGGACACAGGTGAGAAGCTATTCCTGGTTCTGTACAACAAACCCAGGGCAGGAAGGGTCCCAGGGGGGATCTGTGCCATGTGCCTTCCAGGGTCACTATGTTCACAGCCCAAGCTTCAGGGATGTCCTGGTCCCTCCATCCCCCAAGCATTTTGGGAACCTCCAAGGAATAGCCACCACCTGCAGCTCCAAGGCCCTGGATATCCTTTGTCCAAGCACACCCCACGACTGCTCCTCCTTGCCCCTCTCTTATGTCTCATCCACCACCCCCAGCGCACACACTCTACTCCTTCCAAGAGGGTCAGGGAGTCCCCACAAGAGACATGGTTAGGAACCACAGAGCTGTGTGGGCTCCAACCCCTACTACCTTTGACCAAGTCTGTAACCTGGGGCAGGTGTCTCAGTTCCCTCATCTGTAAAATGGGAAGGATAATAATACCTGCCTCGGGGGTAGTAAGAGAATTACAGACACATATGTTGATGCACAAACACACCCCTCTATAAATGTCCTCTAATAATATTATTACCATCTGGTGGGAGGTAAAATTGAACTCCTCCCAGCTTGCCCACCCTGAGAGCCAGAAACACCTTCATCCTGGGAGGCTCAATTTGAGCTTCCATGTGCCTCAGCCTCCCAAAGTGCTAGGATTACAAACATGAGCCACCACTCCTGGCCAGCATTTCAAAATATTAATGAGACCGGGTGCGGTGGCCCACGCCTGTAATCCCTGCACTTTGGGAGGCCAAGGCAGATGGATCACCTGAGGCCACAGGAGTTCGAGACCAGCCTGACCAACATGGTGAAACCTGTCTCCAATAAAAATACAAAAATTAGCCAGGTATGGTGGCATACACCGATATCCCAGCTACTCGAGAGGCTGAGACAGGAGAATCGCTTGAACCCAGGAGGCAGAGGTTGCAGTGAGCTGAGATTGCGCCACTGCACTCCAGCCTGGGCAACAGAGAGAGACTCTGTCTAAAAATAATAAAAATAAAAATAATTAAAATAATTAAAAACAAATTAATGATAGGGCTGGGCACAGTGGCTCACGCCTGTAATCCCAGCACTTTGGGAGGCCTTGGCGGTTGGATCACCTGAGGTCAGGAGTTCGAGACCAGCCTGCCCAACATGGTGAAACCCCGTCTCTACTAAAAATAAAAAATAAATAAATAAATTGGCCAGGCGTGGTGGTGCGCACCTGTAATCCCAGCTACTTGGGAGGCTAAAGCAGGAGAATGGCTTGAACTTGGGAGGCAGAGGTTGCAGGGAGCTGAGATCATACCACTGCACTCCAGCCTGGGCAACAGAGCGAGACTCCATCTCAAAAAATAAAAATAAAATAATGTAAAGTAAAATAAAATAAATAACAAATTTAAAGTAAAATAAAAGCCAAGCGCAGTGGCTCACACCTGTAATCCTAGCACTGTGGAAGGCCATGGTGGATCACTTGAGCTCAGGAGTTTGAGACCAGCCTGGGCAACATAGGGAGACCCCATCTCTACAAAAAATAAAAAATTAGCTGGGCATGGTGGTGTGCACCTGTGGTCCCAGCTACTCGGGAGGCTGAGGTGGGAGGATCACTTGAGCCTGGGAAGTCAAGGTGGCAGTGAGCTGTGATCATGCTACTGCACTCCAGCCTGGGTGTCAGAGCAAGACCCTGTCTCCAAAAAATATTAATAATAATAATAGAATGGAACCAGCAATATCAGAATGCTTCACATGTATAAAGGAAGTATTAATATTATTTAGTGAAGCATTTGTTTTAGGCAGGCATGTCTATGTGTGCCCGTGCATGTCACCTCTCTGTGTAAAATATATTTCTTGCTGAAGGGCATGCTTAAAAGTCCAACAGCAGTGCAGTGAAGATCCACAGTGTACAGGGCCACAGAAACGTTGTTTGAGACATACATAGCTGACAAAAAAAGATGTTCACAGCACATTAAATGAATAATAGTAGCTTCCAAGACAGAATTGCCACATGGTCATAGTCCTGGCTTCTGACATCTGCCCATGGCTCGTTTGCACTTCCTGAGCTTTTGTGGTGAGCATGCACTGTTACTGTTGTCGTCAGCATAATCATGACAGTCTGGTAGGAACAGGCCTGGGCACTCACCCACGTAGCTGAGGATGACGGGCAGGAAGACCAAGCCATGCAGCAGGCCCAGCAGAGTGATCAGGAGGTTGAGGCGGAAGAAGAAGATCTGAATGAGCTGGGCCTTGGCGAGGCCCAGGACAAGGATGCCAGGCAGGTTGGTCATGGCCACACCTGCAAACACCTGGGGGGTTCAGAGCCAGGTGTCAGGCAGGGCACAGGGCATCAGGCAGGGCACAGGGCATCAGGCAGGGCACAGGGTGTCGAGTGGGGCACAGGGTGGCCCACTCCTCTCCACTCACCGCACTTCCCATAGAGATGGTGGCCTCTTTGGCCCTCTCCAGCCAGGTGGGCTTGGTGCTGATGGCAAAGGAGCGGGTAATGTGGGACACAAACTCCACAGACATGCCCACCGCCTATGGGCAGAGAGGGGGCATAAGCCAAGAAAGGCAGAGGTGGGGAAGGAACTAGGGAGATGAGGCCTCCACCAGGACCAGCGTGGGGCAGGCATCTAGATTCTAGACAGAACTGGGAGTATTTGGCCGGGTGCAGTGGCTCATGCCTATAATCCCAACACTTTGGGAGGCCGAGGTGAGAGGATCACTTGAGCCCAGGAGTTTGAGACCAGCCTGGGCAACAAAGTGAGACCCTGTCTCTACAACAAAAATTAAAATATTAGCTGGACGCAGTGGCACGTGCCTGTAGTCCTGGCTACTTTGGAGGCTGAGGTAGGAGGATCGCTTGAGCCCAAGGGTTCGAGGCTACAGTGAGCTGTGATCATGTCACTGCCCTCAAGCCTGAGCAACAGAGCAAGACCCTGCCTCTAAAAAAAGAAACAAAAAAGAACTAGGAGTATTCTATGAGGCTGGATCCCCAACCACCCCTCCAGAGGCCCCCTGGTGCCTGTGTCTGCTGGGTTACCGAGACCAGGTTGATGAGGGACACAGCATTGTAACTGATGCCCCACAGGGCCATGAAGCCGACAGTGTCCACGAGGATCATGACAATGGAGAGCAGGTTGAGGAGGCCGGAGCGCAGGTCCAGGCCCAGCAGGAGGCAGGAGACAGCGAAGGTGGGCACAAGGCAGAGGCTGAGCATGAAGAGCCCCTCAGGGAGGATGGTCAGGTACTGCTCATAAAACACATTGGTGATCCTGCCAGAGCACAGAGCATGGTCACAGGCTCAGGCCTCTGGGGCCCTCATGGTGGGTGGGACACCCCACTTCAGAAGGAGAATGCTGAGGGTCAGGCAGGCTTATATTGGGGTACAAACCAGCCTAAGAAATAGGCCCAAGGCTGCAGCCAGAGCCTCCTGACCTAAAACTGGTCCTCATCTCATGCAACTCCTTGCAAGCCCTCCACCCTAACCTCCAGTCTCCAGCAACCATACCCCACCTCCCTCCAGCCCAGCCACTCAGGTCCTCACGTGTAGGGGAAGACCTCAAAAGCCGGGTCTGTTCCAGGCACTTTCCGCAGGTCAGCAGTGATGTTGGCTGCCAGCTCTCGAGCTGCCCGCAGAGCTTCTGTGTAATCCTGTGAGTTTTTCAGGGGCTTGTGATAGGCCATGAACCTGGAGGCTGGACAGCCATGGCACACAGAAGATGGAAGGGCAAAGGTCAGAGCCCTTTCCAGGACAACTTCAGAACACCGCAGACGCAGTGGCACAGGCATGTGATCAAGCGGGGTTCAGGGCTCTGCCACCACCATTTGAAATTCTTAGTAAATTTTGTGCAAGAGGCCCATATTTTTGTTTTGCACCAGCCCTGCAAACTCCATAGCTGGCCCCACTGCTGTGGGAGACCCAGGCCTGACCTTTGATGAGTGAAGCCTACAGAGATCTCCCTAGTGAACCGAGATTCTTCTCTGTATGGTTTCAAGATATGCATTGGATTTTTAAAATTAACTTAATTGGTTTTTAATTTGCATATTCCTATAGGAAAGGACTAGAAAGGAAGACAGAAAAATGAGAACGGTTGGATTATTAGAGCTGTGGCTTAGGGCTCCTGCCAGATAAAGGTTATTTCTTAATGACTTTTAAGAAATTAAGGTTATTGGCCGGGTGTGGTGGCTCATGCCTGTAATCCCAGCACTTTGGAAGGCTAAGGCAGGTCGATCACCTGAGGTCAGGAGTTCAAGACCAGCCTGCCCAACATGGTGAAACCCTGTCTCTACTAAAAATGCAAAAATTAGCCAGGCGTGGTGGCACACCCCTGTAATCCCAGCTACTTGGGGGGCTGAGGCAGGAGAATTCTTGAACTCAGGAGGCAGAGGCTGCAGTGAGCTGAGATCATGCTACTGCACTCCAGCTGGGCAACAGAGCAAGATCCCATCTCAAAAAAAAAAAAGAAGAAATTAAGGTTATTAAGACCTTTATACAATAAAGGGTTTTTTGTTCTTGTTTTTGTTTTCGAGACAGAGTCTCACTGTCACCGCAGCTGGAGTGCAGTGGTGCGATCTTGGCTCACTGCAACTTCTGCTTCCCGGGTTCAAGTGATTGTCCTGCCTCAGCCTCCCAAGTAGCTGGGATTACAGGTGCATGCCACCATGCCTGGCTAATTTTTGTATTTTTAGTAGAGACAGGGTTTCACCATGTTGGCCAGGCTGGTCTCAAACTCCTGACCTCAAGTGATTCGCCGGCCTCGGTCTCCCAAACTGCTGGGATTACAGGTGTGAGCCACCGCACCTGGCCCAAAAAGGTTGTTTCTTGGCGACACTCTGCCTCTATTAATAATACAAAAATTAGCTGAGCATAGTGGCATGTGCCTGTAATCCCAGCTACTAGGGAGGCTGAGGCAGGAGAATTACTTGAATCCAGGAGGTAGAGGTTGCAGTGAGCCGAGATTGTGCCACTGTACTCCAGCCTGGGTGACAGAATGGCAACTGTGTCTCAAAAAAAAAAAAAAAGTTATTTCTTTATTGTGTACAGTGAGCATGTGTATCTGAAAAAGAAACAATAGTGCTACATAGGTGTGGAGAAAAAAGAAGAGAAATGTTCTTGGATACATACAATCTCAGAGCAGGGGAGGTGCCTGGAGAACTTCCCACCAGGCCTCTGACCACCTGGAGGGTAGTTCACACACAAATGCCCAGCCCAGCCCAGCAATTCGGGGTCTGCAAAGTCTTGGGTGAGGGCTGAGAACTTGCGTTTCTTCTTTTTCTTTCTTTCTTTCTTTTTCTTCCTTCCTTCCTTCCTTCTTTCTTTCTTTCTCTTTCTCTCTCTTTCTCTCTCTCTCTTTCTCCCTTTCTTTCTTTTCTTTTCTTTTCTTTCCTTTTCTTCTCTCTTCTTTTCTTTCAATATCTGGCTTTTTTGCCCAGGCTGGTCTCAGACAGACTAGACTCCTGGGCTCAAGTGATCCTCCCACCTTGGCCTCCCAACGTACTGGGATTATAGGCGTGAGCTGCAGCACCTAGCTGGAACTTCATTTTGAACAATTTCCAGGTTATGCTGATGCTGCTGGCTGGGGGACCTCATTTTGGGAAGTGCTGCTCTAGACTAACCTAGTGCACACACAAGAAGACAAAGGTCAGAGATGGTGCAGACTTGCCCCCGGTTATGGGGGCTTGGCTCTACTGTGTGCTCCTTCCAGGCCCTGCTCCTCATTCCCTGACTGACACATCCACTCCCATCTGTCCACACCAGCCCCACCACACTGGCCTCACAGAGCCTGTTGTGCTCAGCTACCAGGGCTGGGCAGGGTGCATTGCCCTTCTGGAAACATGGGAACTTCATAGCTGGAAGGGTGGGGTGAGCGAACTTGAGGCAGCTTTCAGCCAGCAGTTCAAACTATGAATTATTTCAGTACAAAGTGAGATCATCCTTCAAAAACTCCCCCACCCACCGACGACCCCCATGTCCATCTCCAGCACGAGCTCCCTTAGGGCCCCTACACCGAGCATGTCTGCACGGAGCTATGGCCAGCTCCTTTACACAGATGGCTGTCTTGTTCTGCCATCTGCTGTATAAGCTGACAGCATGTTGTGGGTCCTTTTCCTGTCAGTCCAACTGCATCTCTCTTGTTACTTTTTTCTTTCTTTTTTTTTTTGAGAGAGGGTCTCACTTTGTTGCCCAGGCTGGAGTGCAGTGTTGCGATCACAGTTCACTACAGCCTCAACCTCCCAGACTCAGGCATTCTTCCCGCCCAGCCTTCTGAATAGCTGGAACTACAGGCACACGCCACCACACCCGGGCAATTTTTTAAATTTTACTTTGTAGAGGAGGCCGGGCACAGTGGCTCATGCCTGTAATACTAGCACTTTGGGAGGCCAAGGCAGGCATATCACCTGAGGTCAGGAGTTTGAGACCAGCTTGGCCAACGTGGTGCAATTCCATCTCTGCTGAAAATACAAAAATTACCCAGACATGATGGTATGCTCCTATAGTCCCAGCTACTCAGGAGGCTGAGGCAGGAGAATCGCTTGAACCCGGAAAGTGGAGGTTGCAGTGAGCCGAGATTGCACCACTGCACTCCAGCCTGGGCAACAAAGCGAGACTCCGTCTCGAAAAAAAAAAAAGAGGGTCTCCCTACTGTTGCCTGGGCTGGTCTCAAACTCCTGGATTCAAGAGATCCTCTCGCCTTGGCCTCCTAGAGTGCTAAGATTACAGGCGCCCAGCCTCTTGTTACTTTAAATGACTGCTAGGATTGTGCTGTGCCAAGCATCCTAATTCATTTAACCAGCTGCCCTTTGGGTGTAATTTGTGCTGGTAAGAAAGGTGCTTAGCCAGGGTGTGGAGAACTCCCAAGTATGGTATCAACTGCTGAATCAATTCCACAAACTTAGCACTGACCATGGACTTGGGAGTGAGAGAAGGGGTGAAGTCTGAGATGTGGAGCTGGGAAACAAGACCCCTGCTGACAGGGCCAGCGCAGTGAGAACCTCCTGACAAAGGAGGGAGACAACATGTGACAGGCTGTTCCCTGGGGTTTTCGGGGGCCCTCCAGAGCAACCGATTTATGTCCTCCCCTCCAGGCAAGGCCATGCTTACCTAAAACCTGGCCATCTGAAGTCAAGTTCACAGAGGTGCTGTATGCTGCCAGGCCGCTGCAAGAAGGTCAGGGCAAAGGCTTAGCCAGGGACGAAGCTTCTTTCATCTGCCCAGCCCACAGCCACCCCAGAGAGGCCCCTGATAGCCTCCTCCTGCCTCTCTATATTCAACCCCATCCTGTGTCCCACATGTCTGTCCTCCCCAGCAGAAGGCCCTCCCAAGCTTACCCTTTGGGACATTTGATGTTGGGCCGGTCGTTCAGGAACCAGGGAAGATACTTATGGAACTGCTCCACCGAGGGCCTCACAGAGCCCATCGTGATGCTCATGCAGTTCTTTAGGCAGTTCAGAGAGTCTGCAGAGAAAGCAGGGGTCTGGGCAGTGACACCCCAGGGCCAGCAGCTCCTGCTTTGTGCCCCTCCTTCCCCAACAATCCCATCAAAGGTCCTGGGCACTCCAGCCTCAACCAGTCGCTTCTAGGGGGATTTGCATTTGTCATTTGTGGGAGAAGTTCTCCTCTTGGCTATAGAAACTGTGGGCACCTACAGGCAGAAGGGGAAAGGAAGTTTGGGGCAGAAAAACAGGCCCCACAAAGGCCTCTCCACCTACAAATGCCACTGCTTTGGGCGGCAGGGCCATGTGCTAACCTCAGCAGCTCTCCCCTCCTGACTCCCCACTGCCCTGCCACCCGGGAGCACCATGTGCTCTGAAAATGGGGGCACAGTACACAGCAGTATACATGTGTGATGCCCACGGGCCAGCACGGTCACCCACACAGGTGCTTCTCACAGAGTGCCTGTCCCTCAGGCCACATCTGCACCCATGCCCCCGACAGACCCTGCAGGATGCGTGGGAGAGGTTGAGGGAGCCTCTCCAGTCCTCTCCTTTCTGTTGCCTCAGTTTGCCCGAGCTGTGGTGGACAGTGAGTCCCCATGGCCCCACACTCACTGACGGTCGAGGGGCAGAACTTGTCCTTATTGGGGCCAGATATATAAAGGCGGCAGCAGGAGGACGGGGTCAGCCAGTCAATGAAGTCATCCACCCAGGAGGAGGCAGGGATGGCCAGGTAAGACCTAAGGGGCAGGTGGGAGGAAGGGTGAAAAGGCCAGCTGGGCAGGGTGGTGGGTCCTTCTCGTGGCCCAACCCCCACGCAGCCCTCCCCAGGCATACGGCAGCAAGGCAGCAGGGCAGCAGGACAGGGATAGAACATCAGGAAGAGGGGACTGGAGAGGACTGGAGGGACTCAAACAGGGAGTAGGCTGGGGTTTGGGGCGGGCCAGGAACTCACTGCTCAGGGAACTCTGTGGCATACTGGATCTTCTGGGTGAAGGAGAAGTTGTTGCAGCCTGCACTGGAGCAGATGGCATTCATCCCAGCCTCGCTGGAGAAGTTGTAGCCCAAGGTGGTAACAAAGTACACCGGGGCCCCCACCTCGAAGTAGCGGTTCAGAAAGAGGAAATAGTCAAGCAGGTACGAGTCCTAGGAGTGGAGGAGGGTCAGTGAGCTTTGGTTCGCTATGCACACCCCTAAAGGGCTCAATCCAGCTCACACTCTCGAAGGTACACACAGAGGTACATGCTAAAAGGCACATGTTCAGAGGTCCATGATCAGAGGAACACACAGAGGAACATGTTCAGAGACACACATGCAGTTACACACTCAAAGGGATGTGCTCAGTGGGACACTCAGAGATATACACGTAGATACATGCTTAGAGGTACACAGAGGTACATGCACACAAGTACACAAAATATACACAGAGATGTACATGCTCAGAGGTCACACACAAGGTACATATAGAGAAGGACATGCACAGACACACACACTCAGGGGTACCCTCAAGATGTATGTGCACTGTACAGTTACACCGGAACACAGTTTTAGGTGTACCCCCAGATGAACATACTCCAAGGTTCACAGAATAGGTATAATCACAGGTGCAAACAGAAGTACACTTATGCAGGTACAAACACAGAGCAACACCTATCACCTCACATGAACACACACTGACACACACAAACATGCACAGACACATAATTGTACCCCTTCCTATCACCCCCAATATGGCACAGCCACCGTCTAACAAGCTGGCCTGTGACAACGGCCCATATTTGTGTGCACATATAAATGTCAGTGTGCACACCCTCAAAGCCATGCACCAGGCATCCTCATGGTCTGCTCCCTTCTATAACATAAAGGCTCAGAGTGACATTAGGGAAAATGGCACAGTAGGAAGTGTCAGGAATCCCTCTCCCCAGCTAGACAACAATTTGTCTGGTATAACTATTTTGTTTTTGTTTTGTTTTGTTTTGTTTTGAGATGGATGGAGTCTTCTGGGCTGGAGTGCAGTGGCGCGATCTCTGCTCACTGCAACCTCCGCCTCCTGGGTTCAAGCGATTCTTGTGCCTCAGCCTCCTGAGTAGCTAGGATTACAGGCATGTGCCACCGCTCCCAGCTGATTTTTGTATTTTTAAAAGAGATGGGGTTTCACCATGTTGGCCAGGCTTGTCTCAAACTCCTGACCTCAAGTGATCCACCCGTCTCGGCCTCCCAAATGGCTGGGATTACAGGCATGAGCCACCACACCGGCCCTAGTGTAACGATTTTGGAACTCTGGAGTCTATTGAGGGCTGGAAGCTTCCAGGATAAGGCTTGGACAGTAAATTGTGGTTAATTTCAGGCAATCTCAGCTTTAGTACAGTAGCAGCTACCCATTTGCCACTCCCAGCCTCAAGGCATGCAGCTGTGTATGCTTTCCAGAAGCAGCTTGTACACAGCTTGCAGGAGCCAGGTAGGCAAGGACACCATCCACCAAATATCAGCTGGGCATGATGGCTTACACTTGTAATTTCAGAACTTTGGGAGGGCAAGCAGGAGGGTCACTTGAGCCCAAGAGTGGGAGACCGATCTGGGCACATAGCGACACCCTGTCTCTACAAAAAAAAATACAAAAGTTAGCTGGGTGTGGTGGCACATGCCTGTAGTCCTAGCTACTCAGGAGGCTGAAATAGGAGAATCATTTGAGCCTGGAAGTTTGCTGCTGCAGTGACCTATGATTGCACCACTGCACTTCAGCCTCAGCAAGAGAGCCAGACCCTGTCTCTAATAAATAAATAAATAAGTTCAAATATCAAGGATCTGAGTTCTGATAATTGATCATTACTTCTGATATTGGTGGTACAGATACACAGGCAGGCAGCCACTAATGCAACTCCCACCACCGTTGTTGCAACCACCTCCACATCTTACTAAAGTGACTTCCAGGAGATTTAAAGAGTAAGCACCTATCCCCGACACCTTCATTTTTCCCTTTTTCTCCTTTTGGGAACCATACATATAAGGACAAGGACATTCAAAAGCAACCATAAATATAGGGATATTTAGACAGTCACCACACTGCATAAATGCTCAGAGAAAAATGCAGTCTCAAAAATACCTGAGAAGACATTAACTCTGTGCCTTTGGCTGATCCCCAGCACAGAAACACCAACAGCAATAAATAAAATAAAGCAAGCCCTGGGAAAGAAGGAGAATCTGATCTCCAGAGCTACCACATTATAAGAATCAAATGTCCATTTTTCAACCAAAAACACACCAAGAAAAAGAAAAACATGGCCCATTCAAAGGGAAAATATTAACCAACAGAAACTGTTCCTGGGTAAGACCAGACAGCAGACTTACTAGACAAAGACTTCAAAACAATTGTCTCAGCCAGGCACAGTGGCTGATGCCTGTAATCCCACAACATCAGAAGGCCAAGGCAGGCAGATCACATGAGGCCAGGAGTTCGAGACCAGCCTGGCTAATATGGTGAAACCCTGTCTCTACTAAAAATACAAAAATTAGCCAAGCATGGTGGCAGGCACCTGTAATCCCAGCTACTTGGGAGGCTGAGGCTTAACCCCAGGAGGCAGAGGTTGCAGTGACCCGAGATCACACCATTGCACTCCAGCCTGGGTGATAGAGCAAGACTCTGTCTCAAAAAATAAATAAATAAATAATAAAATAAATGAATAAAACAATTGCCTTAAAGTTGCTCAAAGAGCTAAAAGAAAACAAAGTCAAGGAAAAATTTATGAACAAAATGGAAATATCAATGAGGAGGAAACATAAAAAAGAGCAAAAAAACTCTGGAGCTAAAAAGTACAGTAACTTAAATGAAAAATTCACTAGAGGGATTCAAAAGCAGTCAGAAGAAAGAATTAGCAAACTGAAGATAAGACCATTGAAATTACTGAGTCTGAAGAAGAGAAAGGAAAAAAAATAACGAAAGTGAACAGAGCAGAGCCTAAGGGACCTGTCAGACATCATCATCATCAAATAGACCAAAATATGAATTGTAAGAATTCCAGAAGAAAAGAGAAAGGGGAAGTGAGATTATTTGAAAAAATTATGGCCAGAACTCCCCAAATTTGATGAAAGACATGAATATAAACATTCAAGAAACTCAATAAACTCCAATAGGATAAACTAAAGAAACCCACACCAACGGATATTATAATTTTTTTTTTTTGAGATGGAGTCTTGCTCTGTTGCCAGGCTGGAGTGCAGTGGCACAATCTCGGCTCACTGCAACCTCTGCCTCCTGGGTTCAAGTGATTCTCCTGCCTCAGCCTCCCAAGTATCTTGGACTACAAGTGCGCACAACCATGCCCAGCTAATTTTTGTATTTTTAGTAGAGATGGGGTTTCACCATGTTGGCCAGGATGGTCTTGATCTCTTGACCTTGTGATCCACCCACCTTGGCCTCCCAAAGTGCTGGGATTACAGGCATAAGCCACTGCACCCAGCTGGATATTATAATTTAGCTGTCAAAAACCAAAGACAAGCCAGGCATGGTGGCATATACCTGTAGTCCCAGCTACTCAAGAGGCTGAGGTGGGAGGATTGCTTGAGCCCAGGGTTTCAAGTCCATTCTAGGCAACATAGCAAGACCCTGCCTCTAAAAAATAAAAATAAAAAGTAAAATAAAATAAGTTTTTTAAAAAATAGAAAATATTGAAAAAAAAGAAGTGACTTGGCATATACAAAAGATCCTCAAAAAGATTATCAGCATATTTCTCATCAGAAACCTTGAAGCCCAGATGGCAGTGGGTTTGTAGATTGAAAGTGCTGAAGAATGCTGGGCATGATGGCTCATGCCTGTAATCCCAGCACTTCAGGAGGCTGAGGCAGGTGGATCACCTGAGGTCAGGAGTTTGAGACCAGCCTGGCCAACATGGCAAAACCCCATCTCTACTGAAAATACAAAAATTAGCCAGGCATGGTGGCACAAACCTGTAATCCCAGCTACTCAGGAGGATGAAGCAGGAGAATCACTTGAACCTGAGAAGCAGAGGTTGCAGTGAGCTGAGATCATGCCACTGCACTCCAGCCTGGATGACAGAGTGAGACTCTGTCTCAAAAACAAACAACAACAACAAAAAACAAGTGCTGAAGAAAAAACAATTGTCAATGAAGAATCCTAATTCCAGCAAAACTGTCACTTAAAAATGAGGGAGAAGGCCAGGCATGGTGGCTCATGCCTGTAATCCCAGCACTTTGGGAGGCCGAGGCAGACAGATTATTTGAGGCCAGGAGTTTGAGACCAGCTTGACTAACATGGTGAGACCCCATCTCTGCTAAAAATACAAAAATTAGCCAGGCGTGGAGGCATGCACCTGTAATCCCAGCTACTTTGGAGGCTGAGGTAGTAGAATCTCTTGAACCTGGGAGGTGGAGGTTGCAGTGAGCCGAGATCACACCACCGCACTCCAATCTGGGTGACAGTGAGACTCCATCTCAAAAAAAAAAAAAAAAAACTAAAAATTAAAAATAAAAATGAGGGAGATGCCAGATGAGGTGATTCGTCCTATAATCCCAATACTTTGGGAGGCTGAGACACGAGGATCACCTGAGCCCAAAAGTTCGAGACCAGCCTGAGTAACACAGTGAGACCCCCATCTCAAAAAAATTGTTTTAATTAAAAAATAAAAATGGGCCGGGCACAGTGGCTCACACCTGTAATCCTAGCACTTTGGGAGGCCAAGGTGGGTGGATCACCTGAGGTCAGGAGTTCATGACCAGCCTGGCCAACATGGTAAAACCCCGTCTCTATTAAAAATACAAAAATTAGCCTGGCATGGTGGCATGCACCTGTAATCTCAGCTACTCAGGAGGCTGAGGCAGGAGAATCACTTGAACCCAGGAGGCAGAGGTTGCAGTGAGCTGAGATCACACCATTGTACTCCAGCCTGGGCGACAAGAGTGAAACTCCATCTCAAAATAAATAAAAAATTTTAAAAAATTAAAATGAGGGTGAAATTAAGACATTCTCAGATAAACAAAAGCTGAAGGAATTCGTTATCACTAGACCTTCCCTGAAAGAAATGCTAAAAGGAATCCTGTAGGTTGAAATAAAAAGACATTAGACAGGCCAGGCATGGTGGCTCATGCCTGTAATCCCAGCACTTTGGGAGGCCAAGGCGGGCAGATCACCTGAGGTTGGGAGTTCAAGACCAGCCTGACCAACATGGAGAAACCCCATCTCTACTAAAAATACAAAATTAGCCTGGCGTGGTGGCACATGCCTGTAATCCCAGTACTCGGGGGGCTGAGGCAGGAGAATCGCTTGAACTCGGGAGGCAGAGGTTGCGGTGAGCTGAGATCATGCCACTGCACTCCAGCCTGGGTGGGCAACAAGAGCAAAACAACTTCTCAAAAAAAAAAAAAAAAAAAAAAAAAGACATCAGCAGTAACTCAAAGATGTATGAAGAAATAAAAATCCCTTGGCTAGGCATAGTGGCTTACACCTGTAATCCCAGTACTTCAGGTGGCTGAGGTGAGAGGATCTTTTGAGGCCAGGAGTTTGAGGTTATAGTGAGCTATGATCACACCACTGCATCTCAGCCTGGGCAACAGAGCAAGACTCTGCCTCTTTAAATAAATAAATAAATCCCTGGCAAAGGTAAATAAATGGGCAGTTATAAATGTTATGATTTATAACTCCACCTTTTTGTACATGATTTAAGAGACTCATGCAAAAAAAATCATTAGCCTATGATTTTGGATACATAATGCATAAAAATACAAAAGTTTTTGAGACATAGTCTCGCTCTGTCGCCCAAGCTGGAGTACAGTGGTACGATCCCAGCTCACTGCAACCTCTACCTCCTAGATTCAAGCAATTCTCATGTCTCAGCCTCCCAAGTAGCTAGGTTTACAGTTGTGTGCCACCATGCCTGGCTAATTTTTGTATTTTTAGTAGAGATGGGGTTTTGTCATGTTGGCCAGGCTAATCTTGACCTCCTGGCCTCAAGTGATCCAACCACCTCACAAAGTGCTGGGATTGCAGCCATGAGCCACTACACCCAGCTGAAAAATAAAATTTTTTGAGACAAGGTGTCTCTCTGTTGCTCAGGCTGGAGTACAGTGGCATGATCATAGCTGACTGCATACTTGAATTCCTGGACTCAAGCAAGCCTCCCACATAGCTGGGACTACAGGCACGTGCCATCTTGCCCAGCTAAATTTTAAATTTTTTCTAGAGATGGGATCTCACTGTGTTGGCTAGGCTGGCCTCAAATTCCTGGCCTCAAGCAATCCTCTTGCCTCCACCTCTCAAAGCATTGGGATTACAGGCATAAGCCACCATGGCTAGCTCAAGATATAATTTTGTGACATCAATAACTGAAAGGGAGGTAAGATGGAGTTGTTATAGGGCAGAGTTTTTGTATGCTATGGAAACAAAGTTGGCATAAATTTAGAGTGTTATAACTTCAGCACATTTAAGATAATCCCCATGGTAATCACAAATAAAATTAGCTGTAGACTATGCACAAAAGAAAATGAGAAGGAAAATGTAAAATTTCACTAGTAGCAATCAACTAAGCACAAAATAAGTCAGTAATGCAGGAAATGAGAAACAAAAAATCTACAAGGCATATAGAAAACAAATAGCAAAATGACAGAAGTAAATCCCTCCTTATCAATAATTACTGTAAATGTAAATGGATTAAACTCTCCAATCAAAAGAGAGTAGTAGGACCAGGCATGGTGGCTCACGCCTGTAATCCCAGCACTTTGGGAAGCCGAGGTGGGTGGATTACTCAAAGTCAGGAGTTTGAGGCCAGCCTGGCCAACATGGTGAAACCCTGTCTCTACAAAAAATACAAAAAAATTAGCCAGGCATGGTGGCATGCACCTATAATCCCAGCTACTCAGGAGGCTGAGGCAGGAGAATTGCTTGAACCCGGGAGGTGTAAGTTGCAGTGAGCTGAGATCGCTCCACTGCACTCCAGCCTGGGTGACAGACTGAGGCTCCATCTCAAAAAAAAAAAAGAAAAAAAAGAGTGGTAGAATGAATTAAACACACACACACACACACACACACACACACACACACACACACACACACACACACGATCGAGATTGTGAGAGTCAGCATACTGTGCCCTAGGCAGCCCCCATCTGCTAAAAAACAGCAAAACGTGATCTAACTATATGCTGTCTCCAAGAGACTCACCTTAGGTCCAAAAACACAAATAGATTGAAAGTGGAAGAACAGAAAAAAGATATTCCATGTAAATAGTAACCAAAAGAGAATAGGGGTAGCTATACTAAGATCAGACAAAATATACTTTTTTTTTTTTTTTGAGACGAATCCTCACTCTGTTACCCAGGCTGGAGTGCAATGGCGTGATCTCAGTTTACCACAACCTCTGCCTCCCAGGTTCAAGTGATTCTCCTGCCTCAGCCTCCTGAGTAGCTGGGATTACAGGCATGTGCCACCATGCCCAGTTAACTTTGTATTTTTAGTAGAGATGGGGTTTCTCCATGTTGGTCAAGCTGGTCTCAAACTCCTGACCTCAGGTGATCTGCCTGCCTCAGCCTCCCAAAGTGCTGGGATTACAGGAGTGAGCCACCACTCCCAGCCAAAAAAATAAATATTGTATGAGTTCACTTACCTGAGGTGCCTAGAGTGGTCAAACTCATAGAACAGAAAGTAAATGGGCCGGGCACAGTGGTTCATGCCTGTAATCCCAGCACTTTGGGAGGGCAAAGCAGGCAGATCACAAGGTCCAGAGTTCGAGACCAGCCTGGCCAACATGGCGAAACCCTGTCTCTACTAAAAGTACAAAAATTAGCTGGGAGTGGTGGCACACGGCTGTAGTCCCAGCTACTCAGGAGGTTGAGTCAGGAGAATCGCTTGAACCTGGGAGGTGGAGGCTGCAGTAAGCCGAGTCTGCACCATTGCACTCCAGCCTGGGTGACAGAGCAAGACTCCATCTCAAAAAAAAAAAGAAAAAGTAGAGGCCAGGTGCGGTGGCTCACACCTGTAATCCCAGCACTTTGGGAGGCCAGGGCTGGTGGATCACCTGAGGTCAGAAGTTCAAGACCAGCCAGGCCAACATGGTGAAACCCTGTCTCTACTAAAAATACAAAAATTAGCTGGGCGTGGTGGCGGCCACCTGTAATCCCAGTTACTTGGGAGGCTGAGGCAGGAGAATCACTTGAACCCGGGAGGCGGAGATTGCGGTGAGCCGAGATCACACCATTGCACTCCAGCCTGGGCAACAAGAGTGAAACTCTGTTTCAAAATAAATAAATAAATAAAAGGTGGTTGTGTCAGGGGCTGAGGGGAGGGGAGAATGGGGAGTCACTGTTTGTTGGGTAAAGTTTCAATTTTGCAAAAAGGAAAGAGTTTTGGAGATGGATGGTGGTGATAGTTGAATAGTATGAGTGTACTTAATATCACTGAACTGTACACTTAAAAATGGTTATAATGGTAATTTTCTATTATGTGTATTTTACCACAATAAAAAACGGAAAAAAAATGATAAAATTTTTAAAAGCAGTAAGAAACAAATGTCCCCAACAGAAAAATAAACAAAAGACATCAACATAAAACCTCAGCAGGGTCTGGCAGCCCATCACATCCTTCCTTCTTGCTCTTGGGGCACTAGAGACCCTCTTCACCTCAGCCCTGTGACATAGCCCCCAGGGCTTCTGCAGGTGGCAGGTTCATTCTGTGACTCCTCACCTGCTCTCCCTCCATAAAGTCACCCAAAGTACAGTCCTGAGCCATCTGCTCTTGTCCTCCCTCACCTGGCTTCCAGGACCCCAGGCCAGTACTGCCTAACACACCTACCCCAGCCGCACCCCACTCAGCCCTGTTGTGGGCTCAGGCCTGGCTGCTTCCACTGGGGCTCCTGCCAGTACCCAGACCCTTGCCCAAACCTCCATCACAGTTCCCCAGATGGGACCTAGACATCGAGTCCCCTCGATGCCTTCCCTCTCCCTAGAGCTTGCTCATGCAGTCTGACCATGTGTCTCAGACTTTGTTGTCTGTGGCTGCTTCCTCTTGGCCACCAGCCCATGGCCACCGCTGATGCATATCCAGAGGAGCCGGGTCCCCAGCCTTGGCTGATGCATTGTGCCTGTTGGCCCGCACACTTACTGGTCCAGGCTGGGCAATCAGCACTCTCCCCGACCATGCCCTTGGCCTCCAGCTCATCCCACCCCCACAGTCGCTGCCACGCCCAGGAAACACACCTGGGCTCACCCTAGCCTCCCACTGGCGAGTCTGTCATCACTTTCCTCTGCAAATCCTATGTGACCTTGGAGGTCCCCTCCAACCACGGGGCTTTCCTTCCCCTGAACCCCTGCCCTCCCCGGGCTTCAGGCCCAGAGAATTCGCAGGGCTGGACACTGGGCAGGCACTCAGCAAAGTGGCAGTCATTCTTTGTGGCCTGCCATCTCACATGGACAGCCCTCCGATGCCTGGGCCATCTCTCTTACTGTGGCCTGGGGCTGGCACCTGGCTGTTGTGCTGTTCATACACGAATGTGGCTTCACTCCCCAGGACTGCTGGAGGTGCCTCCAGAGTAATGAACAATTCTGCACCTCTGGCCAAGCCCCTGGCCGGAGGACCCCCCAACCCATCCCTGCTGGTTGCTACTGCCCCTCCCCAAATCCCAGGGGCCTAAGGGTTGAGAAGGGCCTGGGCTCACCTTGGGCAGGGCCAGCTCCTGGTCCAGTCCCACGCTGATGTGGCACATGGAGTAGAGGCTCACTCCGAACAGGGCGAGAAACAGCAGCAGCTGAGAAGGGACCTGCTGCATGAGACCACCCTGCCCAACAGCCGTCCCCCATCTCCCCACAAATTTAAGTCAGTCAGGGTGTCATGGGCAACATTCTGGAGTTGAGCAGACTTGCGTGCCAGCCCCAAGTATCAGCATTTGGGCCTAGGCAACCTCCCCACCTCCAACCCTGCTCTCCCTGAGGCGAGGTCCCCACCTAGTGCCCCTGCTCTCGTGTGGTTCGAGGCCCACTCACCACAACACCTCGAGTGATCCAGTGCAGCAGGAAGGGGGCATAAGCCTTTTGGAAGAAGCCAAGCAGGAGCCCCTCTCCCTGGCCAGGCGGGGGCAGCTCCTGGGGCTTGACACAGCAGCAGACGTCCAACCGGGAGGCCTGGAGTGGGAGGCACCCCCTCAAGGTAGTCCCAGAGCAGACAAGGCCCCAGGGACCACCTTCTTGCCCCCAGGGAGTGTCACCTTCTGTGGGTGGCCCGTGCCAGTGCCCTCATGGAGACATACCAGTGTGCTGTTTTCTTTGCTTTTATTTTAATCTTGATAAAATATCTTTAAATTTTACACCATCATGGGAACCAACAGATCAACTCCTGTCGACCTCTCATTTATACAGCTGACCCTTGAACAACACGAGTTTGAACTGCCTGGGCTCACTTATCCCTGGATTCTCTTCCACCTCTGCCGCCCCTGAAACAGCAAGATCAAGCCCTCCTCTTCCTCCTCTTCCTCAGCCTACTCAACCTGAAGACGACGAGGATGAAGACCCTCATGATGATCCACTTTCACTTCGTGAATAGTAAATAGATTTTCTCTTCCTTATGATTTTCTTACTAACATTTTCTTTTTTCTTGCTTCCTTTATTGTAAGAATACAGTTTATAATACATATAACATTCAAAAGATGTGTTATCGACTATTTATGTTATCATTAAGGCTTCCAGTCAATAGTAGGCTAGTAGGAATTAAGTTTAGAAGGGTCAAATGTTACATGCAGACCAGGCATGGTGGCTCACGCCAGCACTTTGGGAGGCCAAGGTGGGCAGATCACCTGAGGTCAGGAGTTCGAGACCAACCTGACCAACATGGTGAAACCCCATCTCTATTAAAAACACAAAAATTAGCCAGGCGTGCAGGAGGAGGGGGCCTGTAATCCCAGTAATTGGGAGGCTGAGGCAGGAGAATCGCTTGAACCCGGGAGGCAGAGGTTGTGGTGAGCTGATATCACGCCATTGCACTCCAGCCTGGGTGACAGAGTGAAACTCCGTCTCAAAAAAAAAAAAAGTTACATGCAGATTTTCAACTGCTTAGACAGTCGGTGCCCTAATCTCCACATTGTTCAAGGGTCAACTGTATTTTATTTCTCAACATCATGCACTTTAGGAGGTTTGATTATATTTAAAAAATTGTCAAAACAAATTTATTTTTCTGTAGGAAATTGGAGAATACATGGCCTAAATATTACTCTCCTGGCACAATGCCCCTGTCCCCCACCCCATTCTCTGGGCCATCTCTGTGGTGGTAAAGCCACCCCATCTCCCTGCCATGGTGGGAACCCAGGGGCAGGTCCCTCAGTACTGGCCCAGCTGCCCCTACCTCCTGCCTCTTGCTGTCCAGGGAGAGCAGGGCCACAAAGGCTGACATCTGCAGGAGGAAGTCAAGGATCACTGCAAGGCCAGAGGTCAGGGCAAAGGTCCGCACAGCTGGCATGGGGGTCAGGGCCCCTGTGAGGGAGCAGAGGGCTGTCAGGGCACCCTGGCTTCAAGGGCAGAGTGGTAGCCGACATTGACAGGGTGCAGGGGGAAGGGAATCTGCACTATACCCACTGCCCTCTGGGAACTCCTAGGCCCCGGCACTAACCCAGCAAGCCTAATGCCGAGTGGGGAGGTCTCACCCAGGCTCACCTAGGAAGAAGCAGATGGCCTCAGAGAGGCTGCACAACAGCATGCTGGGAGCCACCCTGCCTAGGGCTCGCCCAATGTGGACCTCTCGTGGCTCCCCAGGCCTCCGGGGCAGCCTCTGTGTGGGAACAGCAGGGATAAGAGCCAGGGCCCTCCAAGGGCACCGCCCCTCAAAGGCCAGCAGGGAGTTGGCAAGTGCCCAGAGCTGCAGCCAGGCCTGAGGAGCTGCTCTGACCTTCCTGAATCATCAGAGACTCTCATACTCTCCATGGCCAATATTCTTCTTCCAGGGTCTGGCTGGGAGAAATGGTTGGTGCATTTGAGATGTCTATAGCATCCCTGTTCCAAGCACTGTTGGAACCCTAATTGTTCACCAACAGGGAGAGGTGAAATCGACTCTGATTTATCCTTACCATGGAATGCTACCTAGCAGCATAAAGACAGGAGGAGGCTGTAATGTACTAACATGGAGAGGTTTTACTAGACATTGCAAGGGGTTAACAGAAAGCTAATTCCAGATGGTAGAGGCAGGATGAAGTCATTTATGTCAACACACTCTAGTTTCTACAGATATTGTAAACATGCGTGTCGATGAACAGAAAGAGTCTGCAGGGAGACCCAGCAAATTCACGCCAGAGTCCCATCAGGCCAGGAGGTGAGGTTGGGAGAAGAGTGGGCAGTTGGGGGTGTGGAGAGCTCCTCCCTTCTTACCTGGTACTCGAGAACAAAGATGAAGATGTTATCAGCCCCCACGGACAGCACCAGGAAAGGAACCACTTGCAGGATGACCAGGGAGGAGCGGATACCCAAGTAGGAGAAGAAGCCCATGGCAGCCATGACTGCTCCCAGGACCACGGCCACCCCGCCGAGGCCCAGCGTGGCCTTGGAGTCCACCTGCAATGCAAACAGGCTCAGCCCCCTAGCCACTTAGCACCTACCCAGTATGCCCACCAGCCTCAGCTAGGCCAGACAAAGTAGCCGGCAGGCACCCTCAGTGCCTGCAGGTGCCCGATACTGCCCCCAGTGGTGAGGAGCTCACATCTCACATTAAAGCCCCTCTGCAGAGCCATCCTCCCAAGGGGAGGTCCAGGAAACCCAAAGGCATGGGTGAGCCTACTCCATCTTCCTTGAGCATGCATTGCAAGAGATTTTAAGTCTTAGCTTTGCATTTGGGCAAGTGAGGGTATGGCATGTAACAGACAGAAAACTGCTCTTAGGCCAGGTGTGCTGGCTCACACCTGTAATCTCAACATTTTGGGAGGCTGATGAGGAAGAATCACTTGAGCCCAGGAGTTTGAGACCAGCCTAGGCAAAAAGCGAGACCCCATCTCTACAAAAACTACAAAACAAAAAAAATGGCCGGACGTGGTAGCTCACGCATGTAATCCCAGCACTTTGGGTGGGCGGATCACCTGAGGCCAGGAGTTCAAGACCAGTCTGACCAACATGGAGAAACCCCATCTCTACTAAAAACACAAAATTAGCCAGGCGTGGTGACACATGCCTGTAATGCCAGCTACTCGGGAGGCTGAGGCAGGACAATTGTTGAACCCAGGAGGCGGAGGTTGCAGTGAGCCGAGATCGCGCCGTTACACTGCAGCCTGGGCAACAAGAGCAAAGCTCTGTCTCAAAAAAAAAAAAAAAATAGCTGGGCACAATGGCAAGTGCCTATAGTCCCAACTACTTGGGAGGCTGAAGCAGGAGGATCACTTGTGCCCAGGAGTTTTGAGGTTGCAGTGAGCTAAGATCATGCCACTGCACTCCAGCCTGGGCAACAGAGCAAGACCCTGTCTCAAAAGAAAGAAAGAGAGAAAAAGAGAAACAGAGAGAGAAAGAAAAGAAAGAGAAAGAGAGGGTAGGAGGGAAAAGAGAAGAGAAAAGAAAAGCAAAGAAAAGAGAAGAAAAAGAAAGGAAAAGAAAAGAAAATTGCTCTTGACCTTTCAGCACAGAACACTTGCAAGAGGTATTACCCTTTGGGGCAGCCACTTGGGTGTGTCCACTTTGCTGTTCTGAGGTGCTGTGGTTAGGAAAGTTGTAGAAGGCCTACTGAAGATGCCTGGGGTCCTGGGCTAGCCCACTTAGCTGTGTCCCTCCCGCTTCTCACCATCACTCGGCTCCAGCTGGAATAGCTGCCCAGGGCCAGAGAGATGTACAGGAATATGACAATGTAGCTGGTGGCAAAGATGGGCAGGTCTTCAGCTGTGGTGCGATTGATCTCGTCTTCCAGAGAGCGCTGTGGACACACACCCGACCAGCCCCCACTGACCGTGCCTGCTTCAGCCAGGCCAGCTCTCAATAGCTCGGTCACTGGGCACTAATTGTGTGTTGTGTCATAGGGCCTGATGGCCCCCTATAATCGCAGGTGAGGCTATAAGAACAGCCATCACAATCACCCCGTTCTGAGCAGGCAGCCACTGCCCAGGGTCACTTAGGAAGGGCCAGGGCCAGGATGGGGACACAGGAACTGACCCAAGACCACCTGGGTTGCACCCCCAGAGCCAGGGACCCTGCAGCCCCTACCTCAGCCATGAACGTGACCTGGAACATGCCAGCCATCCGACGCTGGAAGGCTCGCATTTCCTCTAAGAAGGCCTCCTCCCACAGCTTGGCCTGGGCCAGACGGGGGTCCCCGGCAGGGTAATTGTTGAGGGAGAACGTCATGATCAGGGCCTCTGCCTCAGAATAGTCCTTTCCTGGGATAAGAAATACTCAGACCCTTCCTGCTGCACCCGTGCCTCCCTCCCCCTCCAGCTGCACCCCTATATTCCCTCCCCCTATCTAGCTGCACCCCTCCCATCACCCCTTGCTCCTTCTCCCCCACTCCTTCCTCATCTGATACATGGCCTTACCTCCTACACCCCACTTCTCTCAGCCAAAGGCGAGACCTTTGGGCCCAGGCAGAAAAACCACAGTGCCTGAGTAACACTACTAGAAGATAAAGGAGATGGCAGAGAGAGGAAACAGGACAGGGTTGGCCTACAGCTTCCAGAAGCCAGGCTACCCCCAGGCCGCGAGAATCCCCAGCACCACTCCCACCCTCCCGTCTATGGTTCCTGCCCCAATACTGCATCTTCCTTGGCTTCCTCTCAGGGCCCACTTAGCTTACCTTTGTACCCCCCAATGGCAAGGAAGGGGAAGACAGGGGCCCCGTAGTCAGCCATGCAGCTCAGGGCCAGGGCTGTGCCATCCTTGAAGGTGAGCGGGGCACTAGAGGGAGATGACCGCAAAGGGAAAGGGCCTTTCCTGGCCCTGCCCAGTCCCTATGGCCCCTCCCTTCCCCTCCCACCCCAGACCCACAGCACTATGGAGGGTGAGCTGGTGGGGTGGGGGACACTGGCTGCAGATAGCCCAGCTATCTGCATTTAGGCCATTTAGCTATTTAGGACCCAGCCGAGTGGGTCCTAAATGGCTCCCATCCAGCAAGATCTCCTGCAGGCCCCCACCCACGGAGTGAGTTGGAGCTGCCCTGAGTGCCTTCTCTGTGGCAGGCAGGGGCTGCTCCGGGACCTGTCCCTCTGAGCCTCTCATGTCTCCACACACTGGCCTGACCTTCCTGGCTCTGACATTATCTGACTCTGGATTGAGCGTCACACCTGAAGTCCCGTGAGGGTGGAAGAGCTGGGATTTGAGCCATGGGGTCTGGCATGGGCTGTCTCAAACGTTGCCCTCTCAGCCTCCTTCTCCTGCCTAGGGCCCCCGAAACCCTTTAGGTATTGAGGTTAGATTTGGAACCCTGGAGCCCAGCAGCCAATGTTTTCACAGTTTACTAGACTGGTGCCCTCAGGCAAGTCTGTAGGTCCTTCAGCTTAGCCCTTTCTGCAAAGCCCGTCATTGCGAAGATGCAGTGGGACACCTGAGCAAAGCTCTCTACCCCCCTCTCTCAGATCTCAGCAAGCGAGTGCTGGTTGCTGTGTGACCTTGAGCAGCTTACCACACCCCTCTGAACCTCAGTTTTCCTGTCTGTAAAATGGAGATAATTGGACCACCCGAGAGTTGTTGTGAGCATCCGAAGTCAAAATAAAGATAATACCCTATAATGGACTATAAAGCTACCGTCAGACATGAGTCTGAGGTCAGACCATGATGCCTCCCCAGAGCAAACAATGGCTCCTCTCGTTCCTGCTATTTCCAAGAGAGAGCCCTTGGGTTCCTGGCACAGACACTCTGGGAAGCAGCCCAAACTTGGGGCCCAGCTGAGGGATGCAGAGCCAGGTAGCAGGGGACAGAAAGTGTCGGCACTCTCTTCCAATCCAGTGGTTCTCAAAGTGTGGCCTGGGGCCCTTAGGCGTCCTGGAGACCCTTTCCAGGGTCTGTAAGGTCAGAACTGTTTTCATAATAACACTAAGATGCTATTTGCCCCTTTTAACTCTCATTTGCTCTGGAGTATGGAGTACTAAACGTTCATCTTGAGGACCTCTGCTCTACTCCAACCTCAAGGAGCCTCCACTGCCAAGGCCCTGCTGCTGCCCTTGGCTCTTGGCCCCCTTGGCCCAGCAGCGTTGTTGGCATCTTGTTGGCAGCACACCAGAGTGGACAGAACCAAAGACCGAACCCCAATCAATAGAAGTGTGTGTGGCTGTGGCCTACCCCAGGACACCCGGCCCAGGTGCCTGAGACCAGCCACGACCTCTGGCCTGAGGGCACCTTTTCCAATGCATACCATGGTACCTCATGGGTTACTGATGGCCCTACGGCCCCTGGCACAGAAACAAGAAGCAAAACATAGCAAATATAAATATGTACTCTGCCAATCGGGCTCCTCTGTCAGACTTAAAGCAAGAGTGTGGCAGGGAGCTCCCACATGTCAAGAAATCTGCAGAAAGACAGAGTGGACTCGGGGTTGAAGGGCCAGCGATGGCCACGCACAAACCTGCAGCCATGAGCAGGAACTCTGACCAAAGGAAATGGCGGCCGGACGAGGGGCAGAGATAATCATCTGGGCGGCCCCAGGCCAGAGCCGTAGGAATAGCTACCTCTGGTCCTTCAGGACCAGCTGTATGCCCGGCCAGGTTCCCAGGAGGCCATGGCAGCCCAGCCCCAGCCCCAGCCCACTCCTCGCTTGGGCCCCACCATGGACTCACTTGGCACAGTACAGAAAATGGTCCTTCCAGTCGACTTGGGAGGTCTGCCCCATCAGTGTCTGGTTGGCTGTGAGCAGCAGGAGCGTGCGGTTGTTCTGGAAATACTGCAGGAGGCTGTTGATGCAGCAGTCGTAGAGACTGGTATTGTCCGGATTGAGGGGGGCGTAGCAGATGTCCTGCAGGGAGATGTTGCGCTGTGCTTCGGGCGACCATACCTGGAGGTGCCGCAGCCTCTCCTGCAGCTCTAGCAGCTCCAGCAGCAAGTCCAGGTCCAGGATTCCGCTGAAGTTCTTGGGCCCCAGCAGCAGAGAGTCATACCTGTAGCTGGACCGGTTAGGAGCCGTCAGGATCACCTGGTTGGTTCGGAAGAAGGGGCCGAAATGCTGGTCATGGAAAGCTTTCTCACTCCGGGCTTGGCTGTTGGGGGCCGACCACAGCTCCACGGGGTCCGTAGTGAGTTCTGTAAAGACCAGGCCCGCTGCCAAGGCCACCACCGGGATGACAGATAGCACCAAGATGGTCAGAGGCCACGAAGCCACCCACGTGCCCCAGCCCTGGAAGAACTGGCCAAGGAGGGTGTGGGTGGAGAAGCTGAGCTTGTCAGAGAGGCTGGTGCCCTTCTTGGGGTCCACCATCTTGCTTTTGTCCCTGGCGGGGGCCACACGGAATCCCACAAGCAGGATGGTGACCACAGCGAAGACAGAGCAGAGGATGATGATGAGGACCAGACTGCCCGGCATCTGGCCCAGGTAGAAGGTGGAGTCGAGGGCCTGGGGGCGGGCTATGGCAGGACAGGATGCAGCACAGTCTTGGCAGGAGCAGGTCGCCACGTCGTCACCTTGGGACTCATTGCAACGTGCAACCCCCTCATTCAGAGGCTGAATCCCACTCCCCACGGCCTGGCCAGGCTCCAAGAGGTGGAAGGTGATGTCCAGTGGGGCCAGACCATTGCCTGTGTCTCCCTGGAAGTTGAGCCAGCGCTGGGCATTGCAAAGGGCAGAGCCATACACGCCACACATGGTGCCCACAGCCAGCGTGGCAGCTGCAGGGACGCGCACACGGCTGCAGGAGTCATAGCTCTGCTCGGCAAAGCTATGCTGGTAGAAGGCCTCATAGGCCACCACAGCTGGGAGTTGTCCAGCCCCTAGCTGGGCCACGCGGGTCACATTGATGAAGAGGCTCTGATTGGGGCTGCACGTGTTGTGGCAGTGCAGGTTCACAAAATTGTCAGAGCAGGCTGGGCAGCGGGTGAGGAGGGCCTTGGTGATCGACAGACTCGCTTCCAGTGATACCAGCTGCTTGGCGGAGCAGCAGGCTTGGGTGTTGGGGCCGGTGTAGAGGCGGGGGCAGATCTTCTGTAATAGGATCAGGTGATCACCTGTGATCTTGCGGGCCGGCGTGTTGGACAGGCAGGACACGTTGGAGAGTGTCATGAGGCTTCCAGACAGCTCTGGGTTCTTCCCACATTCGTCATAGAAGGCGCAGTAGCCAGGCTGGTGGATGGTTGTGTAAGGCTCACTCTGGGCCTGCAGAGCACAGCAACATCACGCGTGGGCCCTGACACAGCTGGGTGCCATCCAGGCAGCAGGCAGCCAGGGAGGGTGTGAGGGTAAGAAGGACATGGAGCAGGGGCAGGGAAGCGGGGAGTGTGGGGAGTAGGAAGCCTCCTGGAGGCATGTGCCAGCCAGCCAGTGTTGGAGTGACAACACTGGCCTTTCTTCCTGGGGGTGGCCTGATAGACCTGCAGCTTAGGAAAGTCATGCTGGAGAGGCCAGAGATGGGTAAGGAGGCAAAGCTGACTCCAAGGTCCCGGGCTCTGCCCACGTCAAAGTCAGCCTGAGTCCCCACACTGTACACCACATCCAGAGGCCAGGGTCTCTCATGGAGAGTCTGTTCAGGAGGCCCCCCGACTCCCACCACCACTACCACCACCTGCTTGAGGCCAAAAGCTGTCACCCACCTCCCAGACACAAAGTAAGCGAGGAACTTAAGAGGTGCCAGCGCTGGATCTTCTCCCAGCCTCCAGAGTGCTCAGTCCTCCCTAGGTGATGCTCACCAGGTAACCCCATCCCAGCACCTCCTTGCCTCAGACCTCCCTCAACTGCAGGCCTGGACCCCACAGTAGGGCCAGTGACAGGAGGGACTTGGAGCACCCCAGTCCAGCAGCCTCTTTCACCCCTGTGTGCATTCAAGCCTGTAACCTGGAAACCCTCCACCTGCACCCCTCCTCTGTGGGGCCTGGCATCCCTCATGTGTCCAGAGACTTGCCCAGCCCGCAGGCCCTGAGGCTCCCTTGCTGTCACCCAGTAACGCTCGCCTGGTACACGGCTGGCCCCAGGGTCCCTAACTGGAGGCCGCAGGGGAGGTGGAGCCAAGCCCTGGGACTCACCAAGCGCAGGAGCAGGGCCCACAGCAGCCAGCCCCTCAGGCCGGCCTCCGCCATCCCAGGTCTGGGAAGGGGTCAGCGGGGAGCCAGGCCAGGCCTCAGGAACAGCCAAGGGCTGAACACACATTAAGGCAGCCTCCTCCCCTTCGATGACAACCCTGGCCTGACTGGGTTAGGGACCAATGAGGCTGAGCCCTGCTGGTTAATGATCCACCACTCCCACTGTTTGGCCCCAGTCCACAGGCCCCCGCTTTAGATGAGCCTCATCACGCAGGTGCTAGGGTCTCCACTCACTTCCCAAAGCGACCGAAGCCAGAGGGCTGAGTCAGCTAGGGGAGAGACCACGCTATTAGCCCCTAACACTGCTGGAGTTGGTGCCAGGGCCTGGAGGCACAGATGGGACCAGGCACTGGCTGGGACCCGGCCTCAGGAGCTCAGCATGGCCGAGGAACCTCCGCACCCTCCCTGGCTCAGCCTCAGACCCCAGCTCTGCCCTACCCCCTCTTGGGACCAGGGCCAGCAATGGGCTCAGAGGAACCCTCTGCACTGTCATCCCTAGCAACTGTTGTTAATTAATATTAACAGCCTGATAACGGAGGGGCAGGCAGGGTGGAGTGACGCAGTGACAAAAGTCCCCTCCTCCAGGAAGCAAAGGGAAAGAACAGCTCACTCTAGGGCCTGACAGTTGACAGAGACCCCAGATAGTGGAAGACTCTCCTTTGCTCACTTTGCTCTTCATCCCCTCTTCCCCCCGACCTTCTCCCTCTTGTCCCTTGCCCAGGCCTGTCCCACCGGTCACCCCTAGCAAGGGACAGAGCATGGCTGGGAGCCTTGAGCAGCAGCCCTGCTCCACCTGGGCCCAGGGGTGTGGTACACACTTTCTGCTCCCTCCTGATAGGAATCTTCAAGGCCTACCTTGGGTTCTCACTATCACCAGGATGGGCCATGACCTTTACCCCCATTTGGTAATGGGCCCCCATTACCAAAGCTGAGCTGCAGATAAGGGCAGCTTGTTGGGAACATCTCCTGCGTGGCCACCTACTGGAGACAGCTGCAGGAAGGGACCTGTCTCTAGTGTTCTGTGGACCCCTGCCTGATTCACAGGGGAGCCACCCAGCCTCATGCAGGAGAAGACAGAGGCTGAGAGGAAGGGGGCCAAGGCAGGGTCAGGCTGACCCCTAAGTTCTCAAGACAGCCATAGTGGAGAGGAAGACAGTCAGCAGCCAAGGACCTGCCCCTGTGAGTGACAGCTCCATCCAGCACCTTCCCAGCACTGCTCCCAAGTCCCTGGCCGGCAGAGGCGGACACCCCACCACCCATGAAGCTGCCTCTCTAGGTCCTCTGTTCCCGGTGTTGTCATCTAGTTCCTCCAGAAACAGATCCTGAAACAAGGATCCCAGTGCAAAGAGTTTATTGGGGAGATGACCCCAGATGACAGCAGTCGGTGAATGGGGAATGAGCCAGGGGATGGAAGAAAGCTGACCAGAATGCATCCAAGAGCTTGCTCCTGCCCCCAGGGACCTCCGGGAACTGGTGGGGACGTGCCCAAGAAGGTCCCCTCCAAGGAATAAGGACACAGACAGCTTTCCACCACATTCATCTGTCACTGGTAGAGGACATTCCTGGAAGATTTCGCCCCAGCACGTGGCGGGCACCTTCAGTGTCAAAGGGCCTTAGGCAGGGCCGTGGGCACTTGCGACAAGAAGACACTGTCGGCATGCACAGAGCTGTGTCAGAACAAAGATATGAAAGGCCCACCCTGCCTTTCATATGTTTCTTCCCATGGGGGCTGTCTAGGCTAAGCCCCTGGAGCCCAGCTGTGCCCAGTCTAGCACCACAGAGAGATAGAGTCCAGCTATGTGGTCTCCTGGGGTCATTTGTGAAACACACGCAGCATAACAGCGGCACAATCCGGCTCGGAATGACAGTGAAAATTTCACACCCGATCTCCCAACCCAGCTGCCGGTGCCTCTGGACACACGTGCCGAGCTGTAACCATATGATATGTACATGCATCCTGCTTTTTCTCTTGACTTTTCACATAAATCCTCCCTGTTGCCTTCAATCTCTGATCAGCACGTCCGTGACTAGGTTATGGTCCACAGAACGCGTGGATCTTCTCCTCTTCTGGTGCTGACTGTCGAGCCGGTTCCCAATAGTTCATTTTTGATAAATAAGTTTCTGGTTGACTTCTTTGCACCTAACAATGTTTCCTCCTTCTTTGAATTTATTTCCTTAAAACAAGTTCCCCTAGATGAGATTTGTGAGTCAGAGTACAATGTTTACCATTCTTTTTTTTTTTTTTTTTTTTTTGAGACAGAGTCTCACTCTGTTGCCAGGCTGGAGTGCAGTGGCGCAATCTCGGCTCACTGCAACTTCTGCCTCTTGGGTTCAAATGATTCTCCTGCCTCAGCCTCCCGAGTAGCTGGGACTACAGGCATGTGCCACCATGCCTGGTTCATTTTTGTATTTTTAGTAGAGACAGGGTTTGACCATGTTAGCCAGGATGGTCTCGATCTCCTGATCTCGTGATCCGCCTGCCTCGGCCTCCCAAAGTGCTGGGATTACAGGCATGAGCCACCAGCCCCGGCCCAATGTTTACGACTCTTACGTGGACAGCTCATTTCTTTCCTCAGGCTAATCTAGGATTTATTGGGTAATTATCAGATTCTCAGTTATTGGAATTTGGTGAAGGGTTGATGCCAGTCTTGGGTAATGAAGACTCGGTGATTTCCCGAGGGCCGTGACTCTTACCACTGACATGGGCAACTCGCAAAGGCACCATCTTCCCACAGTCTCACCTTCATCGTGTATTATGTTTGTCATTAGAACTTACTAATTTAATGACTGCCAGATAATACCTCATTTTCCACTTTCTATTGGTATTAGTAAGATTGATATTATAAGTTTGATGTTAGAATCATAAGACAGGTCTGAAATGTGGCTACTCTGAGAAGGTCCCGAGAGGGGCCCAGAGCTGTGCCAGTTCACTGAGGGAGCAGCCGGGGGTGAGGCAGCCATCAGCAGAGCAGCCCTTTGTTGCTGGCTCCGGGGTGACACCTGGCAGAGGCTGCCCCAGGTGAGTCATGTACAGACAAGCCCTGGAGACATGAGGATCACTCACTGAAATAAGCCAGGCACAGAAAGACAAACTTCATGTGTTTTCACTCATTTATAGGAGCTAAAAATGAAAACAAACGCATGGCAATAGACAGTAGGTAGAACGATGGTTACCAGAGGCTGGGAAGAGTAGTGGGGAGGTAGGGGGAAGCGGAGATGGTTGGTGGGTACAAAAATATAATTAGATAGAATGAATAAGAGCTGGTATTTGATAGCATAACAGGGTAATTACAATCAGCAGTACATTTTAAAATAACTAAAAGGGTGTAATTAAAATGTTTGTAACAGAGAAGTGACAAATGCTTGAGGTGACGGTCACTCCATTTACAACCTGATGTGATTATGACACATTGTATATCTGTATCAAAATATCTGATGTACCCCATAAATATATAATCTACTGTGTACTCATAAAAATTAAATTAAAAAAAATCACTCGCTGACTTGCTGTTCTGCATCCCAACAGCATTCAAAGAATTTGGGGATCTGGGCTGAGAGGAAGGTAGGTGAAATTGCTAAGCCAGTCACCTGACCTGGGCCACAGGTACCTTGGCTGGATATGTGTACAACACTCTAACTGGTACAGATGTAAGTAATCACATCCCCTACTTCTCGCTCTTTGGGGTAACGAGCCTGCCGGTGGCCCCTTTGTCTTTCTTGCCATCAGAACCTGCACTCTTTGGTGAAGGATTGTGTCCACTGCTCAGGTGAGAGAGGCTCTCCCTGTTCTCCCAGACCCCTTTGCAGCTAGCAGGGGCCCTGTGATCCCCGTGGGAAGGCTTTTTCTTCCCTCATGAAAGGGGAGGTATGCAGCTGGCATGATATTCTAGCCTTCCCCACTTTTCGCCACACTAGACAGATGGAAGGTCTAGAGCTGTAGCAACCATCTTGTGGTCCTGAAGCATTGAACGCGAGGAAAAAGTCGAGATGCAAAAAATGCCATTGGAAATGACATCAGCAAAATGGTGGCCTAGGAAGCTCCAAGCTCTCATTTCCAAACTGAAACACTGAATAAACAAGCCAAACTGTCAGAACCAACTTTGTTGTCACTCTAGAAAACAAAGGCCTACAGCAACCAGGCAAACACTCAATTTAAAAAAGGCCATCTTCAAAACAGTAGCAAAGTTTTGTGGTGTTTTTACTTAGTCTTGCCCCACCCCTTCCCCAGCATGGCAGCAGTCTTGGTCTTTTTTTTTTTTTTTTCTTTTTGAAGCAGGGTCTCATTCTGTAGCCCAGGCTGGAATGTATTGGTACAATCATGGCTTACTGCAGCCTCAAACTCCTGGGCTCAAGCAATCCTCCAACCTCCGTCTCCTGAGAAGCTAGAATTACATGTATGTGCCACCACACCCAGCTAGTGTTTTAAATTGTTTGTAGAGATAGGGTCTCACTATGTTGTCTGGGCTGGTCTCAAACTCCTGGCCTCAAGTGATCCTCCTGCCTTGGCCTCCCAAAGTGTTGGGATTACAGGCGTGAGCCACTGCACTCAGTCAACAGTTTTGGAATTGAGACAACAGTAGTACAGTTCTCAGCTCCCTCCTCCAAAGAGAGCAGGCCTTATTTGCAAACTATTACGTGCATCTGTTCTTGTCTGGGGGATCCTGGAAGAACTGATGCAAGATGCTGTATCTCTTACCTAAAATCAGGACATTGCTCAGAAAAGATGCCTGGGGCAAGAGGTTATAGGTAGAGACATGCCATAGACCATTTTAAACCCAGAGGAGAAGCTTAGACAATTTGGATATTCAGCAGCAACTCGTGGGCGCAGTGGCTTACATCTGTAACCCCAACACTTGCGGATGCTGAAGCAGGCAGATTGCTTGAGCCCAGGAGTTTGAGACCAGTCTGGACAACATAGCAAGACCCTGTCTCTACAAAAAATTTAAAAATTAGCTGGGGGTGGTGGCATGCAACTGTAGTCCCAGCTACTTGGGAGGCTGAAGCGGGAGGATTGCTTTAGCCCAGAAGTTTGAGACTGCAGTGAGCCATGATTGTGCCACTGCACTACAGCCAGTGCAGTAGAGCAAGTCTCTGTCTTAAAATATATATATGTACATAAATTTTTAAAGCAGCTTTGAGCCAAGCACAGTGGCTCATGCCTGTAATCCCAATGCTTTTGGAGGCCAAGGTGGGAGGATCACTTGAGGCCAGGAGTTTGAGACCAGCCTGGGCAATAATTGCAAGACCCCCATCTCTACAAAAAATAAAATGTAAAAAAAGTTAGCTGGCATGGTGGCATGTACCTGTAGTCCCAGCTATTTGGGAGGCTGAGGTGGGAGGATCATCTGAGTTTAGGGGTTTGAGGCTGCAGTAAGCCATACCGCACCATTGCACTCCAGGCTGGACATTGACTCAAAAGAAAAAAAAAAAGAAGAAGAAGAAGCCGCCAGGTGCAGTGGCTCATGCCTGTAATCACAGCAGTTTGGAAGACCAAGGCAAGAGGACTGCTTGAGGCCAGGAGTTTGAGACAAGCCTGGCCAAGGTAGTGAGAGCCTGTCTCTACAACAAAATAGAAAAGCAGGCTGGGCATGGTGGCTCACACCTGTAATCTCAGCAATTTGGGAGGTTGAGGTGGGAAGATCCTGCCCTGATCCCAGGAGTTTGAAACCAGCCTGGGAAACATGATGAGACCCTGTCTCTACAAAAAAATAAATAATTGGAAGGGGCCAAGATGGCCGAATAGGAACAGTTCCCATCTGCAGCTTCCAGTGAGACCAGTGCAGAAGGTGGGTGATTTCTGCATTTCCAACTGAGGTACCCAGTTCATCTCATTGGGACTGGTTCGGCAGTGGGTCCAACCCACAGAGGATGAGCAGAAAAAAATAAATAATTAGACGGAGGTTAGGCACCTGCTGTCCCAGCTACTTGGAAGAGACACAGGAAGATCACTTGAGCCCTCAAGGTTAAGGCTGCTGTGAGCTATGTTCACACAAGGACAGGATGGGGAGGGGAGGGGAGGAGAGGGGGAGGGAGGGGGAAGGGAAGGAGGGAGGGAGAGAAGGAAAGAGAGAGAGAAAAAGAAAGAGAAAAAGAAAAAGAAAGAAAGAAGAGGAAAGAAAAAAGCAAAAGAAAAAAGGAAAGGAAGGAAGGAAGGGAGGGTGGCAGGGAGGAGACAGAGAGAGAGAAAGAGAAAGAAAGAAAGAAAGAAAGAAAGAAAGAAAGAAAGAAAGAAAGAAAGAAAGAAAGAAAGAAAGAAAGAAAAGAAGAAAGAAGAGGAAAGAAAAAAGCAAAAGAAAAAAGGAAAGGAAGGAAGGAAAGAAGGAAGGAAGGGAGGGAGGAGAGAGAGAGAAAGAAAGAAAGAAAGAAAGAAAGAAAAAGAAAGGAAAGAAAGAAAGAAGAAAGAAAAGGAAAGAAAGAGAGAGAAAAGAAAAGAGAAAAGAAAGGAGGAAGGGAAAGGAAGGGGAGAGGAGAAAAGGGAAGGGAAGGGAAACTTAGCTGGGCATGGTGGTGCATTCCTGTAGTCCCAGCCACTCGAGAAACAGAAACAAGAAGATCACCTGAGCCCAGGAGTTCAAGGCTGCAGTGAGCCATGATCATGTCACTGCACACCAGCCTAGACGACAGAGTGAGATCCAACTCAAACAAAAATAAAACGGCTATGTATACAGGAAATTGAGAATGCCGCATGCATGTACAAGGCAAAACACATGTTCAGAAAAGCCCTGAAACTTTTGTCGCAGGCTGATCCTAGGCTCAGAACAAGCCTAGCTAAGTGTTAAAAGAGTCCCAACCCCAATTTGCAAAAGATAGGAGAGGTATGCTTGTGTGTGTACGTGTGTGTGTGTGTGTGTGTGTGTGTGTGTGTGTTGGTGTTGTTTTTTAGCTCCTGGCATTCAAGGAAATCTCTGTCAAAACACTGGCTAAACACAAGCTGAAGAAACAGACACTTTGGTGACCACAAAAAAACAATGAATAGTCTTTGCAAAAATAGCTTGGGAAAGTATAAAAACAAACATTACTACAGTCTTCAGAAATTAAAAAAAAATGCTGAGGAAGAGAGAGAATCTGATTTCCAGACTTATCACATTATAATAGTCAAATGTCCAGTTTTCAACAGCAACAGCAAAATCACAAGTCAGACAAATGGGAAAAGATGGCCTATTCAAAGGAAAAAAAAAAAAAAGTTGACAAAAACTGTGTCCAAGGCAGCCCAACATTACACTTATTAGACAAAAAACTTTAAAATAGCTATCTTAAAGAGCTAAGAGCAAAAATGGATGAGGACTAAAGTAAATTAGGAAAACTATGCATGAACAAAATGAGGATATCAATAAAGAGAAATTATAAAAAAGAACCACACAGAAATTCTGGACCTGAAAAGGATAATAACTGAAATAAAAAACTTCACTAGAGGGGCTCAAGAGCAGATTTGAGAAAGCAGAAGAAAGAATCTGTGAACCTGAAGGTAGGACAATTGAAATCATCAGGTCTGAGGAACAGACATGAAAAAGAGTGAGGAAAAGTGAACAGAGACTGCTACTTATGGTACACCATGAAACAAAATAACGTGGGTGTTATGGGAGTTCAATAAGGAGAAGAAAGGGAGAATGAGACAGATTATTTGAAGAAATAATGGCCTAAAACTTTCCAAATTTGATGAAAGACATGAATATTAAATATCTGAAAAGTCCAATAAACGCCAAGGAATATAAATACAAAGAGACTTATATTGAGCCATATTATAATCAAACAGTTGAAAGGCAAATACTAAGAGAGAATATTGAAAACAAGAGAAAAGTGACTCATCACATACAAGGTGTCCTCAATAAGATTATCAGCTGATTATAGCTGATTACTCATAAGAAACATTGGAGGTCAAAAGGCAGTGAGCATGATATATTTAAAGCGCTGAAACAAAATTATCAACCAAAAATCCTATTTCAGCAAAACTATCCTTCAAAAATAAGTGAGAAATTAAGACATTTTCAGATACATAATAGCTGAGAGAGTTCATTACCACTAGACCCGCCTTATAAGAAATGCTAAGGGGACTCTTTCAGGTTGAAATTAAAGGATGCTAGACAGTAACTCAAAGATGTTTGAAGAAATAAAAATCCTCAATAAAGGTATTTACATAGGTAAATATAAAAGCCAGAATTATTTTAACTTTGGGGTTTTTTTGGGGTGTTTTTTGTTTGTTTTGAGACAGACTGGAGTGCATTAGTGCAATCACAGCTCACTGCAGCCTCGACCTCTGGGCTCAACTGATCCTCCCATTTCAGCCTCCCAAATAGCTGGAATCCCATTACAGGCACATGCCACCACGCTTGGCAAAATCTTGTATTTTTTGTAGAGGTGGGGTCTCACTGTGTTGCCCAGGCTGGTCCCAAACTCCTGGAGGCAAGCAATTCTCCCACCTCAGACTTTCAAAGTACTGGCATTACAGGTCTAAGCCACCATGCCTGCCAAGTCACTCTTTCTTTTTCCCTTTTTTGTAAAGCTGGGATCTTGTTATGTTGCCCAGGCTGGTCTCAAACTCCTGGCCTCGAGCAATCCTCCCACCTCAACCTTCCAAAGCACTGAGATTGCATGTGTGAACCACCACACCCAGCCAAAAAAACATAATTCTATATTTTTGAGCAAACAATGTGTAAAGATGGAATTTTTGACACCAATAACCTAAAGCAGGGACAAAGCTGTATAGGAGTAGAGTTTTGTATGCTGTTAAGTTGGTATCAATTCAAATTAGATTTTTATAACTCTAGGATTTTATTTGTAATCCCCAGGGTAACAACGAAGAATAATACATAGAATATATGCAAAAGGAAATGAAAAGAGAATCAAAATGTGTCACTACAAAAACAATTTTTAAAACCCAGCCAAGCAAGGTGACTCATGTCTATAATCCCAGCACTTTGGGAGGCTGAGGCAGGAGGATCATTTGAGGCCAGGAGTTCAAGACCAGCCTGGGCAACATAGTGAGATTCTGTCTCTACAAAAAATTAATAAAATAAAACAAAAAGCAAATAAATAAATAAATACAGAAGTCAATAATGAAGAAAATGAAAGACAAAAATCTATGAGACATACAGAAAAGAAAAGGTAAAATGGCATAAATCCTTATCAGTAATTACTTCAAATTTAAATGGATTCAACTCTGTAGTCAAAGTTGGAGAATGCAGAATACATTGTTTTAGAGATAGGATCCAACTATATGATGTCTAAGACACTCACTTTAGATCTGAGGACACAAATAGTTTGAAAATAAAAGAATAGAAAAAGATATTCCACGCAAATAGTCACCAAAAGAGAGCTGGAGTTGCTACACTAATATCTGACAAAATAGAATTTTTATTTTATTTATTTTTGGAGACAGGGTCTCACTGTTGTCCAGGCTGGAGTGCAGTGCCACAATCTTGGCTCACTGCAACCTCTGTCTCCCGGGTTCAAGCTATTCTTGTGCCTCAGCCTCCCAAGCAGCTGGGATTACAGGCGTGTCCCACCACACCCAGCTAATTTTTTGTATTTTTAGTAGAGACGGGGTTTTGCCATGTTGGACAGACTGGTCTTGAACTCCTGACCTCAAGTGATCTGCCCACCTCAGCTTCCCAAAGTGCTGGGATTACAGGCATGAGCCATTGCACCTGACCACAAAATAGAATTTAAATAAAGAATTGTTACAAAAGACAAAAATGACATTATACATTACTAAAAGGGTCAATTCATCAAGAATAAGTAATAATATATATGCACCAAACAATGTGACCTTAAAATATGTAAAGCAAACATTACATCATTGAAAGGAGAAATAGACAATGCAACAATAAGTAGTTGGAGACTTCAATACTCCATTTTCAATAATTGATGGAACAACTAGCCACAAGACCAGTAAGGAAATAGAAGTCTTGAACATTTATAAAACACTTGGACACTTGTATATATACAACATTCCACTCCATAACAGCAGGATACACATTTCTTTCAAGTGCATATGGAATATTCCTCAGGACAGACAGTACGTTAGGCGACAAAACAAGCCTTGTTATATTTTAAATAATTAAAATCATAGAAAGTATATTTTCCAGTCACAATGGAATGAAACTAGAACTCGATAATAGAAGGGGCTGAGCACGGTGACTCACACCTGTAATCACAGCACTTTGGGAGGAGAAGTTGGGAGGATCTCTTGGGCCCAGGGGTTCAAGATCAGCCTGGGAAACATAGAGAAACCCCATCTCTAAAAATAAAAATAAGTTGGGTGTGGTGGCTCACACCTGTAATCCCAATACTTTGGGAGGCTGAGGGAAATGAACTGCTTGAGCCCAAGAGTTCAGAACTTCCTGGGCAACATGGTGACATCCCATCCCTACTAAAAATACAAAAAATTAGCTGGTGTAGTGGTGTGCACCTGTAGTCCCAGCTTCCCAGGAGGCTGAGGTGGGAGGATCACCTGAACCTAGGAGATCAAGGCTGCAGTGAGCCATGATCGCACCACTGCACTCCAGCCTGGGCCACAGAGTGAGACCCTGTTTCAAAACAAAAATTAGCCAGGCATGGTGGCACACACCTATGGTACCAGCTACTCAGAAGGCTGAGGCGAGAGAACTACTTGAACCCAGGAGATCAGTGCTTCAGTGAGCCATGATCACACCACTGCACTCCATCCTGGCTCAAAAAAAAAAAAAGTAAATAAATTACAGGAAAAAAACCCTGAAAATTCATGATATTTGGAAATTAAACAACACATGCTTAACAACCAATGGATCAAAGCAAAAATCACAAAGGAAATATAAAAATACCTTGAGACAAATGAAAATGAAAACACAACATACCAAAACTTATGGGATGCAGCAAAGCTGTGCTAAGAGGAAAATTTTTAGCCATAAACACAATCAAAAAAGAAGAAAGCACCCTGGCGCGGTGGATCATGCCTGTAGTCCCAGTGCTTTGGGAGGCCAAGGGGGCAGGATTGAGGGAGACCAGCTCGGGCAACATGGCTAAACCCTGTCTCTACAAGAAAGATAGGAAAAATTCGCCAGGCATGGTGGCACGTGCCTGTAGTCCCAGTAACTTGGAAGGCTGAGGGATGAGAATCACTTGAGCCCAAGAGGTCGAGGCTACGGTGAGCTGAGATTACAGCACTGTACTCCAGCTTGGGCAGCAGAGCAAGACCTTGTCTCAAAAAAATTTTTAAAAATTAAAAAAAAAAAATTTTTTTAAAGAAAGGGCCAGGTGTGGTGGCTCATGCCTGTAATCTCAACACTTTGGGAGTCCATGGCAGGAGAATCATATTAGGCCAGGAGTTCAAGACCAACCTGGATTAACATAGCAAAACCCCATCTCTACAAAAAAGAGAGAAGGAGGAAAGAAAGGAAGAGGAAGAGAAAGAAAAAAAGAAGAAGGAGGAGGAGGATGTTGGGAAAAAGCTGAGTGTTGGGAGGGAAACTGAGGCAGGACTTGCATAATGTCCTCTGGAATGTGTCTAGACTTGCTGGCTCCTTGCTTCTAGCCCTCCTAGGCTCCTATTCCCATTATCTCAAGTAGCAGAACATGTTCCATATAAATGCTAAACTGTCACAGCTGTAGATCATGCGCCTGCCCTTTTGACCTCCACATTCTCACCACCTGTTTCTTTTTTTTTTTTTTAATACTTTAAGTTCTAGGGTACATGTGCACAACGTGCAGGTTTGTTACATATGTATACATGTGCCATGTTGGTGTGCTGCACCCATTAAGTCGTCATTTACATTAAGTATATCTCCTAATGCTATCCCTCCCCTCACGCCACAACGGGCCCCGGTGTGTGATGTTCCCCTTCCTGTGTCCAAGTGTTCTCATTGTTCAATTCCCACCTATGAGTGAGAACATGCCTCACCACCTGTTTCTTTGTTGGATTACCAATAAATACTGTGGACTCCCAGAGCGCAGGGCTTTCGCAGCCTCCATGATCACGATGGCCCCTTGGTGTCCCACCTTTATCTCTCAAACTGTCTTTGTCTCAATCCTTTGACTCCACCGGACTTTGTCACCCCCACGACCTGGTGTTGGGTCTGATCACCCCAACAGGAGGAGGGGGAGGAGGAGGAAGGGCGAGGAGGAAGAAGGAGGAGGGGGAGGAGAAGAGAAGAAGAAAGATTTGAAATTTTCTAACTGCACACCTTAAGGAGCTAGAAAAAGAAAAACTAAACTCAAAGCTAGAATTTTTAAAAATAATAAAGACTACAACTGAGATAAGTGAAATAGGGAATAGAAAACTATAGAGAACAGCTATGAAACAAAAAGTTGATTTCTTGAAAAAAATATTCTGAAGGAGCAATCTATAATACAAATAAAATAATACAGAAAAATAAATTTTAAAAGAAAAAAATCAACAAAATTGACAAACCTTTAGGTAAGGTGACTAAGAAAAAGAGAAGACTCATATTACCAAAATCACAAATGAAAGTGGGAACTTTACAATTTTACAGAAATAAAAAATACAATATAATACTATAAATGACTGTATAACAAACGATAATCTAGAAGAAATGGACAAATTGCTAGACATTGCATACCAAAACTGATTCATGAAGAAGCAGAAAATCTAAATAGACATATAACTAGTAAGGAAATTGAATCAGTAATTTTTAAACTCCCCCAAAAGAAAAGCCCAGGATCAGATGGCTTCACTGGCGAATTCTAGCAAACATTTAAAGCAGAATTAATATCAGCTGGGCATGGTGGCTCAACGCCTGTAATCCCAGCACTTTAGGAGGCTGAGGCAGGCGGATCACCTGAGGTCGGAATTTGAGACCAGCCTGACCAACATGGAGAAACCCCGTCTCTACTAAAAATACAAAATTAGCTGGGCATGGTGGCACATGTCTGTAATCCCAGCTACTCAGGAAGCTGGGGCAGGAGAATCGCTTGAACCCAGTTGGCAGAGGTTGCTGTGAGCCAAGATCACGCTATTGCACTCCAGCCTGGGCAACAAGAGCAAAACTCCATCTCAAAAAAAAAAAAGAAAGAAAAAGAAAAAGAAAAAGAAATAATATCAATCCTCCTCAAATTCTTCCCTAAATTGAAGAGGAAAGAACACTTCCTAACTTATTCTATGAGGGCATGTTCATAGTATCCTGATCCTATGGTATACTGATATCAAAACCAAAGGCACTACAAGAAAACTACAGATCTCATAAATATTGAATAAAATATACATGAATACTGAGTAAAAGTACTAGCGAACCAAGCTGAACATCGTATTAAAAAGATTATACACATTGGCCAGGCGCAGTGGCTCAAGCCTGTAATCCCAGTACTTTGGGAGGCCGAGGCAGGCAGATCACTTGAGGTCAGGAGTTCGAGACCAGCCTGGCCAACATGGTGAAACCTCGTCTCTACTAAAAATACAAAAACTAGCCGGCTGTGGTGGTACATGCCTGTAGTCCCAGCTACTTAGGAGGCTGAGGCAGAAGAATCACTTGGACCTGGGAGGCAGAGGTTGCAATGAGCTGAGATCATGCAACTGGACTCCAGCCTGGGCCACAGAGCAAGACTCCCTCTCCAAAAAAAAACAAAACAAAAAAAGAGTATACATCATGACCAGGTAGACTTTATTCCTGGAATATAAGGATGGTTCAACATATGGAAATCAATTAATGAACTATACCAGATTAACAGGATGAAGGGAAAAAATCACATGATTCTCTCAACCGATGCAGAAAAGACATCTGACAATATCCGACATCCTTTCATAATAAAACCACTCAGAAAACAAGGAATACAGGTAACTCTCTCAACATGATAAAGGCCATGTATGAAAAAAAATGTCCAGGTGTGGTGGCTCATGCCTGTAATCTCAGCACTTTGGGAGGCTGAGGCGGGTAGATCACTTGAGGTCAGGAGTTAAGAGACCAGCCTGGCCAACATGGTGATACCCCATCTCTACTAAAAATACAAAAAATTAGCCAGGCGTGGTTGCACACGCCTGTAATCCCATCTACTCGGGAGGCTGAGACAGGAGAATCACTTGAACTCAGGAGGCAGAGGTTGCAGTCAGCTGAGATTGTGCCATTGCACTCCAGCCTGGGCGACAGAGTGAGATTTCGTCTCAAAAACAAAAACAACCAAAAAACCCCACAGTTTATATCATCCTCAGTGACAGAAGGCTGGCAGGCTCAATGATTCATGCTCATAATCCCACTGCTTTGGGAGGCCAATGTGGTAGAATCACTGGAGCCCAGGAGTTCAAGAGAAGCCTGGGCAACATTACAAGACACTGTCAAAGCAAGGTCAAATCAAGGGTCAAAGCAAGGTCAAAGGAAGGTCAAAGCAAGACCCTACCAAAAAAAATCTTGGTGTAGTGGTGCATGCCTGTAGTCCTAGTTACTCAGGAGGCTCAGACAGGAGGATCACTTGAGCCCAGGAGTTTGAGGCTGCTGTGAACCACGATTACATCACTGCACTCCAGCCTGGAAAACAGAGGAAGACTCTGTCTCGAAAAATAATTTTTTTTTTTAATGATGAAAGACTGAAGGTTTTTCCTCTAAGATCAGGCAGAAGAGGGCTGGGGGTGGTGGCTCATGCCTGTAATGCTAGCACTTTGGGAAGCTGAGGTGGGTGGATCACAAGGTCAGAAGTTCAAGGCCAGCCTAACCAACATGGCAAAACCCCGTCTCTACTAAAAATGCAAAAATTAGCCGGGCGTGGAAATTAGCCAGGCACCACACCTGGCTAATTTTTGTATTTTTAGTAGAGACAGGGTTTTGCTATGTTGGCCAGGCTGGTCTTGAACTCCTGACCTCAGTTGATCTGCCCACTTCTGCCTCTCAGAGTGCTGGGATTACCGGCACGAGCCCACCATGCCCAGGGGAGATACTTTCTTTTTTATATTTTGAGATAAGAAAAGCTTTATTTAAAGTCAACTGGCAAGGAAGGAGGGAATGCTCAATCTCTTTTCCTGAGCTAGGGGTTGGGTTGGGTTTTATAAGCACAGGGTAATAATGAGGCATGATCTAATTGGATCTCACAATGAGGTGATGCTGGAAGGTAATATCTGACTGGATCCTGCCGTGGGGTGATGCCAGAGCTTGATCTGATTGGATCCTGGATCCTGCCATGTGGTGTGTGGTGTCCGATGTTTTGTTTTTTAACTTTGTTTTTTGTTTTTTTGAGACAGAGTCTCGCTTTGTCACCCAAACTGGAGTGCAGTGGAGCGATCTCAGCCTACTGCAAACTCTGCCTCCCAAGTTCAAGCAATTCTCCTGCCTCAGCCTCCTGAGTAGCTGGGATTACAGGCATGGACCACCACACCTGGCTTTTTTTTTTTTTTTCCTTTTTTGGTAGAGACAGGGTTTCACCAAGTTGGGCAGGCTGGTCTCAAACTCCTGACCTCAAGTGATCCGCCCACCTCGGCCTCCCAAAAGGCTGGGATTACAGGCATGAGCTACCATGCCTGGCCTTGTTTTTTAACTTTTATTTTACATTAAGTTGTACATATGCAGGTTTGTTATATAGGTAAACTTGTGTCACGGGGGTTTGTTGTACAGATTATTTTCTCGCCCAGGTACTAAGTCTAGTACCCAATAGTTATTTTTCCTGCTCCTCTCCCTCCTCCCACCCTCCACTGGGTTCCAGCATCTGTCGTTCCCCTCTTAGTGCCTATGAGTTCTCATCATTTAGTGAGAGAATATAAGTGAGAATATGTGGTATTTTGTTTTCTGTTCCTGCGTTAGTTTGCTAAGGATAATGGCCTCCAGCTCCATCCATGTTCCTGCAAAGGACATAATCACATGTCTTTTTTTATGTCTGAATAGTATTCCATGACATATATGTACATTTTCTTTATCCAATCTGTCATTGATGGGCATTTAGGTTGATTCCATGTCTTTACTATTGTGAATAGTGCTGCAATGAACAGACGTGTGCATGTGTCCTTATGGCAGAACAACTTACATTCCTTTGGGTATATACCCAGTAATGGGATTGCTGGGTCGAATGGTAGTTCTGCCTTTAGGTCTCTGAGGAATTGCCACGCTGCTTTCCACAATGGTTGACCTAATTTACACTCCCACCAACACTGTACAAGTGTTCCCTTTTCTCTATGACCTTGCCAGCATGTTATTTTTTCTTTTTTTTACTTTTTAATAATAGCCATTCTGGCTGATGTGAGATGGTATCTCATTGTGGTTTTGATTTCTGTTTCTTTAATGATCAGTGATATTGAGTTTTTTTTCAAATGTTTGTTGGTTGCATGTATGTCTTCTTTCGAAAAGTGTCTAGGAATGAGATACTGTCACCACTTCTATTCAACATAGTGTTAAAAGTTCTAACCAGAGCAATTTGGCAAAAATGAAATGAAAAGAAAAGAGAAAAGAGAGAAAGAGAGAGAGAGAAAGAGAGGGAGAGAGGGAGGGAGGGAAAAGGGAAGGGGAAGGGAAAGGGGAAGGGGAGGGAGGAAGGAAAAGAGTGTCCAAATTAGAAAAAAATTAAACTTATCTCTATTTGCAGATAGATTTTATATTCTAAAACAGTAAATACGCCACTGAAAATGTATTATAACTTGTCTGAGTGTGGTGGAGCATGCCTATAATCCCAGCACTTTGGGAGACTGAGGCAGGACAATCACTTGAGCCCAGGAGTTTAAGACCAGCCTGGGCAACAACGTGAGACCCCATCTCTACAAAAAATAAAATAATTAGCCAGGCATGCTGGCATGCCTGTAGTCCCAGCTATTCAGGAGGCTGAGGCAGGAGGACTGTTTGAGTCCTGGCAATGGAGACTGCAGTGAGCTATAACCGTGCCACTGCACTCCAGCCTAGACAACAGGGTGAGACCCTATCTTGAAAATTTTTTTTAATAAAAAAAATTACTAGAACTAATAAATGAACTTGGCAAAATTATAGGATACAAAATCAATACACAAAAATCAGATGCATTTCCTTCCTTCCTTTCCTTTCCCTCCCTCCCTCCCTCTCTCTCTCTCTCTCTTTTTCTTTCTTTTCTTCTTTCTTTCTTCCTATCTGTCTTTTTTCTTTTTGAGACAGGGTCTCACTTTTTCACCCAGGCTGGAGTGCAGTGACACGATCATCACTAACTGCAGCCTTGACCTCCCAGGCTCAAGCAGTTCTCCCACCGTAGCCTTCGGAGTAGCTAGGAGGGACTACAGGTGCTCATCACCATGCCTAGCTAATCTTCCCCCTCCCTCCTTCTCCTCCCCCCTCCCCCCTCCCCCCTCCCCTCCCCTCCCCTCTCCTTTCCTTTCCTTGACAGGGTCTTGATCTGTCGCCCAGGCTGGAGTGCAATGGCGTGACTCAGCTCACTGCAACTTACGCCTCCCCAGTTCTAAGTGATTCCCTTGCCTCAGCCTCCCGAGTAAGTAGAATTACAGGTGTGCCACCATGCCCAGCTAATTTTATATTTTTAGTAGAGACAGGGTTTCACCATGTTGGCCAGGCTGGTCTCGAACTCCTGACCTCAGGTGATCCACCCGCCTTAGCCTCCCAAAGTGCTGGGATTACAGGCGTGAGCCACTGCACCCAGCCCCTGGCTAATTTTTTTAATTTTTATTTTTAGAGATGGCATTTCACTGTGTTGCCCAGGCTGGTCTTGAACTCCTGGCCTCAAGTGATCCTCACTCTTCAGCCTCCTGAATTGCTGGGATTATAAGTGAGGGCCACCATGCCTGACTTTAGCACCACTTATCTTGACACATGAAAAAGATAAACCATTCTGTTCCCACTGTTCCTGCCATCTGGTGGTCTCTTACTTGCAGCTGTATACACTCCTAACTGATGTACCTGTAATTCCCTGCTGTCCACCACCTGACTATTAGCACCCCTTCTCCTACTGTTGCCCCACAGCAGAGTCCTCAACCTCAACACTACGGACATTTTCAACCACAGAACTCTCTTGTGGGGGCTGCCTTGTACATTGCATGATTTTAACAGTATCCCCGGCCTCTTCCCACCTAAAGCCAGTAGCATCCATTGCCCAGATATGATAACCTAAAATGTTTCTTGGCTGGCACAGTGGCTCACACCTGTAATCCCAGCACTTTGGGAGGCTGAGGCGGGCAGATCACTTGAGGTTAGGAGTTCATGACCAGCCTGGCCAACATGGTGAAACCCCATCTCCTAAAAATACAAAGATTAGCTGGGTGTGGTGGCACATGCCTGTAGTCCCAACTACTTGGCAGGCTGAGGCAGGAGAATCACTTGAACCCGGGAGGTGGATGGAGGTTGTAGTGAGCCAAGAACACACCACTGCACTCCAGCCTGGGCAACGGAGCAAGACTCTGTCTCAAAAAAAAAAAAACAACAATATTTCTATACTTTCCCAAAAGCCCCACTGGGGCAAATCTGGCCAAGAACCACCACCCTGCAGGAAGCCTGTGCTAAGCCAACTAATCTGCTCCCTCCACCCAGCTCTGCTATAACCAAGCCAAGCCTGTCTCTCAGGCTTCTCCGGGCCTTCCCAACGCCTGCGCATACAATCTCCTTGGCAGTGAGGATTTCTACCACCACCCAGGCCTGAGTGGTCTCTCCCTCCTCTGGCCATGATAGCAGGGGTTGGCTGTCTCCCTTGGCACTTGGCCTAACCATCACTGCATTCATGCATTTTGCTTCTAAAAGCTGAGGTCCTGGTTCCCGGGGCGGGGGCCATACCTCCTACACCAAGAATCCTTGAACCTATAGGGGTCCAATTTGTACATTTCGGTGATTGTATTAGGTACTTCGCTTCACGAATACAGCTGCAGTCAGGACCCGTTGCTGTCAAAGCCATAGACTCAGGACTGTGTGACCCTCCATCTCCCCACTGCTGGAACAGCCACAAGCAGTTCAGGAGCCTGGTCCCCCAGCCCACTGCTGAGGAGAAGGGCGTGTTGGTCCATGGAGGGGATGAGGCAGGCTGAATCTATAAAGGGTCGGGGGGTCCCAAGTACTTCCTGAGGGCTCCCTGAATGGGAGGATGGGCAGCTCTGCCCTGACTGTTGCTCCCAGCATCCCAGCTGCAGGTTCTGATGGAAGAGGGTCTTAGCCTGGGCAGGGCTAAGATGGTGAAGCCAGACCACTAGCAGGGGTAGCCACCAGAAATGGAGATCACATGTCAAGGCTGAGGGGAGGCAAGGTCTGGGGACTGGCCCTACATGCTTACTCTCTACTGTACAAGCATCAGTTGCTTCTCACATTCGTCCCAGCCCTGCAAGCTGATGGGTAGCCTTCATCCTGGACCCTTTGTCTTCTGTGATGGTCCCCCTCAACACAAAACTGCATTTTCTAACCTTGAACCAACAAGTTGTACAGTGAGCTGTGGGGAACAAAAGGGGCCATGAGAGGGGCCTGAAGCAGGGTCTCCCAGATGGGAGCAGGCATGGGCCCCTGCCTACTACGCCTGATACCCCTGGCCTTGACAAACATGAGACCCGTGGAGGACGAGGATGAGGGCTTCCTGTCTGAGCCCTGAGTCATGGAGGTGACACAGAGGGAGGGTCCTGCCTGCTGCACGGGGGGCACAGAGTCCAGCTCCATGCGGTGCTATTCCTACCACATCCTTCCCTCTGCTTTTAACTGGAATTAGTCCTCAAGAGCCTCAGGCAGTAGAAAGGTTGTGAAAAGAGAATTACCTCCGGGGCATTAAGGATACTCTCAGGGAAAAGCTTTTAATGAACCACTGGACTCAGGAACACACAGATATGCAACTTGGCATGGTCCTTGCCTCCGAAGAGCTCCCACATCAAGGTGGGGACAGGCCCCAGCAATTAGAGCTTCATGAGGTCAGAGCAGCATCAGACACACAGAGGAGGATGCCCAGCCCAGGCTGGCGCTCAGGAAGACTTCCTGGAGGAGGCCACGCGTGGGTCAGAGAGGTCTCACAACCTAGGGTTGCACATTTAGCAAATAAAAAGCAGGATGCCCAGCTATACTGGAATTTCAGAGAAACAGTGAATATCTGTTTTAGCATATGTCCCAAATATTGGACAGGACACGGTTATGCTGTAAAATTCCTCATTATTTGAAATTCCAATCTAGCTAGACATCTCCTACTTTACCTGGCCTCCCACGTCACCATGACTTTCGGATTAAGTGTTGGGCTCAGAGAAGGGATGTGACAGGGAAGTTTCATATCCAGGACTTGAACCTAGGTATCCCACCTCCAATTCCAGACTAGAGTCTGACAGACACAGCACCTCCCCTCTACCACTTAGCCAAGTGACATTGGGCTGGCTAGTTAATCTAAGCTTTTGCCAATCTGCAAAATAAATGTGTGTGGTGGATATTAAAGCCTTGCCTCTCAAATGTGGACTAGAGACCAGCACCTTTGGGCTCACCTGGGACGGAGGTGAGAACTCAAATGCAGAACCCCAGGCTGTGCCCTAGACGTATTCTCGTGGAAGTATGGAGACACGTCCCAGAAGGCAATGGTGGATTCAACAGGCATTGGGAGGTGCTAGCACAGAGCTGGGCTGCAACAGGCGTGCCAGGTGCCTGAGCCACTTCGGCCCCTACAGGAACCCTTGGAGGGGACATTTTACCCCCACTTACAGGTGAGAACCTAGAGAAGGCCAAGAAAAGTGACATGCCTTCCCTGTATGAGACCATACAGTCAGAAAGTGGCCATCATGGTCTGACCTGGCCACTGTGCCCACAGAGCACCTGGGACATTGAGGCGAGCCACAGCAGGATGCTGCGTGGTGGAGGCAACCCTTGGGGTGTTCGTCGGAAGACCCCCTTGATGTGCCTTGTTCTTTAGCCCACTGTTGCCACAGATACCCTCAGTGCATTCTACGCCAAACCTACTGCATCTCAGCAGGTTTGCGGATAGGCTGGAGGGATAACAAGACACTGGATGCATTGAGTTCTGAAAGCATTTCAGGATAAATAAACTAAATACTGTGCATTTGCCCAGTGTCATGCCTGGCACAGAGCAGGTCTGCTTGGCCAAGGCACCTTCCTCTCTGCAATGATGAACCACTCCTTCCCTTCCTTACCCTTGTAAACATGGCTGTGAGGAATGGAAGAGCAGCAACTCACAGCCTGTTCCACAAGGCAGGAGTCTTACATAATGATGTTCCTGGGGAAAAGGATGACAGCTGACGGGGCACCTTCCCTGCTCAAATTCAACTTTATCACCATTGCCTCTTGGGGCCCCGCCCCTGAAGTCCAAAGTCTCACAACTAATTCCCCCAAAGCTGAGTCATTCATCCTTAGCAGATGCAGGCAGAGAATCCGCTGGGCTGGGAATGCACCCTGAGCCTTTTGTGCTCCAGGTCCAGAGGTTTCTGGGCACACCACTGTCCTCCCATCTGCTATCACCAGCTATATCATCAGAATGCTGTTGGCCGGGTGTGGTGGCTCACGCCTGTAATCCCAGAACTTTGGGAGGCCGAGGCGGGTGGATTACCCGAGGTCAGGAGTTCATCCTGGCCAACATGGTGAAATCCCATCTCCACAAAGATACAAAAATTAGCCAGGCATGATGGTGGGTGCCTGTAATCCCAGCTACTCAGGAGGCTGAGGCGGGAGAATCGCTTGAACCCAGGAGGCGGAGGTTGTACTGGGCCGAGATGGCGCCACTGCACTCTAGCCTGGGTGACAGAACAAGACTCCATCTCAAAAAAAAAAAAAAAAAAAAGAAAGAAAAAAAAAAAGAATGCCCTTGTTTTCAAAAACCCTCCATCTTCTGTATCCTTTGAATTTTTAATATGTGACTATTACATTTTTTTAAAAAATCAAATTTTCAGCCCCCATTGCATATTTTGGTAACAACCCTCTGGTCTTTTCACCCTCAAATGTGCAGGGATCCCTCCCACCCCAGGGAATTTGCACATGCTGTCTCCCCTGCTAGGATTGCTGTTCCCTCCCACCCTTCCCATCTCAGCATAAACCTCACTTTCTCAAGGAAGGCAGCATTCTCTCCAACTGGGTGAGGGCCCCTTATAGCCCTCCAGTACCCTGAACTCCCAACATGACTATTGAGCAGTCTGCATTGGCTGACCATCTCTGCTCCTTGCCTCATAGACTGTGCCTTGTCCATCTGATTCCAGACCATAGCACAGTCCACACAGCCAGGCACCCATTCAGGTATACATGTGGGCAAAACTGTGCCAGCCCAGAGTGGAGAGGCCACTGCATTCTCCTGACCTTCCTGCTTCAGCCCAGGGCGTCACCAGCCTGAAAACCATCCAAGCTTCTCTGCTGTTTAGTGAAGCCTTAGGCTTCCACGCAGCATGTGCCACACCTCCTTCCTCCCTTCCAGGCCCACATGCCCTCTGTGCTGTTTGGCCCTGGACAGCCCTAGGTTCATTTGCCCATAGCACACATACCCTCATCCAAGGCCTGCCCCAGTCCTGATTTGCACATTTGTGCAAAGGGCACAGGCTTTGGCCAGACTAAGTCCAAGAGGCCAACCCTGAGTGCCTGTTTGTTCACACGTAAATGGGCACATGGTACCTGCCTCCCAGGTGGGGTGTTGAACGAGCCATTTATACTTACTTTCTCTCTGTAGTCTCAGGACACGAAGATGGACCTTCCTGTTCTTTATTTTTTAAAGATAGAGTCTCACGGCCAGGCATGGTGGCTCACGCCTGTAATCCCAGCACTTTGGGAGGCCGAGGTGGGTGGATCACCTGAGGTCAGAAGTTCAAGACCAGCCTGACCAACATGGTGAAACTCTGTCTCTACTAAAAATATAAAAAACTTAGCCAGGCGTGGTGGCGGCCACCTGTAATCCCAGCTACTCAGGAGGTTGAGGCGGGAAGAATTGCTTGAACCCAGGAGGCAGAGGTTGCAGTGAGCTGAGATTGCACCACCACACTCCAGCCTGGGCAACAAAGTGAGACTCTGTCTCAAAAAAAAAGAGAGAGAGTGTCTCAGTATGTTGCCCAGGATGGAGTGCAGTTGCGTGATCATACAGCCTCGAACTTCTGGGCTCAAGCAATCCTCCCATTCTTTCCAATGCCCTGGCCCCAGAGCGCCCACATGGTGCCTAACCCCACAGCAAAAGCCCCCGTGGTACCAGCTACTCCACCAGGGTGGACAGGCCAGAACCCAAATCTTGCAAAGAACCTCATTCACCAGGCAACTTCTAAGCCTCATCTTCCCCACCTAAAACATAGAAATAGCTTCCCCCAGGGATGCCGTTAGGAGGAAGGAATGTACACTTTGAACAAACAGCCTCCATATCTTTACCCAAGCTCCTCTGCTCCGGGCCCAGACCCTGCTATCCCCAGGCACGAATACAGCATAAGGCTGGCTCCATGTTCCTCTACCCCACCCCCCAAAGAAGGAAATCACTGGGGAAACCAATCTCCTCTCCATCAGGGTGGCTCTGGGATACAAGCTCTTGGTAGGGTGTGCTTGGAAGTGACAGGGTCAGAGAGATAAACATAGTGGAGACAGACTGTGCATCACTTTAGAACACAGCTTGGCTAAAACATCCAGAGCACTCACTGTCCCCAGGACCAGCCTCAGCACTCCATGAAGCCAGGTGGGAAGGCCAACCTAGGGCAAGGACCAGGCCTCAGCACTGCAGGCACTCTCTGCCCTGTCTTGTCTTCCAAGAGGTGGCAGCGATGCCCACTGATAGGGTCTGTGCAGTTGACAGATGTCTCCCAGCAGATGCTCAAATGGTTGCTCTTTATCTCCAGTTCCATTAACTCTTTGTCCTTCTGAATACTGCTAACCACCAAACTGCAAGAATATCGTCTGCAGCTCCTTAGCAGCTCTAGTTCACACCTGCCCAGAAAGTACCACTGTCCTGCCCCCATCATACACACTGGCTTCGTGGAAATCCTTGGGTGTTAACAGAAGAGGAGCAGGGATCATGGAGGCCCCAAATCTCGGGTCCTGCTAGCTTCAGTCCTACCATGACCAAAGACACAGACTCCTTCGTCTCTGTATAAGCTTTTGCCGAGAAAAAACTTGGTTCTTTCTAAAATACTCAGGCACTCTCCTAGTTTCTCCCCACTCTCCTGCTGCCCCAACCTCCTCATGCCCCCAGCATGGCCTTGTGACGCCTGGTAAGCAGGTGACATGCAATCTAGGACCCCAAGCCAGCAGAGAAGCCCAGCCTTCAGGCTGAGAAGGCAGCTGGAGAGCTCAGGCCAGGGCATAAGGGACAGTACACATGTGTGTATGTCACACCACCGCTTATGCACATAACACACAGACACAGCTCACACATCAACAGTTGTTCAGAAAGGGACCAGCAGATAGCTGCCCCGGCTCCTCTAAGGAAGAGCAGGCAGCTTCCCCCCGAATCTACATGTGCGTGTGCTCGGGGAGAGGAAGGCTGGCGGTCAGGAAGGCCCATCTCCCAGCCTGATCCCAGGCAGCAGGGCTGCAGGAGCTGGGCAGGAAGGCTCTGGGCCGGCCATAGCCACCTGCCAGCAAGGGCAGGCTTCTCTTCTCATGGCTGGGGCAGCTCGGCACAGCTGACCTCTGCTGGCCAAGTGAAGCACTGCATGCAGCCACAGAGCCAGGCACAGCTGTCTTCCGAAGTTTCCCGACTCCTGATGTTTTGGGGATTCAAATAGTCCTTTTCATATGCTGGAGGCACAAACTGGGGCAGCTAAAATTTTTATTCTGTTGTCAAGGGGCAAGATGCCAGCTTGGAAGTGCCAAGGAGCTAAAGGGCCCAGCACTGCCGGCCCCAGAACTGTCTGTTCAGGCTGTGCAGTAAGCACCAGAGCCTCGCCTGTCCACGAAGGGTGTAAGCCTGTGCTCCACAATGTGCTCAGCTCCAGAGAGGCCCAACAACCTCAGGAGGGCTTGGCTGTGGGTCTGAATTTCTTTCCTTTGTGCTTGAAGCTGCGCAGTGGGTTCTGGGACTTTGCTCTCTAAGGAGGCAAAGTCACAGGTTAGTTGGGGGAATCAGGCCGACAGACAATCCACCCACCCACCCACCCAACTGAGAAAGACACAAAGGGAGCCGTGCCGGCAACTGGCCAACACGACCAGAAGGTGCTGCAGATAAGGAAATGGGGAAAGGCAGCTGGGGAAAGAAAAGCAGGGCCTGCAGGCGGCTGCAAAAGTACCCCTATCCCACACCAGATTTTTGGGGCCCGGTTCTAGGGTGCCCCCTCTTCCCCTCCCTAGGGCACCCTCTCTTCCCCTCCCTAGGGCAAGGCGCCTCCACATTCTGGTGATGACAAAAGAGCAGGTTGGGAGGAGTCCTGGGGCTGTCCGCAGTCCCCAGGAGCCGTACCTTGGCCTTCCTACAAGAGGAAGACAGCTTCTTCCGCTTCTTGTGAGGGCGCACCAGGCCACGGAGAGCAGGAGGAACTGGAAGAGATGCTTGCCTGAGCAGTGGGCTCACCGCTACTGCTCCCATCCCTGCCCTCCCGCTGATTCTGCAGCAAATTCTCCAATTCTGACCCAACTGGCAGCCTATGACATACATCTATTCACTACCACATCTGCACAGGGCCAGGAGAATGTGAGCACCTTAGACTTCCACTATTTAAATCACTCTCCTATATTGTTTAGATTTGTTACAACAAACATGTAACAAGAAAGAAAAAGACAGACATCCTTAAAGAAAGAAAATGCAGCTGAAATAAAAGTCAACAGGTAGTTTCTTCACCTGTGGCCCATTACTACCGATACAGGGGGCCCCGCATCCCAGCTGCACCTGATCTTGGCTCTATCTTCACCTCGCCCACCCCATGGACTCCCCCAGGCCAACCACACCTGGGCCCTCCCCTTCAAATGTCAAACATCCCACATCCTGACACCTTTCCACCTTCTCCTGGCCCTTCTAAACCTCCTGGCCACACCTTGGCAAATGACTCCGCTATACGAGCAGACTGGGTTCCTGAGGCCAAAGTTCTAGCCTTACCTTCTCCCTCCCTACCCACCCTCCCAACTCCCCTCCTCACATCTCAGGCCAGGACCTGGACTGGGGTCTCCTCCAGCTCACTGTCCCATGGGAACCCGGCCCCCACCGCTCTCTCTGGCATTTTCATGTTCCCATCTCTTCTGGATCCTTCCTTTCCCAGTGCCCAGGCTTTTCCTGCCCTGGAACATTCCATCTCCACCCTTTGTCACCTCCATAGCAGCAACACCACACCCGCTGGGTGGCTGCAGGTCCAGGCTGAGCAGACCCTGTGGCATTGGGAAGGGTCCTGCACTTGCTGCCCACAGCCTCCTCTCCACCACTCTCCTCCTTCAATCCATTTTAGGCATAAAAGTCACACATACTCATTACCAAAAACACCTCCTATGAGACACTGAAAGAAGTCATTACCCAGAGCCTGCCAAAGATGAGGAGAGGTGCCCAGTATTAATGGCCACATAAAGCTCTAGCCTGGGCTGCACTACAGAAACCAATCCCAGGGTCCTGACCTCATGCCTGCCAACCCCTGCATCCCTCGCACCACCACTGGCTCTTCTCTTGCTACCTTGTCGGTTTAGGCCTTACAGAGTCTGTCTCCCTGCTGACTGTTCTTACCCAGAGACTCCACAGATGCCTCTTCAGCAGCTGCTAATCTTGAGTCTTTTGCAGCACAGGTGGCTCTCTCTGCCTCCTGCCCGTGACTCTCTCCCAAACCTGTTCACTCCCTTCGACCCATGGATGGCCATTTGGCCCAGCTCTGGAGACGACCTGGCCTGAAATGCTGGGTCTGCCACCCACCCTGCACTACCTCAATTTCCTCATCTCTAAAATGGAGACAGCAACAGCTAACCCGTGGGACCAAGCAAACAAGTTTAGAAACACAGGGGTGTGCCTGTTTACATGCCCGCGTGCTGCCAGGGTCTCCAGGTTCTATTCTGCCTGAGCATCCCCAGCACCAAGCACAGGGGCTGACCCAGCAGTGGAGAAATTAATGCCACTTCCCCAGCCTGCTGCCTCCTGCCCTGTCAGGCCACACTCACCCAGGTAGTCAGGAACATGGCCCAGGTGGGGCTTCACCACTGCGGGGTGCAAAGGTAGGTCATGCCGCAGCAGCTGGAGGTCCCTAGGGTTGTCTTCAAAGTATGTCTGCCGGGGGAAGAGGGAGAGCCACAGAGTGAGCATCTTTCTTCTGTGACTTCACAGACCTAGCTTTTCAAAGGATAACACACTCATGTGTTTCAAAAGGCATGAGGCAGCTGCTTCTGTGCATTTCTCAGAACCTCCCGGGAGTGGATGTTTCCATTTTCCCTTCTCCATGACACACATGGCAGTACCCTGTACCCCTTTTTGCTGGGCATCATCTTACAGACTGTTCCATATGGACACGCAACCAACCTCATTCCTTCCCATGTAACCTTCGGCTCTGAATGCACCTGAGTTTACCTAGCAAGCCCCCTATGGTGGCCCCAGGCTGTTTCCATCTTTTGGTTCCATGATAATGCCATGGATGGATGAATGCAGGCACATGCTTGACTGTGCACATTCACAAGCGTGACCAGGATTAAGTTCCAGAAGTGGAATTTCGGATGAAAGGACACATGAGCTCGTAATTCTGCTGGACAGTGTCCACCATAAGGTTGTGCCAATTTACCACCAAGCAGAACAGACTGGCTTCCTTCCATGATTCTGGGTCCATTTCCTCCCCTTCCGTGCCAAAGGCCAGAAAACTGCCCAGTTCTCTGCTTCTCACCACTCGGAGCTCAGCCAGTCTCCAAAAAGGGCAGCCGTCTAAGATCTATCCCCTTCTCACCTCCCATCCACTCACCTTAAGCTTCTCAGAATGCAGAAGCTCTTCCTTGATCTCCTTCAATCTTGCCTCCCGAATGGCCTGCTTAGTCACTGAGCGCATGGCATCCTGGGGGTGGACACTGAAGGTCAAGACAGTGAGGCTGCCCCAAATCCTCCCTTCACACCTGGATGCTCAGCAAGACGGTGCAATCCCTGGGCCACAGCCCCTCCCCTCTCATTCCCCTCCCCACCACAGCAGCTCACCCTGCAGCGATAGCGGAAGCCCTCGATCTCCTCCATCCGGAACTGGTAGGGGAGCAGAATGGGGCCCCTGTTCTCTGTGGAGAAGAAAGCAGCGAGGGTCCCACAGGCTGAGGCCTTAGGATAGGGTCTTCATTGGAGGCCTCCTGCACCTCCCCCTTGGGGGAAAGCAGCAGGGGACCCACCGCCTTCCTGGGATGCCGAACATGCAGGTTAGCTGCACCTGGGCCTCTTACAGTGATGACCCATCTGTCCCCGTGTGTGGATGGGGGTGGCCTGTGTGGCCCCAAGCCCAAGAACCCGTCACCCACTCTCTTCTCCTCTCCCAAGGAGTACCCCATGGTATTCCTTGGGAGTCAAGGTACCCCCATGACGACGGCCACAGAGAGCAGTCCAGGACCACCCAGCACCCTGGGGTCAGGTGCTGTCCTGAGCTGTCACAGCAGCCTGTCAGGTCACTCAACGCTCATGAGGCAGACAGTAAACACAACTTTGGACAAATTACCTCAATTTGTTTATCTCTCAAGGGGGACAGTGCCTGCCACTCAGGGCAGAACAAGGATGGATGGTGGAAGTGGCCTGTCACACTATGTTGTGACCTCTGTCATCATTATCATGGAGTTTTAAAGCATTGTGGAAGAAGCCTGACCCTGGCCCAGGACCACAAGAGCCAGGCTCTTACCTCCACTGAGAAGCTCCTCAATCTTGCCTAAGTGGAACTGCTCCGTGGGAAGCACAAAGGTTAAGACTATGCCTGGGTTGTTAGCGCGTGCTGTCCTGCAAGGGAAGACAGTGCAGCTTGCATCTCCAACCCGCAGGCTCTGTCCAGCACACCCCAAGTCCCTCAGTGTGCCTACCATGCAGATGCCTGGGCCGTCACACTACTACCTGCCAGCTCGATGGATGTAGGCCTCAGGGGTTGGGGGAAGATCAAAGTTGAGCACAGCAGACACATGGTGGAAGTCTATGCCCCGGGCCACACCTGCTTCCGGATCAGAGGCCCTGCAGAGATAACTCAATGTCAGCCGGACCCTTCCTCTCCTCTGGGCACGTATTCACACGCTGAATCAGCAAAACTTCCTCTAAATGCCTGTAGATCATAAGACCCTGACATACAGAGGACTCTCCAACAATGGAACCGTTCCAGGAGTCAGGGTTTCCTGGGGCAGCCTGGAGCTTTGACATGTACCCAAATCTCGGCCTGACCTCTGTTCTGGGACAACAGCAGAACTCATTGCCCTACATGGTGATCTGAAAACCAACTCTGAGCTAGTCAAGCCTTCAGCTGGACAGAGACTGGAGAGTTGGGGGGTTCCTTTTCCCTTCAGAAATATGCTCCCTGCAAGTCACAGCCATACCACCAATGCAGGATGGGCCATCTCCCCTGCAGGGCTCTGCATGCCAACAACCCCGGCAGTTTTGCCCTTCGTGGTGCATGTGCAGTGTGCACCATCCACTCCCTTCTCTATATCCAGGCAGCTGAGCAAGAACCTGTGGGGCTCTCTGGGCTACACTACCAGCCAGGCCTGGAAGGTTTGGCTCCCTGCTCTGTGCACTCTGGTTTTAGTCTTCCAAAAAGCTAAAAACACAGGCATTTCTGGGGAGGGATGGAAAAAGAGGCATGGACTCACTTGTCCCCTTTGGGCCCTCGGCCCCGACGCTTGCCCTTGACTGGGGCCCCCAGGACTTCAGCATCAGTTGCTATGACACAGTCGTAGAAGCCTTGGTTGAACTGTGAGATGATGTGGCACCTGCAGCCAAGAGCGGACAGAGAATCAGCTCAGCAGAGCAAGCTCAAGGCCCCTCTGCCATCCCTAGTATCACAGTAACCATCACCCTTTCCTTTTTCCTCTTCTTAATCTCTTTCCCTACTTAATCATTGTGCCTCAGTTTCCTCAGCTGGAAATAATTATAGGGTTTTGTTTTTTTGAGACAGAGTTTCACTCCTGTTGCCCAGGCTGGAGTGCAATGGCACGATCTTGGCTCACTGCAACCTCCACCTCCCGGGCTCAAGCAATTCTCCTATCTCAGCTTCCTGAGTAGCTGGGATTACAGGTGCCTGCCACCATGTCCAGCTAATTTTTGTATTTTTAGTAGAGACGGGGTTTCACCATGCTGGCCAGGCTGGTCTTGAACTCCCGACCTCAGGCGATCCGCCCACCTCGGCCTCCCAAAGTGCTGAGATTACAGCAGGCATAAGCCATGGTGCCCGGCCATGATAGGTATTTTGGAGTTGGGAGAAGTCAGTATCAGTCACATCTAGAACCTGGCCCCTACTAAGTGCTTAAGAAACAGAACATTAACTGGGTCCCCTTTCCATCTCTATCTTCAACTTATTTCAACCAAGATGTTGGCTGTGGCAGACCTGGAGCGCAGTGGAAGCTCTCCATTGAGCACACAGGTGGGGATGCTGAACTGTTCCAAGAACAGGCGTAGCCGGTAACTCCGTTCTAGAGTGTTGACAAAGAGCAGAGACTTGCCCCGAATCAATGACAGCTTGAGCAGGGCATACAGCAGGAGGAATTTGTCTTCCTCAGTCTCACAGACCACCTGAAACTGCTGTAACTGGTCTGGCCCAGGCAGCTGGGACTCCTGTAACTTAAGGGTAACCTGGGGGAGAAAACAGGCCTGTGGTCAGAAAGGAAAAGAACACAGAGATGTATGGCCACTTACTCACCAACCAAAGCATCAACATTTTAGTGCAGGGCAGAGATGCATTTAAGGATTCCTGGCACCCTAACTCTCCTCCAGTTTTGTAACCTAAAACCCCAAAATGCCCTTATTGTTGTGGTATATAGAGTATACCATATAAACCATATATAAAATACTTCCAAGCACAGAACAAAGAGAAACACATCAATAAAGGACTACATTGAGAAGGGAAGGCCTACAGCAACAGGCCTTCTGAAAGGTAAAGTTTACTTAAGATGAGAACCTTGGCCTTAGAATTTTGGCTCTGCTGCTCAAAGCTGCCCCTTAGGGGAGGTCCTTGCTCAGGATTTTAGGCAAAGCATGGCCTGAAATGGGAGACATCCCTTGTGGACACTTGGAAATATATAGTGATTTTAGACCACTGGCTTTTAGTGCCTCAGGACCAGGGATGAGACACTAAGTGACAACTGTCCCACCCAAAACACCAAAGAATCCCCTAAGAAGGAGCATCAAGATCTTTGAGTGCCCCCATGTCTGCAGCTCCAGACACTTCCATGGTGCCTCTTACCGGGTTATGTAATATCAGCTCCTTGAGTGCTTGTACGTCCTCGTTAAAAGTAGCTGACATGAGAAAAGCCTGGTAAATCCGGGGCAAGTGACTGAAATGAAAGAATCCAATCAGATTCCAGCTCCAAGGGCCGCTAATTGTAGTAACTGGCTTCCAGCCACCCCGCTCTCGTCCCAACTCCTACTCACAGATGTTTCCACTAGGAATCACACCCACCTCTGCCTTACCAGAGGAGACTCTTGAGCTCTTCTTCAAAGCCAAAGGAAAAAAGAAGGTCAGCTTCGTCCACCACCAAAAGCTCCAGGGAGTCACGAAGTTTCAGGCTGTCTTGCTGCAAGTGGCTTAATATGCGAGATGGGGTCCCTACTACCACATCTGGCTTCTCCATCAGCACAGCTCTGGAGGTGGACAAGACATCAGTATCAGGCAGAATGTAGCAGCTGGGATCTCACCCTGGATTTGCTCTCTTTTTTGCCACACACAAACCCAACCCCACAACACTGTGTAGCTTCATTCAGGTACAGCTTTGCTGCTTTTACCCACCTCTGAGAGACTGAGTCTTCAGCAGCTGAGACATTGGCCACTCGGACATCCCGAGCACAGTAGGTAGCCAGCTGCTGAATCATGGACTGTGCTTGCCGTGCCAGCTCCTTGGTAGGAACAAGAACAAGGCCTCTCACTGCCTGTTCTACCACCGGACCTGTCTGTAAGAATATGAATTAAAGACTTTAGCCAGCAGTGCACATCACTGTGTCCACGTGTCTCTACCCCTTCCAGCCTACCTGACCCATCTGCTGCAACACTACTTAGCAGTACTTTGATCATCTATCACTCTGCCCGCCTCAGAATGCAGAGTGGAGAGTTCTTTCCCCAGGCACTGACCCTCAAAAAGAATAACGTACTCTGATGTTTATGAAGCTACTTTAAATATACTAGTTATGAAGCTAAATTCTCACAATAATTCTGTAAGTAGAAAAGATAGATGTGCTCCCTTTTTATGTAAGAAAGAAAAGAAAGTGCTTTGTCGAAGATTACGCAAAGGTTGGTGGTAGCAGGGCCGGACAAGGATCCAGGTAACCTGAACTCCAGCCCAGAGTGTTTGCCACAACAGCACCAGGTTCTCAGGCCGGCCTGCACGGGTACAGGGCCAAGAGAAAACCTCAGACAAACGGGAACCGCCCTTCCCAGGCTTTTGGAGCTTGCCTCCTTCCTCCCCTCAGCTCTCTCGTTACCCACCGCCTTCCTATGGAGCAACAGCTGCAGCATCGGAATAGCATAAGCGGCCGTCTTCCCGGAGCCCGTGCGGGCCCGAGCCAGGAGGTCCTTCCCTTCTAGGGCCAGTGGGATGGCCTTCTCCTGGATCAGCGTAGGTCGCGACCAGCCCAGATCGGTGACAGCCTAGGAGACCAGGAGTGCGGTTTAAGCGGCGTGAAGAGCGATGGCGCGCCCCGCAGAGCCCGTAAGCCGGCTCCCCAGCCCTCGCGTGTACCTGAAGGAGCCGGGGATCGAGGCCCATGTGTTCGAAGCCCAGTGCTTCAGAGTCCTCCATGGCGCTGCTCAGTAGCGCAGCACGCACGCGCTGCAGGAAAAACGCCACCGACGCGAGCGGGAGCAAAGCAACAACCAATCGGCTTCGGAGACGAAGTCACTTCCCGGAAGTGCTGGCGGCCTAGGCTTCCGGTACTCGGACGGAGCTCTGCGACTGCGCAGTCCCTAGGACTGGGTCTAGTAGGAGGCGGTGGAGCGGCCGTGCTGGGGTCGACGGGGTACTTTGGACTACAGAGCCGCTCCACTGGCTCTTCCGGCGTTCCCGGACGCCGCTGACGCACCTGATTCTCGCGACCTGCAGGAGAAGCCTCGGCCGGGGCGAGGGCCGAGGTCGTGACGGGCATGACCGTCTCTCTGCTTGGTTAGGGTTAGTGTCCCGCCGGGCACATCACCCTATGAATGGAGCCACTGAGATAGACTGGGCTGAGGAGAACCGGTTGGAATAATGAGCCATGGCAGCAACTGCCTGAGAGAGAGGACCGGCGGGTTGCTGTAGGGCTCCCTAACCGGACTGCCTGTCAGAAACCTGCACAGCTTGGTTTCTGTTCTTTGTGTCCCAAATCTGACTCGGGTCACCAGTTAAGACCCGTGTCAGACTTCTGACCTACAGACTTGCGTCGTTTTAAGCCAGTAAATTTGTGGTAATTTGTTACAGTAGCAATAGGAAAATAATACAGGTGAGGACTAAGAATCCTAATCACAAATCTTTTTTTTTTTTTGAGACATGGTCTGACTGTCACCCAGGCTGGCGCGATCTCAGGCTCAAGTGGTCCTCCCACCTCAGTCTCCTGGAAAGCTAAGACTACAGGCACGCACCACCACGTCCAGTTAGCGTGTATGTATGTATGTACGTACGTGTGTGTGTGTGTGTATGTGTATATATGTAACTCCTCCTCCCCTCCCCCCTCCCCTTCTCTTCTTTTCTTTCTAGATGGGGTTTCGCCACGTTGCCCAGGACGGTTTTGAACTCCTGGGGCCAAGCGATCTGCCTTCCTCGGCCTCCCAAAGTGCTGGGATTGCAGGTGCGAGCCACTGCTCCTGGCCCATAAGTCTTTCAGTGTAGAAGAGGGAAGCAGAAGAGGTCAAAGTGGTGCCATGTGAGAGCTCAACCCACCCTTGCTGGAGGAAGGGAGCCAGAGCCAAGCTGGAAAAGGCAAGGAAACAACCTTTGTGATTACATTAGGCCCATCCAGATGATCCAGGATAATTTATTTTACAGTCATCTGATTAGCAACTTAATTCTCTTCTGTCATGTTAGGTAACATATTCATATGTTTCAGAGTGGTAGGCCATTATTCTACCTACCATACCACCCAACACAAATCTACATTAAGACTATATCTGAGTGTTGCACAGGAATCTATGTCAACAAGCTTCCAGGATGATCCTGTGCATCCTATCTGATGCAGCCCAGCATCTGAGTACCAGAGACTAGCATCTGGCTGTTAGGTTAGGAGAGATCAGCTCATGCACCAACAGGTAGTCATGCTGGGACCAAATGATGAAGATAGGTACAACTAGTCCCAGTGAGAGCTGGGGAATTGGGCTGGGATAATAGAGGATGTTAAGAATGGAGTGTCCCCTCAACCCCAGAACTTTTTTTTCTTTTTTTGTGGTAAGGAGGGAGAAGGCTGTTTGGTAAGGATGTTGTAAACTCTGAGAAAGCAAGAATTTCAAAAGTCAAGGGTAGTATTGGGGGGAAAATCACTAGAATTTGTGTGTGTGTACCCTAACTACTGTTTTGGTTTTGTTTTTGTTTTTTAGAAGGAGTCTCACTCTGTCGCCCAGGCTGGAGTGCAGTGGCATGATCTCAGCTCACTGCAAGCTCCACCTCCCGAGTTCACGCCATTCTCTTGCCTCAGCCTCCCGAGTAGCTGGGACTACAGGCACCTGCCACCACGCCCGGCTAATTTTTTGTATTTTTAGTAGAGACAGGGTTTCACCGTTGTTAGCCAGGATGGTCTCGATCTCCTGACCTTGTGATCCGCCCGCCTCGGCCTCCCAAAGTGCTGGGATTACAGGCGTGAGCCACCGCGCCCAGGCCCTAACTGCTGTTTTTTAAAAAACTTTTTAGGTCACAACCTATCTGTAAATATGACACACCAGTATGGAAATCCTTATTCTTCTCACAGCCACCAGCTATTGGCCCATCCACTGACTATCCCAATTCCACCTGCCTTATCAGTGGAAAGGTGAAATGTATGCCCACTTTTTCCTCACACCATTCCCCTTTCTATCAAAAACTACCAAGAGAAACCCAGGACCTACCAAAATAGTTAAGATGTGCTCCACTGTGTCTACTGCCAGCCAAACCTGTTGAAGGCTGGCTCAACCCTAATCTGTGCCTTCCTGTCTTCTCACAAACGTAGTCTGATTTGCTGGCTAGATTTCTAGTAACAGCCACAGAGCAGAAATGTGTCCCTTCCCAATATGTCACATAATCCCCAAGAGCCTCAGGCCAGAAGTCCACAACATGTAACTAGTTCAAAGGATAAAATTTTTCTCTGCATTAATTCTAACATGAGGAATACTGAAAACTCTTTTAAACATCTGAAGAATTTCAGCAATTCACAATTCACCTTACTGGAGTGTTACACTGTCATCCAGATTTAGAAACAGGAGGATATAAAACTATTAAATGGAAAAGCCTAGAGAACTAAATTGCATTTTTTTTTTTTTTTCTGAGACAGAGTCTCCCTCTGCCCCCCAGGCTGGAGTGCAGTGGCTCGATTTCTGCTCACTGCAACCTCCTCCCGGGTTCAAGCGATTCTCCTGCCTTAGCTTCCTGAATAGCTGGGATTACAGGCACACACTACCATGCCTGGCTAATTTTTATACTTTTAGTAGAGAGGGGTTTTCACCATGTTGGCCAGCCTGGTCTCAAACTGCTGACCTCAGGCGATCCCCCTGCCTTGGCCTCCCAAAGTGCTGGGATTATAGGCGTGAGCCACCCCACCTGGCCCTAAATTGCATTTTTTTTTTTGTTTTTTTTTTTCAGATGGGATCACTGTTGCCCAGACTGGAGTGCAGTGGCACGATCATGGCTCACCGCAGCCTTGACCTCCCGGGCTCAAGTGATCTTTCCACCTCAGCCTCTCAAGTAGCTGGGACTATAGGCATGTGCCACCAGCTAAATTTTTTGTATTTTTTGCAGAGACAAGATTTCGCCATGTTGCCCAGGCTGGTCTCGAACTCCTGGGCTATAGGGATCCACCCACCTTGGCTTCCCAAAGTGCTAGGATTACAGGCGTGAGCCACCGTGCCCAGCCCACATGTATTTTTAAGAGTAAAAATAGCCAGGCACAGTGGAGTATACCTGTAGTACCAGCTACTTGGGAGGGTAAGGTAGGAGGATCACTTGAACCTGGGAGCTCAAGGTTGCTTTGAGCTGTGATGGCACCACTGCACTCCAGCCTTGGGGACAGAGCAAGACCCCATCACCTGTGCCCGGCCAGCTCACACCTGTAATCCCAGCACTTTGGGAGGCGAGACGGGTCACCTGCGGTCAGGAATTCAAGACCAGCCTGGTCAACATGGTGAAACCCTGTCTCTACTAAAAATACAAAAATTAGCTGGGCATGGTGGCGGGCGCCTATAATCCCAGCTACTCGGGAGTCTGAGGCAGGAGAATCTCTTGAACTCAGGAGGTGGAGGTTGCAGTGAGCCAAGATTGCACCACTGCACTCCAGCCTGGGCGACAGAGTGAGACTCCATCTCAAAAATAAATAAATGAATAAGATAAAATAAAAATACAAAAATTAGCCGGGTGTAGTGGTGGGTGTCTGTAATCCCAGCTACTCAGAAGTTGAGGCAGAACTGCTTGAACCCGGGAGGCAGAGGTTGCAGTGAGCCAAGATCATGCCACTGCACTCCAGCCTGGGCGACAGAGCAAGACTGTCTCAAAAAATAAAATAAATAAAAATTTTAAAAATACATAAATATATATATAAATAGGTACATATATGGTATAGGACATAAGAAATAACAAAAGGAGAAGAATTTAGTTCTGTAGGTCAGATAATTTAATAAATATTTCAAATAAATATATAATAAAAACTGAAATAAAATGTCAAGAATGGGGAACTAATGGTATTAAGTTTTATATAGAAGGGCATGAGGGAAGTGTATTAAAATTTGTTCAAATTTATGACTGAGAGGGCTAAGAAGGTACTTAATTTCCTCAGATGATACTTTGCGAACATGTGGTCTATTTGGTTGACCTTTGCAAATAGTTGAACAACCACACCGTGTATTCCCATACCCCCTAGACTGCCTGTCCAGGCCAAGCCTTAGTACCACGAGTCCACAGTGAAGTCCACTCCAGGTTATCTGCATAGGTAGCCCAGGCACCTTTCCTCTTTTCCTTTAGGTGCCTCCCCTCTACCCACAACCTCTTATTTCATCTCAAACACAGCTATTACAACATGTTTTATTTCACTGGAAAATTCTGTAAAGAACTAAATCTGGTTCCCTTGAAGAAAACATTTAGCACAGCTTAAATAAAAGTTGAGAAGGAGGGTAAGAGTGCATTGCCCCATTCTAGCTCTGTTGCTACCTTACCTCTGACTCTAAGGCCCTGTGGGATGAAAAGCAGGTATCCAAAAGAACTCTGCTTGGCCCTCTGATACGGCCTTGAGGTCAGCCCTGGTGCCTGCTTTCTGGCCCACAGACCGCTGAAATCCTAGGAGCTGCCATGGGAGTTACCAAAAATATGTGAATAAACTGAATGCAGAGGCTGAGGCAGGTGGATCAACTGAGGTCAGGAGTCTAAGACCAGCCTGGCCAACATGGTAAAACCCCATCTCTACTAAAAATACAAAAATTAGCTGAGCGTGGTGGCGGGCACCTGTAATCCCAGCTACTCAGGAGACTGAGGCAGGAGAATCATTTGAACCCGGGAGGCAGATGTTGCCAGTGAGCTGAGATCACGCCATTGCACTCCAGCCTGGGCGACAAGAGCAAAACTCAAAAAAAAAAAAAAAAAAAAAAAAGGAAAAACAAAACCCAGAATGCAGAAACTGCATTGGTATTTTGAGCTAGTTACAGGCAGTAACACTTCTACTAGGAAGGAAAATATATAATTTATCCAAAAATAGTTCTAAGATTTAGAAAAACATCTCAATCCTCTAGGGCCAAGACCTGCCCCTTATTTACATTCACAAAGCCATTAAGTGAACCCAGAACTGACCAGCAGACAGTGAGGCAGGGCCTGCTCTGTGGCACATGCCAGTCACCTACTGCGTAAGTGGACAAAGAGAAAGCAGAAGGTAATGGAGAGAGTTTTCATTTGCTTATTTAGTGAAAAACAGAGGAAAATCACTCGAGGCAAAAGAAGCAGGACTGAGTCCTGGGTTAGTTCTGATTCCTCACAAGCCCTAAGACAAGATTTTGAAAGATTGGACTAATGTCATGTGTCCTTAAGAACCAGGGTCAGCAAGTGGCTGATCTGAATGGTTTGTGGCCATGGAACCAATGTGACTTATTCTTTTTCATTTTTTTCCCTAAAAATCCAGGTGGATAAAGGACTGTGTGGGGAAAGTACCAAATAAATGAGGTAAAAAGGAAGGGTCATACAAAGAGGGCACTACACCAGCTTCTTGGCCTCAAAGAAGCTCTTGAGGTGACGCATCTGCCAGATGCCAGTGAGGATGAGGATGACAGTCTGAGCAATGGACCACCATAGGACCCTCTGGTTGGTGCTCTCGCTCGTCAGTCGGAAGCGCTCTTCACGATACTGTGTGGGGCAACACAGGGTTAAGTGAGCAGGAGAAACAGTCTGGCTGTTGTGAGGTCCCTCCCTGCGTGTAATTACTCAACTCCAGGACCAAACTCCTTTTGGAATACTATCTGTGACTCCATTAGGAGTGCTATGGTCTCCCCACTGAGGCTGCCCCAAGAAAGGGACAGGCTGTCCCTCCACAAGCATCTCTGTTAGGACTGAAATCATGATCCTACCATTTCCAACAAGAGTCCAAGAAAAACAGGTAGGCAATGGCTATTACTAGATTGTGAACTGTCCTTTCTTCATTTTATTTTATAGAGCTTAAAAATGACTACTGAAAGCGAAATGTGGCACATGCATACAATGGAATATTAGCCTTAAGAAATTCTGACACATGCTATAACATGGATGAACTGTGAGAACATTATACTCAGTGAAATAAGCCAGTCACAAAAGGACAAATACTGAATGATTCCACTTATATGAGATAGGGTAGTCAGGATCATAGAGACAGAAAGTAGAATGGTGGGTGTCAGGACAAAAGGAAACGGGAAGTTATTGTTTATAATAAGTACAGATTTGCTGGGTGCAGTGGCTCACGCCTGTAATCCCAACACTTTGGGAGGCTGCGGCAGTGGATTGCCTGAGGCCAGGAGTTCAAGACCAGCCTGGCCAACATGGTGAAACCCAGTCTCTACTAAAAACACAAAAATGAGCCACGCATGGTGGCACTTGCCTGTAATCCCAGCTACTTGGGAGGCTGAGGCAGGAGAATCGCTTGAACCTGGGAGGCGGAGGGTGCAGTGAGCCGAGATGGCGCCACTGCGCTCCAGCCTGGGCAACAGAGCGAGACTCCATCTCAAAAACAAAACAAAATAAGTACAGATTTTTAGTTTGAGAAGATGAAAAAGTTCTGGAGCTGGATGATGGTGTTGGTAGCACAACATTATGAAGGCACTTAATACCACTGAACTATATAGACAGTTAAAATGACACATTTGGTGTTATATTTTACCACAATAAAATGTTTTGATAAAAAAGCAAAACAGGCAGGGCGCGGTAGCTCACACCTGTAATCCCAGCACTTTGGGAGGCTGAGGCGGGCGGATCACTTGATGTCGGGAGTTCGAGACCAGCCTGACCAACGTGGAGAAACCCCCGTCTCTACTAAAAGTACAAAATTAGCCAGGCATGGTGGCGCATGCCTGTAATCCCAGCTACTCAGGAGGCTGAGGCAGGAGAATCGCTTGAACCTGGGGAGGCGGAGGTTGCAGTGAGCCAAGATCATGGCATTGCACTCCAGCATGGGCAACAAGAGTGAAACTCCGTCTCAAAAACAACAAACAAACAACCTATCTAAACCAATACTTCTCATTCCATTCTCTGCAGAGCTGATCTCCCAAGCAGAAACTTGAGTAGGTATAGTGGGTATAAAGGTCAACTGCCCTCTCAAATTACAAGGAGATATGCACTTGCCCTTTGGTAATCCTGCTCCTTCTGAATCTGTTCCACCTGATCAAGCAACTGGCGGGCGCGGAGCTGTAGCTCCGTCAGCTTATCTTTTGCAGCAATCTCAGGGTAGTTGTTGGCATGCTCCCCAACCTGGATGTCGAGATGCACCCGCTACAAGGAAACATGGAATGTATGAGTGGTGGGGCCTCCAGTTGTCTGTTCCAGGGTATGGAACCCACTATTGTCCCTGGCTGTGGAGCAGAAGGCAACATCTGTCTCCCCAATTCTGACTGTGCTACAAAGTTTCACAATCTTGATAAATCAAAATTTGGAAACAAGTGAGAGATTCTAAGCTGAAGCCAAAGAGAAAATCCTCTTACCAGTTTGCCACCAGCGAAGAGAGCCATCCTGGTAGAATTGGAGTGCAGACAGATTTGATGGTCACCGGGCGTGTGGGAGGTGAACGTGAAGCGGCCCTCCGAGCCGTACTGCCGGGACAGCACCACCTGCAACATATGTGAGTGAAGGCCCCACCTTTATACCGCAGGCTCTCCAAGTGCAAGTTCCTGTCCCTTGAGGCCTCCTCCAGGCAGTGCTTTACACCCCACGGGAGCTCCACTGAAGAACGGCTGCGTGGGCCAACGCCAGCCTTACCTTGCCGTCGGGGTCCTTCACTTCCACGTGCATGCCCAGGCCAGGGGTCGAGGGCAGGAAGACCTCCTTCTGCTTATCCCACATCTGGGTACGATAGTTGCCTGCGGGGCAGACACATAGTCACGACCGGCCCTAGTGGGCCGCCTCTCCGCCCGGCCCCCTCCGACGTGCGGCCCGGAGCTCTAGGCAGGGGGCCTGGCGTCCTCGGGGCACCCTCAGGCTAGGTACTGGGGGAGCCAGCGACCCGGCTGGGCTCGGGAGGAGGGAGCGCCGCCGAGGGCTGAGCTGGGTACAAAGGGCCTCCCCACCCTCAGCCCGCCTGACCGATGACCATGGTCTCGTCGGGGATTTCCTCGATGAAACAGCGCTTCTCGGTCTCGCCGATGTGGAAGTAGAGCCCCTGGGCGCCTGTGGCGCACAGCGCGAGAAGCAGCAGGGCCTGCCGCCCCATCGCCCGCAGAGGCCCAGCCCCGACACCTGCCATCGCGCCTCAGCCCCTAAGCGCCTGCGCACATTTGCGCATCGCTCTGCGCCTGCGCGCCACCCTAGCGACCCTGAGAGTTAGGGGAAGAGGACGCCTGCGCAGTGATATGTACTCGCCGTCTCCTGCAACTCCATCCGTACCGAACACTGCCGCGCCCCGCCCCCTCACACAGCCCGGCGCCCGCCTACCCCCGCAACGAGAGTAGAGGGCGCATGCGCAATGACGTTCGCCCTTAATTTCTCGCCCCTTACCCCGCAGCTTACCTCCGGCATCTCGCAGGGGAGGCACGCCTGCGCAGTCACGCCCGCCCTCGGCCCCAGTCAGCGATTTGGGTCTCGGAGCACCAAGGAGACGGTGGACGGAATCTGACCAGGCTTGGTGGCTACGATGGCCTGAAGCGTGCCTTTTGGGTTCTCAGCTCGGGCTCACAAGTGTTTTCTGTGCTAAATACAAAAAGCCCTGTGATGTTTTGCTTTGCGTGTCCACCTATCTGACTCGTAAGAACCGAGGCTGAATCCAGACCCACACTCTGTCACGTCGGGAGAGCCTGCCGCGGCGAGCCTCTGCGAGCGGGCATTTCTTGGGTGGGGACCAAAAGCCCAGTGCTGCCATAGTTTCGGATCATTCTTTTAAGAAGCTGGGGCCGGGCGCGGTGGCTGGCACCTGTAATCCCAGCACTCTGGGAGGCTGAGGCGGGCGGATCCCTTGAGCCCAGGAGTTCGGGACCAGCCTGGGCAACATGGTGAAACCCCCGTCTCTACAAAAAATTAACCGGTGTGGTGGTGTGCGCATGTAGTCCCAGCTACTTGGGAGGCTGAGGCAGGAGAATCGCTTGAACCCAGGAGGTCGAGGATGCATTAAGCAGTGATCGCGCTCCAGCCTGGGCGACCGAGGGTGATACCTTGTCTTAAAAAAAAGGTGGGAGAGTGGAACGAAAACTTGGAATAAGTAGGGTCATGGAGCTTGTTTACATCCCCTAGTTACAGCACATCCTTTTGAAAGTGAAAAACAAACTGGAATGTTACTTAGTGGGCATGGAATCGAAGCAACGGAAGGTTAAAACTGTTTTTATCAAGGCCAGGCGGGCGCGGTGGCTCACGCCTGTAATGCTAACACTTTGGGCGGCCAAGGCTGGTGGATCATCTGAGGTTAGAAATTCGAGACCAGTTGGGCCAACAAGGTGAAACCCCCGTCTCTACTAAAAATACATTTTATCAACAGAATTTCGAAACTTTTATATAATAGAATAATTACAATGAACTTTCATAAAGAACTTGAGCATACCTGGATTTTGGTATCCGTAGGGGTCCAGGAATTATCCCCCTTGGATAATAACGGAGGGCTGTACTCATCATCCAACTTCAACAACAGTTTGCTGCCTTTCTCATTTCATGTATCCCTTTCTGCATTTTTTTTTGAAGTGCTGTATATTAAAGCAAATCCTGGACATCATGTCATTTCACCTATAAATACGTCAGTGTGTGTCTCTAACAGATAAGGACTTTATACTATTATCACACCCACCAAAATTTTAAAAATTATTTAACATCACTTAATACCTAGTATGTGTTTAATTTTCCCCATTGCCTTAAAAAATTTTGTACATTAGATATTTAGGGTCCAAACAAGGTTTACTTACTGCATTTCATACAAATATATGTCTCTTAATATATAACAATTTTGGCTGGGCACAGTGGCTCATGCCTGTAATCCCAGCACTTTGGGAGGCTGAGGTGGAAGGATCACTTGAGGTCAGGAGTTTGAGACCAGCCTGGCCAACATGGTGAAACCCTGTTTCTACTAAAAATACAAAAATTAGCCAGGTGTGGTGGTGCACACCTGTAATCTCAGCTACTTGGGAGGCTGAGGCAGGAGAATTGCTAGAATCAGGGAGGTGGAGGTTGCAGTGGGCTGAGATGATGCCACTGTACTCCAGCCTAGGCAACAGAGTGAGATTCTATCTCAAAACAAACAAAAACAGGGCCGGGCGCAGTGGCTCACACCTGTAATCCCAGCACTTTGGGAGGCCAAGGTGGGCAGATCACGAGGTCAGGAGTTCGAGACCAGCCTGGCCAATATGGTGAAACCCTACCTCTACCAAAAATACAAAAATTAGCTGGGTGTGGTGGTGCTCACCTGTAGTCCCAGCTACTTGGGAGACTGAGGCAGAAGAATCGCTTGAACCCAGGAGGCAGAGGTTGCAGTGAGCCGAGATCATGCCACTGCACTCCAGCCTGGGTGAGAGAGAGACTCGTGTCCAAAAAAAAAAAAACAAACCATATAACAACATATATATATATTATACATATTATATATATATTATATATATAAATTTCCCCTCTCTTTTTGTTGTTTGTTATTCATGGCATTTACTTATTGAAGAAACTGGGTCATTTGACCAACAGAATTTTCCACTTTCTGGGTTTTGCTGATTGTATCTTCAGGTGTCATTTAACGTTTTTTGTCCCTGGTATGTCCTGTAATCACAGTTAATTCTAGAGTCAGGGGAGGTTTACAGTGAAACTAATGAAGCTTAATCTTCAGGCCCTCCCTTGCATAGACCCCCGTACCTAATTTCGCATTTATAATTTTGTGTCTTTTTCTTAAAGAGGACTGTGAAATTTGTATAGTTTAAGGCCCCACAAAGCTTGGATTTGCCCCTGGCTAGAAGCTTCATTAGGTTTAGGTGTAATGTTGAGGTTTGGGTTTTTTTGTTTTGTTTTGTTTGCAATAACGCTTCGTGGCTGGCACTATGTACTTCTACTGAGGCACAAGGCGGGTTTGTCTCTTAGTAATATTGTAATTCATCTCTCAATTTGGGGGTTGTCATCCTGATTATCCATGAAGTTTACCATCAGCCTTTCTTCTAATAGTCTAGCAAACGTTGATGATCATTAGACCATTGGTTCTCAACGAGGGTTGATTCTGCCCTGTCCTACCAAGGGGAAATTTGGCAATGTCTGGAGATATTTTGGATTGTTGCAACTGGGTGGGGGGTGGCGGGTGGTACTGCTGTTATCTAGAAAATGAATGCAAGGAATACTGCTAAACATTGTATAATTCACAGAGCACACCTCCCCCCCACAGCGAAGAATTATCCAGCTCAAAATGTCAGTAGTACCCAGGTTGAGAAACCCTAGTGTAGTTTTATGATGTTCCTTAGGTGTGCAAAGTGGTAATTTCAAATGCTCTCATTTCTCCTGCATTTATAAGATGAGATTCTTCTACAAAGGTGAGCATTCCCTCATCTCTCTGGTTACTTTGAAATACAATCCATTCGGGATAGCCAGGATGTATGCTTGATGCTTTCCCACGCACAGTGGCTCTGCCTATAATCCCAGCACTTTGGGGGGCCAAGACAGGAGGACTGCTTGAGCCCAGGAAATGGCAAGATCTTTACAAAATATGTAAAAATTAGACAGGCATGGTGATGCATGCCTGTAATTCCCGCTACTTAGGAGGCTGAGGCAGGGAAATGGCTGGAGCCCAGGAGGTTGAGGATACAGTGAGCCGTGATGGGACGACAGCACTCTAGCATGGGTGACTGAGTGAGACCTTGTCTCAAATAATAGTAATAATAATAAAGATGGATGGATGGATGCCCCAGCAACCTCTAACTGTGACCACTTTGGGTTCTTTGGGGAGAAGGGGCAGTGCTATCATGAATTGATGGATGTTTAGATATTTGATGTGCTTTAATCCATTACAGTCATTGTCCTTTTTTAAATGTTCAGATTGTCTCATCAAATATTTAGTTGCTGCTGTGTCCTTCTGGCACAATCCTAGTAATCCACAATCCTAGTAGTCTTTAGGTCAAGCTTGTCCAACCTGTGGCCCATGCAGCCCAACACAAATTCATAAACTTTCTAAAAACATTATGAGATTTTTTTTTTTTTAGCTCATCAGCTATTGTTAGTGTATTTTATGTGTGGCCCAAGACAATTCTTCTTCTTCCAGTGTGGCCCAGGAAAGCCAAAAGATTGGACACCCTGGACTTCCTTGCTTTCCGTTTTATACATTTACTGCCCAGAAACAAAACCAACCATTTCTCCAAGGAACCCTAATTCACTTTAGTGAGAAATGGTATTTGTATTGGCAAACTTATTTTCTTTCTTTTTTTTTTTTTTTTTAAGGAGGATCCTGAAATTTGTCTTAACTGAGAGATAATATTAAAGAGATTGTATTCTCCACTGCAGAAAATTTAACTTAGGAGGTGAGGCACTGTGGCTCATGCCTGTAATCCCAGCATTTGGGAGGCCGAGGCAGGAAGATCGCTTGAGTCCAGAAGTTCAAGACCAGTCTGGGCTACATGGTGACACCCTGTCTCTACCAAAAAAAAAATTAGCTGGGCATGGTGGCATGGGCCTGTAGTCCCAACTACTCGGGAGGCTGAGGTGGGAGGATTGCTTGACCCCCAGGAGGTTGAGGCTGCAGTGAGCTGTGATGGTGCTGCTGCACTCCAGCCTGGGCAACAGAGTGAGACCCCATCTCCAAAAAAGAAAGAAAATTTAACTTAGGGAGTCTAATTCCCCAGATGAGAGATTTTTCTGCTCAGAAGCCATGAAGCAATTTCTGCCGATGTTTGTCTAGGCTCTTTGTCTAGACCAGCCACCCCGTCCTTCATTTGTTCAACCAGTATGTGCTGTGCAGCCATTTGTGCCAGCCACTGTTCTAATGGGAAAACACAGGTGACCAAAACAAAAATCCTTGTCTAGGCCAGGCGCAGTGGCTCACGCATGTAATCCCAGCACTTTGGGTGGATCATCTGAACTCAGAAGTTCAAGACTAGCCTGGACAACATGGCAAAACCCCGTCTCTACCAAAAATACAAAAAATTAGCCAGGCATGTGGCAAGCACCTGTAGTCCCAGCTTCTCTGGAGGCTGAGGTGGGAGGATCACTTCAGCCTGGGAGGCAGAGGTTGCAGTGAACCGAGATTGTGCCACTGCACTCTAGGCCTGGGTGAGAGTGAGGCTCTGTCTCAAAAAACAAGAACAACAGCAACAAAAATCCTTGTCTCCATGGCTTTATCTTGATTGTCGTCTGCCAAACAAGATAAATAAAGAAATATAGAGCATGTCAGATGGAGATAAGTATCAAGAATAAAAATAAGGCAGGGAAGAAGAAAGTATAGTGGACTTAGGCCAGGCGCAGTGGCTCACGCCTGTAATCCCGACACTTTGGGAGGCTGAGGCAGGGGGATCACGAGGTCAGGAGATCAAGACCATCCTAGCTAACATGGTGAAACCCCGTCTCTACTAAAAAAATACAAAAAAATTAGCTGGGCGTGGTGGCGGGTGTCTGTAGTCCCAGCTACTCGGGAGGCTGAGGCAGGAGAATGGCGTGAACCTGGGAGGTGGGCTTGCAGGAAGCCAAGATCGCGCCACTGCGCTCCAGCCTGGGCGACACAGCGAGACTCCATCTTAAAAAAAAAAAAAAAAAAGAGAGTATAGTGGACATAATGGGGGACCAGAAGACATGTCCATGTTTGAATCACTGGAACCTGTGAATGTGACCTTATGTGGAAAAAGAGTCTTTGCAGATGTAATTCAGGATTTTGAGACTTGATAATCCTGGATTAACCAGGTGGACCCTAAATCCAATGACAGGTGTCCTTATAAGAGATAAGAAATACCTCACCTAATAATAACTACTATTAGAACAACAAAAACAGAAAATAAATTGTAGAAGAGTGTTAAATAATTAAAAGTAGAACAATCATATACCCCAGCAGTCCCACCTGTAAGTATTTATCCAAAGGAAGTAAAGTCAGGATCTGGAAAAGATACCTACACGCCCATTTTCATAGCAGCATTATTCACAGTAGCCAAGAGGTGGAAGCAATGTAAATATACATTGTACCTACCGCAAAATGTGGTATATACATACAATGCAGTATTATCAAGCCATAAAAAGGGATGAAATTCTGATTCATGCTACAACATGGATGAAACTTAACATTATGCTAAGTAGTATAAGTCAATCACAGAAAGACAATTGCCATATGATTCCATTTAGATAAAGTGTCTAAAGTAGTCAAAATCATAGAAGCAAAAAGTAGAATGGTTACCTGCGGGGGGAGCTGTTGTCTAATGGGTACAGAGTTTCAGATTAGCAAAATGAAAAAGTTCTGGACATCTGTTTCATAACAATGTGAATATATTTAACATACTGAACTGCACACCTAAAAATGGTTAACATGGCCAGGCGTGGTGGCTCACGCCTATAATCCCAGCACTTTGGGAGGCCAAGGCAGGAGGATTGCTTGAGCTGAGGAGTTTGAGACCAGCCTAGGCAACATAGAGAAACCCTGTCTCTACAAAAAATGTAAAAATTAGCCAAGTGTGGTGGCACATGCCAGTGGTCCCCAGTTACTTGGGAGAGTCAGATGGGAGGATGTCACGAGCCCAGGAGGTTGAGGCTGCAGTGAGCTGTGATTGTAACACTGCATTCCAGCCTGGGCAACAGAGTCTCAAAAAAAAGGTTAAGATGGTAAATTTTATGTTAAGTGTTTTTTTCTCTAAATACAAAAAAAAAATGTAAAAAAAAAAAAAAGAAAAGGAGGCACTATGATCACAGAGGCAGACACTGGAATAATAATGCTGCCATAAGCCAAGGCATGCCTGGAGCCACCAGAAACTGGAAGGGACAGGAAAAAAAGTCTCCCCGAGAGCCTAGGAAGTGCAGCCCTGCCCACTCCTCACTTCGGACTTCTGCCGTCCGTGACTGAGAGAGAGAATACATGTCTTTTTTTTTTTTTTTTTTTTTTTTTTTGAGATGGGAGTTTCACTCTTGTCGCCCAGGCTGGAGTACAATGGCGTGATCTCGGCTCACTGTAACCTCCGCCTCCTGGGTTCAAACAATTCTCCTGCCTCAGCCTCCCAAGTAGCTAGGATTACAGGCACCTGCCACAACGCCCAGCTAATTTTTGTATTTTTAGTAGAGACGGCGTTTCACCATATCAGCCAGGCTGGTCTCGAACTCCTAACCTCATGATCCGCCCACCTCAGCCTCCCAAAGTGCTGGGATTACAGGCATGAGCCACCGCACCTGGCCTTGTTGTTTTAATCTATCATGTTTCTGGTAATTTGTTATGGCAGCCACAGGAAACTAAAATGTAAGGAGTGTTTAGTTGGAGGTGTGGGTGGGTACAATTTTAGACAGAGTGGCAGTAAGGCTCCCCAAGAAGGTGCCAGATGAAAGGCCCCTCAGGAGGGGCAGTCGTGTGTATGCCTGGGAAAAGAGTGAAGGCTGGAGGCTAATGCATGTCTGGTGAATTAGGAGGGCAAGGAAGCCAGCGGGGCAGGAGGACAGCATGTGAGAACGTCAGAGGAAAAGAGTCACAGATGGGCTGGCCTTTTAGAACATCTGAAGGACTTTGGCTCTTACCCTGAGCAAGAATTCTTTAGGGGGTTTTGAGTGAGGAATGACAATCTGAAGTAGGTTTCAGAATTATCCTGTCCAGGCAAGAGACAATCATCCTAACGTAAGGATTATCAGTGGGTACAGAGAATTTTTGCAAATAGCATTAAATCTTTTTGTTTGGTTGGTTTTTGTTGTTTTGTTTTGTTTTGTTTTGTTTTTTGAGACAGAGTCTCGCTCTGTTGCCCAGGCTGAAGTGCAGTGGCACGATCTCGGTTCAGTGAAACCTCTGCCTCCAAGGTTCAAGCAATTCTCCTGCTTCAGCCTCCAGAGTAGGCGTGCACCACCATGCCCCATTAAATTTTGTATTTTTAGTAGAGACGGTGTTTCAACATGTTGGCCAGGTTGGTCTCAAACTCCTGACCTCAAGTGATCTGTCCGCCTTGCCCTCCCAAACTGCTGGGATTACAGGTGTGAGCCACCGCACCAGCCCGGTTTGGGTTTTTTTTTTGAGGCGGAGTCTCACTCAGTTGCCCAGGCTGCAATGCAGTAGTGTGATCTTCACTCACTGCAGACTCGGCCTCTCAAGCAATCCTCCCACCTTAGCCTCCCCAGTAGCTAGGGCTACAGGCACGTGCCACCATGCCCAGCTAATTTTTGTATTTTTTTTGTAAAGATGCAATTTCACTATGTTGCCCAGACTGGTCTCAAACTCCTGGGCTCAAGTGATCCACCCACCTTGGCCTCCCAAAGTGCTGGGATTACAGGCGCGAGCACCTGTCCTTAATAGCATTTAACCTGATCTAAGCAGGTCTTTTATCCCATCTTGCAGTTTACAGGAAATTTAGGAGACAGAGGGCAAAGTTAGAGGAAACAATAAGGCACATCCAGAGTATGGGAAAGTTTGCCTCAGCCCTTCAAAAACTAAAGTCAAGAAGAGAGAGAAGATAAAGAAAGTGGGGGAAATGTACTAGTTTAAAAGAGACCAAGGCTGGGCGCAGTGGCTCACACCTATAATTCCAGCACTTTGGGAGGCCCAGGTGGGTGGATCGCTTGAGCCCAGAAGTTCAAGACCAACCTGGGCAACATGGCTAAATCCCACCTCTACAAAAAATACAAAAGTTAAGCCAGGAGTGGTGTTGTGTGACTATAGTCCCAGCTACTCAAGAAGCTGAGGTGGGAGGATTGCTTGAGTCCAAGAGGTGGAGGTTGCAGTGAACCCAAATCGCGCCATTGCACCCAGCCAGGGTGACAGAGTGAGACCCTATCTCAAAAAAATAAATAAAAAGATGCATAATACCAAAAAAGACGTGAACCTTGATTGGGCTTTGGTGTGTTACTGTCTGCAAAGACCACTGCTGACAATTCCTCCAATCCCTATAAACACATACTGTTCCTCCCATTGAGGGGTGGAGTCTATTTTCCCTCAACTTGAATTTGAACTGGCCCTGTGGTTTGTTCTGACCAATTCAATGCAGTGGAAGAGAAGCTATATGACTTCTGGGGCTTAGGCCATAAGAGACCTTGCAGCTTCCATTTTCATTCCCTTGGAACCCAGCTGACAGGAGGTCCAGCCCACCCAATTGGACCAGTCATTGGAATGAAGCCATCTTGGATCCTGCAGTCCCAGTGGAGCTGCCCCAGCCAATACCAAATGGAACGCTGATGAGCTATCCCTACTGAAACCACACAATGCAGTTATGCAACTGGAAAAAGTCAGGAAGCTCTCTATGAACTGAAAAGCTTTATACGAATAGAAAGATTTCCAGGATATACTGTTCAATTTGTTTTCCTTTCTTTTTTTTTTTTTTTTTTTTGAGACGGAGTCTTGCTCTGTCACCCAGGCTGGAGTGCAGTGGCGCAATCTCGGCTCACTGCAAGCTCCGCCTCCCAGGTTTGCACCATTCTCCTGCCTCAAACTCCCGAGTAGCTGGGACTACAGGCACCTGCCACCGCGACCGGCTAGTTTTTTGTATTTTTAGTAGAGACGGGGTTTCACCGTGTTAGCCAGGATGGTCTCGACTCCTGACCTTGTGATCCGCCCGCCTCGGCCTCCCAAAGTGCTGGGATTACAGGTGTGAGCCACCGCGCCCAGCCTTTTTTTTTTTTTTTTTTTTTTTTTGAGACAGAGTCTCACTCTGCAGCCCAGGCCCGAGTACAGTGGCGCCATCTCAGCTCACTGCAACTTCTGCCTCCTGGGTTCAACTGATTCTCATGCCTCAACCTCCCAAGTAGCTGGGATTACAGGTGTGCACCATCACACCTGGCTAATTTTTGTATTTTTAGTAGACATGGGGTTTTACCATGTTGGCCAGGCTGGTCTCGAACTCCCAACCTCAGGTGATCACCCACCTTGGCCTCCCAAAGTGCTGGGATTACAAGTGTGAGCCACTGCACCTGGCCATCAATTTGAAAAGCAGATGCGGAAGAGAATACATAGTAAACTCTCTTTGGTATTTGTACCTTCATGAAAAAACACTGGAAGAATATTTAAGAAACTAATGTAAGTGGTTATAGGTAACCTAAGATTTAGCTCATATACACCAGTAGGGTTATACTGGTTAAAATATAGAAATATTCTTGTCCTGGTCGGTAAATGGCCACTACCAAACCCCTGAATTCCCTCCACCTCTGCTCTCACCCCAGGATAAATGACTGCCCCATGATCCAACAAGAGTTAACCCCAGCAGGGAAGGGGTCTGGCAAGCCAACAAAGAATGAGGTGGATGGTCATGGGGTAGGAGACTTTACAAACAAAACTTTTAAATATACTTTTTATTTCTGAGCCATATGAATATGTCACTTGGTAAAAAGGAATTTGAGGCGAGGTATAGTGACCTATGCCTATAACCCCAGCACTTTGGGAGGCTGAGGCAGGAGAATGCTTGAAGCCAGGAGTTTGAGGCTGTAATGAGCTATGATCATGCCACTGCACTCCAACCTGGATGACAAAGTGAGACCCTGTCTCTAAAAAAATAAATAAATAAAAAATTAAAAATCAAAGTCAAAAGGAGTTTGAGAGTAAAAAACAGAAAATAATGTGTTATTTATTTAATAAAATAAAAATTAAAAATTAAATGCTAGAGACCAGGCGCAGTGCCTCATGCCTGTGATCCCAGCACTTTGGGAGGCCGAGGAAGGTGGATCACCTGAGCTCAAGAGTTTGAGACCAGCCTGGGCAACATGGTGAAACCCTGTCTCTACCAAAAATACAAAACTTACCTGTGTATGGTAGCACATGCCTGTGGTCCCAGCTACTCAGGAGGCTGAAATGGGAGGATGGTTTGAGCCTGGGAGGCAGAGGCTGCAGTTAGCCGAGATCACACCGCTGTACTCCAGACTGGGTGACAGAATGAGACCCTGTCTCAAAAATTAAGAAAGAGGCTGGGCGCGGTATCTCACACCTGTAATCCCAGCACTTTGGGAGGCCCAGGTGGGCAGATCACCTGAGGTGAGGAGTTCAAGACCAGCCTGCCCAACATGGCGAAACCTCATCTCTACTAAAAATTCAAAAAATTAGCCAGGTGTGGTGGCAGGAGCCTGTAATCCAAGCTACTCAGGAGACTGAGGCAGGAGAATTGCTTGAACCCAGGAGGTGCAGGTTGCAGTGAGCAGAGATCATGCCACTGCACTCCAGCCTGGGCGACAAGAGCGAAACTCCGTCAAAAAACAAAAAACAAAAAAAAAAGAAAGAGAGAGAAAAGAAAGAAAGAGAGAAAGAAAGAAGGAAAGAAGTGCTATTGCCACTCTGAGTGAAACTTGGTCAAAAAACAAAAAAAGAAAGAAAGAAAGAGAGAGAGAGAAGAAAGAGAGAGAAAGAAAGAAGGAAAGAAGTGCTACTGCCACTCTCTATCACAGTACCATTTTATCTATGGATTTCAAACCATCAATTACTACCTTGTTTGTACATCCTGAAAATGTCACCTCTGTAATAACATAGATCCCGCCTGTCTGTTGTGTTCACCTCTGTATCCCCAGCACCTAGAAGCAAACCAGTATAAATATTTGTTGAATGAGGCTGGTTGTGGTGGCTCATGCCTGTAATCCTAGCAGTTTGGGAGGCTGGAGCGGTGGATTGCCTGAGCTCAGGAGTTTGAGACCAGCCTGGGCAACGTGGCGAAACCCCATCTCTACTAAAAATACAAAAAATTAGCTGGGCATGGTGGCGGGCGCCTGTAATCCCAGCTACTTGGGAGGCTGAGGTGCAAGAATCGCTTGAACCTAGGAGGTGGAGGTTGCAGTGAGCCAAGATCGTGCCACTTCACTCCAGCCTGGGCAACAGAGTGAAACTCTGTCTCTAAAAGCAAACAAATAAACAAACAAATATTTGTTGAATGAATATGGAATGTATACTTTAATGAAAAATCATACTGAGCAAAAGTTATGGGATGTAGTTAAAGGCAGTGTTCAAAGGGAAATATATAGTTGTAAATGTCTACATTTAAAGAAGATCATGTGTAAAATTTGTGATAGTGGAAATGAAGAAAGATATCAAATCAATAACCAAATTTATACCTTGATGAACTTGAAAAAGAGCCAACTAAACCCCAAACTAGCAAAAGGAAGGACACAATAAAGATTAAAGTAGGGATAAATAAAATAGAGGATAGAAAAACAATAGAGTCAATGATAGCAAAAGTTGGTTCTTTGAAAAGATCAACAAAATGAACAAACCTTTCCCTACACTAACACAGAAAAAAGAAGACACAAATAATTAAAATCAGAAATGAAAGTGGAGGCATTACCGACCATATAGAAATAAAAAAGATAAGAGAATATTATACAAAATTACATACCGTGGGGTGTGGTGGCTCACGCCTATAATCCCAGCACTTTGGGAGGCCAAGGTGGGCAGATCACCAGAGGTCAGGTGTCGGAGACCAGCCTGGCCAACATGGTGAAATCACATCTCTACTAAAAATACAAAAACTAGTCAGGCGTGGTGGCGGGCGCCTGTAATCCCAGGTACTTGGGAGGCTGAGGCAGGAGAATCGCTTGAACCTGGGAGGCAGATGTTGCAGTGAGAGGAGATCGTGCCACTGTACTCCAGCCTGGGTGACAGAGCGAGACTCTGTCTCCAAAGTAAAAATAAAAATAAATAAATAAATAAAAATACAAAAATTAGCTGAGTGTGGTGGAACGTACCTGTAATCCCAGCTACTTGGGAGGGTGAGGCAGGAAGATAGCTTGAACCTGGGAAGTAGAGGTGGCAGTGAGCCAAGATTGCGCCATTGCACTCCAGCCTGGGTGCCAGAGTGAGACTCCATCTCAAAATAAATAAATAAATAAAAATAAAAAAATTAGCTGGGTGTGGTGGCAGGCACCCGTAATCCCAGCTACTTGGGAGGCTGAGCCAGGAGAATCTCTTGAACCCGGCAAGCAGAGGTTGCAGTGAGCCAAGGTCATGCCACTGCACTGCAGCCTGGGCAACAGAGAAAGACTCCATCTCAAAAAAAAAAAAATTACATACCAACAAGTTTGATTAATTTACATGAACTGGACAAATTTCTAGAAACACACAAATTACCTAAAGTGACAAAATAAAGTCCAGGAATAGTTTCCCTGGTAAATTCTATCAAACACCTAAAGAATAATTAACACCAATCCCCAATCCTTTTTTTTTTTTTTTTTTTTGAGACGAAGTCTCGCTCTGTCACCCAGGCTGGAGTGCAGTGGCACGATCTCAGCTCACTGCAACCTCCACCTCCCAGGTTCAAACAATTCTCCTGTCTCAGCCTCCCGAGTAGCTGGGATTACAGGTGCCCGCCACCACACCTGGCTATTTTTGTATTTTTGGTAGCGATGGGGTTTCACCATATTTACAGGCTGGTCTCCAACTCGTGATCTCAGGTGATCCACCCTCCTTGGCCTCCCAAAGTGCTGGGATTACAGGCATGAATCACCTTGCCCAGCCAACACCAATCCTTCTTAAACTCCTCCAACAAATTGAAGAGCGGGAACATTTCCTAACTCATTCTATGAAGCCAGCATTAACCTAATACTAAAGCCATTTAAAGACATCACAAGAAAACAAACCAATATCTGTTATGATTCTAGATGTAAAAGTCCTTAACAAAATAGTAGCAAACCAAATCCAACAGCATATTAAGAGGATTATATATAGCTGGGGGCATGGTGGCTCATGCCTGCATTCCTAGAACTTTGGGATGCCAAAATAGGCAGATCTCTTTGAGCTCAGGAGTTCAAAACCGGCCTGGGCAACATGGCGAAACCACATCTCTACAGAAAATACAAAAATGAGCCAGGCATGCTGGCTTGTGCCTGTGGTCTCAGCTACTTGGGAAGCTGAGACTGGAGGATCGCTTGAGCTGGGAAGCAGAGGTTGCAGTCAGCCGAGATTGTGCCACTGCACTCCAGCCTGGGTGACAAAAGCGAGGCCCTGTCTCAAGAAAAAAAACAAGAGGATTATACACCATGACCCAGTGGATTTTAGCCATGAATGCACAAGTGGCTCTGTGAAGCAGGTCCTCTGTGCACTGGTTACCACTTCAGCCTACTGCCTCTTGGGCTGCACTTTTACTACTTTCCTGAATCCAGCGAGGCAGAACACTGCCTCACATACACAATAAGTCACATGAAACAGGTTTACTATTTATAGATAGGCAGCAAGGGACAACAGCAGCCTAGGATTCAGATTGAGCCAGTACCCCAAGGCTCAGGAAGGCTGCTTGAGGCAGTGAAGTCTCATCTGTACCTGCCCCACTTGCACCACAGTTGAGAGACCCCAGAAAGTAGTCGGCCAAGGGTTTTCTATCCCAGGGACCACATGAAACACTGGGCTAAAGCACTGAAAGACATCCTGTTTCAAGGAGAAACTGGAATAGAGCCCAGGCTGTTCCAGCCAATTCCCCCCATCTCAGGATGTTGCAATACCAGCCCATTCTACAGTTATTCTTGAAAACTATAAGTGAGAAAGTGGGGGAGAACTGGATCAGTTCAAGGCCACCCAGAGAACTGTCCTGCAGGTTCAATGTAAGAAAATCAATTCATGGCCAGGCATGGTGGCTCACGCCTGTAACCCCAACATTTTGGGAGGCCAAGGCGGGCAGATCACTTGAGCTCAGGAGTTTGAGGCCAGCCTGGGCAACATGGCGAGACCCCATCTCTACAAAAAATATTTTAAAAATTAGCCGGGTGTGGTGGGGTGTGCCTGTAGTCTCAGCTACTCAGGAGACTGAGATGGGAGAATCACCTGAGCCTGGGAGGTGGAGGCTGCAGTGAGCCATGATCATGCCACTTCACTCCAGTCTGGAGGACACAGTGAGACCCCTGTCCAAAAATAAAGAGAGAGAGAGAGAGAAGGGAGGGAGGGAGGTGAGAAAGAGAGAGAGAGAAAGAAAAGAGGGGAGGGAGGGAAAGGGAGGGGAGGGAGGGAAAGGGAGGGGAGGGAGGGAAGGGGAAGGGAAGGGGGAAGGGGAGCAGACGGGAGGGGAGAGAAGACAGGAGGGGAAAGGAGGGGGGAGGGGAAGGGAGGGGAGGAGAGGGAGGGAAGGGAGGAAAGGGGGAGGGGGGAGTGGGAGGGAAAAGGAGAGGAGAGTGAGGGAAGGGAGGAGGGGGGAGAGGGGAGGGGGAGGCAGGGGGATCACCTGAGGTCAGGAGTTTGAGGCCAACCTGACCAACATGGTGAAACCCTGTCTCTAATAGAAATACAAAAATTAGCTGGACGTGGTGGCACGCGCCTGTAATCCCAGCTACGGAGGTTGAGGCAGGAAAAACGCTTGAACCTAGGAGGAAGAGGTTGCAGTGAGCCGAGATCATGCCATTGCACTCCAGCCTGGGCAACAGAGCAAGACTCCGTCTCAGAAAGAAAAAAAAAATCAATTCATGCTGGCCAGGTGCGGTGGTGCATGCCTGTGATTCCAGCACTTTGGGAGGCCAAGGCAGGGAGTGGGGGGATCACTTCAAGTCAGGAGTTCAAAACCAGCCTGGACAACACAGCAAGATATTGTGTTTACTAAAAAAAAAAAAAAAAAAAAAATTTGAGACAGTGTCTCACTGTGTCATCCTCCAGGATGGAGTGTAGTGGCATGATCACGGCTCACTGCAGCCTCGACCCCCAGGCTCTGGTGATCCTCCCATTTCAGCACCCCAAACAGCTGGGACTACAGGTCGTGCTACCAGGCCTGGCTAATTTTTGTATTTTTTTGGAAAGATGGGGTTTCACCATGTTGCCTAAGCTGATCTCAAACTCCTGAGCTCAAGAGATCCACCTACCTCAGTCACCCAGAGTGTTAGAATTATAGGCATCAGCCACCGTGCCCAGCCTAAAATTTTTTTTTTAATTAAAAAAAAAGAGGCCGGGCACGGTGGCTTATGCCTGTAATCCCAGCACTTTGGGAGGCTGAGGTGAGTGGATCACCTGAGGTCAGGAGTCCCAGACCAGCCTGGCCAACATGGTGAAACCCCTCTCCTAAAAATGCAAAAATTAGCCAGGTGTAGTGGTGGGCACCTGTAATCCCAGCAACTCAGGAGGCTGAGGCAGAAGAATCGCTTGAACCCGGGACGCGGAGGTTGCAGTGAGCCAAGACCATGCCATTGCACTCCAGCCTGGGAGACAAGAACAAAACTCCATCTCAAAAAAAAAAAAAAAATCCAGGAAGGGCACAGCATTAGGATAAATAGCCAATGCATATGGGGCTTAATAACTAGGTGATGGGTTGATAGGTGCAGCAAACCACCATGGCACACATTTACCTATATAACTAACCTGCATGTCCCGCACATGTATCCTGGAACTTAAAATAAATTAAGGCTGGGCGTGGTGACTCACGCCTGTAATCTCAGCACTTTGGGAACCCGAGACAGGTGGATCACCTGAGGTCAGGAGTTCCAGACCAGCCTGGCCAACATGGTGAAACCCTGTCTCTACTACAAGTACAAAAAAAATTAACCAGCTGTGGTGGCAGGTGCCTGTAATCCCAGCTACTCAGGAAGCTGAGGCAGGAGAATTGCTTGAACCTGGGAAGTGGAGGTTGCAGTGAGCTGAGATTGTGCCACTGCATTCCAGCCTGGGTGACAGAGCGAGACTCCATCTCAAAAAAAGAAACATAAAATGTTTAAAAATTTTTGTAAAGAAAATCAATTAATGTGATATATCATAGTAATAGAAGGGAGAAAAAACACGATTATCTCAAGTGATAAAGAAAAAGCATTTGACAAAATCCAATGCCCTTTCATGACAAAAAGAAAACATTCAGAAAACTAGGAATAGGAGGAAACTTCCTTAACATGTTAAAGGGCATCTATGAAAATCCCAGAGCAAACATCACACTCAACAGTAAAAGACTGAAAGCTTTCCCCTGATTGTTCCACCAATTAGGAACAAGACAAGGACTCCCACTTTCACCACTGCTATTCAAATTGTACTGGCTGCTCTGGCCAGGGCAATTAGATGAGAAACAGAAACCAAAGGCATCCTAACAGGAAAGGAAGAAGGAAAACTATTTCTATTGACAGATGACTAAATCTTACATATAGAAAATCTCAAAGAATCCACAAGAAGGTTACGAGAGCTAATTAACAATATCAGCAAAGTCACAGGACACAATATCAACACCCAAAAATCTATACATCAGTAATGAACAATCAGAAAAGGAAATTAAGGCCAGGCATGGTGGCTCACACCTGTAATCCCAGCACTTTGGGAGGCCAAGGCAGACGGATTGGTTGAACCCAGAAGTTCAAGAACAGTTTGGGCAACATGGAGAAACCCCATCTCTACTAAAAATAGAAAATATAGCTGGTCGTGGTGGTGTGCACCTATAATCCCAGCTACTCAGGAGGTTGAGGTGGGAGGATCACCTGACCCCGGAATGCAGAGGTTGCAGTGAGCTGAGATTGCATCAGGCCATTGCACTCCAGCCTGGGCCTCAGAACAAGACACTGTCTCAAAAAAAAAAAGAAAAGGAAATTAAGACAACAATTCCACTTACATATGCATTGGAAAATATAAAGTATCTAGGAATCAATTTAACCAAGGAGGTGAAAGACATATACATTGATAACTATAAAACATTGCTGAAAGAAATTAAAGACAATCTAAATAAATGGAAAGATCCTGTATTCATGGACTGGAAGATTTAGTATTGTTAAGATGTCAGTACTACCCAGTGATCTACAGATTCAATACAATGCCTACCTATCAAGGTCTCAACAGCTGGCCAGGCATGGTAGCTCGCGCCTGTAATCCCATCACTAGAATGCTGAGGCAACAGTATTGCTTAACAGGAGGTTGAAACCAGCCTAAGCAACATACTGAAACCCTGTCTCTATATAAAAATTTAAAAGTAGCTGGGTGTGGTGGTACATATCTGTAGTCCCAGCTACTCAGGAGGCTGAGGCAGGAGGATCACTTGAGCCCAGGAGTTCAAGGCTGCAATGAGCTATGATCCTATGATCATGCTACTGTACTCCAGCCTGGGTGACAGAGAGAAACCTAGTCTCTAAAAACAAACAAAAAACCCAACAGCCTTTTTTGCAGAAATGGAAAAGCAAATTATTAAAATCATATGAAACTGTAAGGGGCCTTGAGTAGACGAAACAATCTTGGAAAAGAACCAAGCTGAAGAACTGACATTTCCCAATTTCAAAACTTACTACAAAGGTACAGTAATCAAAACAGTGTGGTACTTAAAATGAACAGGTTTTCCTAAAAACAAACAGTGTGGTACTGGCATAAGGACAGACATACAGACCAATGGAATCGAAGTGAGAGTCCAGAAATAAACCCAGTGCTTGCTTCAGCAGCACATATACTAAAAGTGGAATGATACAGAAGTAAACCCAACATCTATGGTCAACTGATTTTCAAAAAGGGTGCAAGTCCATTCAATGGAAAAAGAATAGTCTTTTAAACAAATGGTGCTGGAACAATTGGAGTTCTACGTGTAAAAGAATGAAGTTGGTCTGGGTGCAGTGGTTCACACCTGTAATTCCAGTGCTTTGGGAGGCTAAGGCGGGAGGACTGCTTGAGCCCAGAAGTTTGAGACCAGCCTGGGCAACATAATGAGACTCTTGTCTCAAAATAAACTTAAAATAAAATAATAAAATATAGAATAAAATAAAATAGCCAGGTGTGGTGGCATGCATCTGTATTACTAGCTACTTGGGAGGCTGAGGTAGGAGGATCACCTGAGCCCAGTTCAAGGCTGCAGTGAGTTATGATCATGCCACTGTACTCCAGCCTGGGTGACAGGGAGAGACCCTGTCTTAGAAAAAAAAAAAATGAAGTTAGATCCCTACTGCACAGTCACTTATAAAAATTAACTCAAAATGGGTAAACAATCTAAATATGAGCTAAAATCATTACCTCATAGAAGAAACATAAGGGTAAATCTTCATAACCTTAGATTTGGCAATGGATTCTTAGATATGACATAAGCAACATCAAAATTAAAAACTTTCAACCTTTTGTGAGTGGTGGCTAGCACTAAGAGAAGCCAGGAAGGCCTGGGGCACACATCAAGAACACAAGGTGGTGGGGGTGTTGCCTGACCACCCCCAAAAGCTGCACACCAACCCTCTACCCCATGCGAATCTTTGAGCCTCTGGCACTTTGTATCTCAGCTGAAGAAGCCTTCAGTGGAAACTGTCTCCAGTGGGCAGGTGTTGGAGAACCCGCCCTCTTCAGGTGAAGAGTTTGGGCATCTGGCTGCACTATCCTCCAAGTGGCACCCAAAACCTGCACTGGGAACATGGGCCCTGACCTGGTGGACATCACCACCTGGTGACAGAGTGCCAGGCGCATTCCATCCAGATGAGGAAGATGAAGGAGACTGCGTCAGAAAGTGCTGCCAGTCAGCAATCAATTCCACCACTTCACTATCAAGTTCTTTCTGCCCCACCAGTCCTGCCATGCCAGCATGAGCCACACTTTGTTAACAAGAAACCCAATACCTTCTCTAGGTACAGAGTCCTCTCCACCCCCAAGACAGCCCAGATAAACTCCTTAGGAACAACAACAACAAAATTAAAAACTTTTGTTCATCAAAGGACATTGTCAAGAGATAAAGAGAGGCCTGGCACATTTGAGAGGCTGAGGTGGGAGGATCTCTTGAGGCCAGGAGTGCAAGACCAGCCAGGGCAACAAAGCAAGACCCTGTCTCTACAAAAAATAACAATATTGGCCAGGTGCGGTGGCTCACGCCTGTAATCCCAACACTTTGGGAGGCCGAGGAGGGCGGATCACGAGGTGAAGAGATCGAGACCATCCTGGCCAACATGGTGAAACACCGTCTCTACTAAAAATACAAAAATTAGCTGGGTGTGGTGGCACATGCCTGTAGTCCCAGCTACTCAGGAGGCTGAGGCAGGAGAATCGCTTTAACCCAGGAGGCAGAGGTTGCAGTGAGCCAAGATCGCACCACTGCACTCCAGCCTGGTGACAGAACGAGACTCTGTCTCAAAAAAACATAAATATATAAAATAACAATATTAGCTGGGCGTGGTGGTGTGCACCTGTGGTATGGTTCCAGCTACTCAGGAGGCTGAGGCAAGAGGATCACTTGAGCCTAGGAGATCAAGCCTGCGGTGAGCCATGATCACACACCACTGCACTCCAGCCTAGGGAACAGAGTAAGACCCTGTCTCAAAACAAGCAAACAAACAAAAAAAAAGAAATGAAAACCTACAAAATGGGAGAAAATATCTGCAAATCATATATCTGATTAGATTTAATATCCAGAATATATAAAGAACTCCTATAACAACAAGAAAACCCAATTTAAAAATGGGCAAATGACTCAAATGGACAGCTCTCTGAAGAAAATATACAAATGGACAAGCACCACATGAAAATATGCTCAACATCATTAGCCACTAGGGAAATGCAAATCAAAACCACAATGAGCCGTGGTGGCCCACACTTGCAGTCCCAGCCCAGGAGTTCAAGGCTGCAGTGATCTCTGATTGTGCTCATGCACTCCAGACTAGGTGGCAGAGTGAGACTCTACCTCTAAAAAATAATAATACTTTCTAAACCACAATGAGATACCACCTCATACCTATTTATTATAGTTGGCTGTAATAAATTTTTTTTAGAGATGGGGTCTTGCTATGTTGCCCAGCTGATCTTGAACTCCTAGCCTCAAGCAATCCTCCTGACTCAGCCTCCCAAAGTGGTGGGATTACAGGCATAAGCCACTACACCTCACCAAATTTTTTTGGTTGGGGAGTGGGGAGGTGGGGGAACAGGGTCTTGCTCTGTGCCCAGGCTAGAGTTCTGTGGCATGATCATAGCTCACTGCAACCTCAAGCTCCTGGGCTCAAGCAATCCTACTGTCCCAGCGTTCCAAATAGGTAGGACTACAGGCATGTGTCACCACTCCTAATTTTTTTTTTTTGGAGAGACAAAGTCTCACTATGTTGCTCAGGCTGATAATCCTCCTACTTTGGCCTCTGAAAGTGCTGGGATTACAGGAGTGAGGCATCATGACTGACCGATAGTAATTTTTTTAAAAATAGAGACAGTAAAAAAAAAAAATAGAGACAGACCTGTAATCTCAACACTATGGGAGGCTGAGGCAGCAGGATCGCTTGAGGCCAGGACTTCGAGACCAGCCTGGGCAACACAGCAAGATCCTGTCTCTACAAAAAACAGAAAAAATTAGCCTAGCCTGGTTGTGCATGCCCATTGTCCCAGCTACTCAGGAGCGTGAGCTGAGAGGATCACTTGAGCCCCGGAGGTTGAGGCTGCAGTGAGCTGTGATCACACTACTGCACTCCAACCTGACACCTTGTCTCAAAAACAAACAAACAAAAAAGGTGCGGTCACTGTGGGAATTTATCACTTCCTGAAAAAGCTAGACAGAATTCCCATATAACTCAGAAATTACACTCCCAGGTATACAGGCAAAAGAATTATAAACAGGTGTAACCACAGGACCAGTTGAATCTGATTCAGTTTTTTTTTTTTTTTTTTTTTTTGAGATGGAGTTTTGTTCTTCTTGCCCAGGTTGGAGTGCAAAGGAGCGGTTTTGGCTCACTGCAACCTCCGGCTCCCGAGTTCAAACGATTCTCCTGCCTCAGCCTCCCAAGTAGCTGGGATTACAGGCACCCACCACCAGCCTGGCTAATTTTTTTGTATTTTTAGTAGAGATGGGGGTTTCGCCCTGCTGGCCAGGCTGGTCTTGAACTCCTGACCTCGGGTGATCCACCCACCTCAGTCTCCCACAGTGCTGGGATTACAGGTGTGAGCCATTGTGCCCAGCCTGGTTCAACTTTTATCAGTAACAAAATGATGAGTTGTTTTTCAGTTACAATAGATCCCCAGGCTGCAAGTCACGTAACCTAAGTATGCCCAGATGAACAAAGTGTGCCTGATAGCTGACCCTGGTGTCGGTGGGAACACAAAAGTCAACCACAGGCAGGACTTAACCACTCAAATGGAGGAATGGACACCAAATTAGGAAGCATGGGGCGCCTTGTTTTGCTGCAATATGAACTTAAAAGCCAAAGATCCAGCATTGCCCCTTTGCATGACCCAAACAGATCACACCTTGTTGTATTTTCCCATCTCCCTCATAGTTGCCTTCTGCCTATAAAACCTGCCCCCAGATTCCATCTTGGGGAGACAAATTTGAGTATTGCCTCTGGTTTCCCTGCTGGTCGACCTTACGATAAAGCCTTTTCTCAAAAGGTGATGACATAGTATTGGCTTCTATGTGCATCTAGCAGTGAGCCCACTGCTTGGTACCACAATGGGCTCAAACATTTATAAGCCAATGTTCATTGCAACATTATTCAAAACAGCAAAAAAGCAGAAATAACCAAGTGTCCATCAATAGATGAATAAATAAACAAAATGTGGTATATACATACAATGGAATATTATTCAGCCATAAAAAGAAATGAAGTTCTGGCCAGGCATGGGGGCTCATGCCTGTAATCCCAGCACTTTGGGAGGTCGAGGTGGGTGGATCACTTGAGGTCAAGAGTTCAAGACCAGCCTGGCCAACATGGTGAAACCCCATCGCTACTAAAAATACAAAATAAGCTGGGCGTAGTGGCGGGCGCTTATAATCCCAGCTACTTGAGAGGCTGAGGCAGGAGAATTGCTTGAATCTACAAGGCAGAGGTTGCAGTGAGCCGAGATGACACCACTGCACTCCAGCCTGGGCAACAAGAACGAAACACCATCTCAAAAATAAAAAAAGAAAGAAAGAAAAAGAAAAAAATATTAGCCAGGCATGGTGGAGCGTGCCAGTAGTCCCAGCTACTTGGGAGGCTGAGGCATCAGAATCACTTGAACCTGGGTGGCAGAGATTGCAGTGAGCTGAGATGGCACCACTGCCCTCCAGCCTGAAACCGAGGGAGATCCTGTCTCAAAAAAAAAAAAAAGAAATGAAGTTCTGACCCATGCTACAACACAGATAAACCTTGACAACCTCATGCTCAATGAAATAAGGTGGACACAAAAGGACATATACATTATGATTTCACCCACATAAAGTAATTGAGTAATCAAATGTATAGAGACCGTATAATAGAGGTTACCAAAGGAGAGAAGGACAGGAGGAGAAGGGGAAATAGGAAGTTATTGCTTAATGGTTACAGAGTTGCTGTTTCAGGTGATGAAAAAGTTTTGGAAATTGAGTGGTGACGGTTGCATAATATTGTGAATGTAATTAATGCCACTGAGTTATACACCTAAAAATGGTTAAAATGGCATTAAAAAAAAAAAGACAGTATCTTGCTCTCTGGCCCAGGCTGGAGTGCAGTGGTACAATCATAGCTCACTGCAGCCTCAATCTCTCAGGCTCAAGAGATCCTCCTGCCTCAGCCTCCCAATTAGCTGAGACTACAGGTGAGTGCCACTACACCTGGCTAATTTTCTTGATTTTTTAGTAGAAATGAGATCTTGCTCTGTTCCCCAGGCTGATCTGGAACTCCTGAGCTCAAGCGATCCTCCCGCCTCCACCTCCCGAAGTGCTGGGATTACAAGCGTGAGCCACTGCACCCAGCTGCAAATGTTTAGTACATACATTTTTACCGTAATTTATTTAAAAAAAAAAAAGGAAAAAAGAATACAGAAGTTTGTTCCTTGGTCTCTTCACCTCTTCCAGTCTCTAGATCCTTGTCACATACATTACCCTAACTTTGTTCTATAATAAGCACTTATACGCCCCCTTTTTTTGTTTGTTTTTTGAGACGGATTTTCGCTCTTGTTGCCCAGGCTGGAGTGCAATGGCACGATCTCGGCACACCGCAACCTCCGTCTCCCGGGTTCTAGCGACTCTCCTGCCTCAGCCTCCCGAGTAGCTGGGATCGCCACCACGCCCAGCTAATTTTTGTATTTTTAGTAGAGACGGGGTTTCCCCATGTTGGTCAAGCTGGTCTCGAACTCCTGACCTCAAGTGATCCGCCCGCTTCGGCCTCCCAAAGTACTGGGATTACAGGCGTGAGCCACCGCGCCCGGCCTTTCCCCAAATTTTAATACTTTAAAATAGGGAACATCTTACAATCAACAGGTTGTGACAGGTTAATTAGCCACGTTTTATCTTTGATAGGTAGCTCTAAAGTCAAGAAAACCCAGGCAAGATCCCGGGCAAGATCCCAGCACTGCCAACTGTCATTTGTAGACCGGGGATAGGAACACCTGTCTCACAGATTGTTACACAATAGCGCCGGTGAAGCGCTTGTCACAAAGCCTGACCCAGGACAATCTCAAAAACGGAGATTCTGTTATTCAAATTGTTTATTTTTGTGCGCTAAGTTTCACATCAACCCAACTATCTCTTGATAGGTTCCTACCAGGCGCTAGAGATATCTTACTTTCAGAAATTATTTATGATAGCAGAAGCCGCTGGAAGTCCATAGACAACCTCATCTCTCTAGCGGAGCAAACAGCTGGGCTCCAGCTGGCCCTGGCTTCTGCAACTGCGCAGTCGGCGCTGTGACGCCCGGCGCGGCTCTGTGACGTCACGAATCGGTCCTCTGTAAGAGGGGAGGGCATTCTTCTCCAGGGGAGGGCTACGTGTTGACGCCATACGCCGGGGCGGGGCCGAGAGTTTGGAGCCCCGGAGTGGGGTGTCGGCGCCTCATTCGGGTGGAGCTGAGCCGGAGACAGGTAACCGTGCGCTGTCGCCGCGCCCGTCCCAGTGCCGGGTGTCGCGGCGCTTGGCGGCCCGGGGTTGGAGATCGCGGTAAAGGGGGAGGCCGCCGCGCCCTTGGTGCTGCGGGCGCCGCGGTGACAGGGGAGTGGAGCTGGATGGAGTGGGGCTCACGGAGGGTGGTAGGAGGGACGGGACCTGATGGATGGCCGTGGCAGCCAATGGAGCCGCGGGGCCTGCCCGGCGGGCGGAGATTGGCGGGTACGGGCGGGCTCCGAGGTCGCGCGGGGCGCGGAGCGACGCGCCATTGGCGGTGGGCGAGCGGGGGGCGGGCGCGGCGGCGGATGTGAGGGAGAGGGCGGTGCGTCCGCAGGGGTGACCCCCAAGGTCGCCGCGGGCGTCACGTGGTTAGGCCGCTCTCCGACGGCGTCCTTCCCGACCGGGACGCACTCTCCTTCCCGCCTGTGAGGACCGCGTCGCTTTGTCCGAAAGACAGTGTGGCCTGCTCGAGTTGCGTCGGAGCATCTGGCTTTGGGGTGGCCCTGGGTGGGACTGCCTGTTTGGATTACCGCGCAGACCTTGGCGCCGCCCCCACACCTGCTGCCAGAAGTTGGGTCGAACAGATTGACCGAGATGAAGCTTATTTCTCGTAGAAACATCTTTCAAGCACCATTTTCCCTCGAAAATATATCAGACATTGGATATGAGTTGTAATCTACTGAGATTTAATAGAAAACTTGCCGCGCCCTCGCCCTGACCTGGGTGCGTCCCACCTGCCATCCCCATCCCTTTGCCCAGAACATAGGACTTCGTGTTAGGGTTTCCTTGTGCCTTGTCTTGCAGTCCGTACTTTGAGGCTGATTTCCAGGTACACTGCTCTGAACAGCTGGGTTTAGGATGGGTGGCATGGGATAAAGCCTTTTTTTGTAAGGCAGCACTAGTTGCAACAGTCAAACTGTACTTTGCCGTGTAGACCTAGGAGAGTATGTAACACTATTGTAGTTTTGTAAATTAGCTGAGGACTGGATCTTGGGAAGTTGAATAAAGATCACTGTATGCTCATTTTTTGTTGTTGTTGTCTTGTTTGAGATGGAGTCTCTGTCGCCCAGGCTGGAGTGCTGTGGCGCGATCTCGGCTCACTGCAACCTCTGCCTTCCTGGGTTCAAGTGATTCTCCTGCCTCAGCCTCCCAAGTAGCTGATATTACAGGCACGCGCCATCACGCCCGGCTAATTTTTGTATTTTTAGTAGAGACGGGTTTTCACCACCTTGGCCAGGCTATTCTCGAACTCCTGACCTCAGGTGATCCGCCCGCCTCGGCCCCCAAAGTGCTGGGATTACAGGCGTGAGCCACTGCGCCCGGCCCCTCATTATTTTTTTTAAGCGCACTTTTCACATTTCAGTTACTTTTTCCCTTTAAATAACATCTTTATTGAGATAAAATTCACATACCATACGATTCACCCATTTGACGTGCACAATTTCGGCCAGTCGTGGTGGCTCACGTTTGTAATCCCCACACTTTGGGAGTGTGAAAGGAAGATCCCTTGAGCTCAGTTCAAGGAGACCAGCCTGAGCAACCAAAGTGATACCCGGCGTCTACAAAAAATAAAATTATCCGGATATGGTGGCATATACCACATATACTTGTAGTCGCAACTACTCAGGAGGCTGAGGCGGGAGGATGGCATGAGCCAGGGAGGTCCAAGCTGCAGTGAGCCATTATTGCCCCACTGCACTCTAGCCTGGGTGACACAGTGAGATCCTGTCTCAAAAAAAAAGGCCGGGCGCAGTGGCTCACGCCTGTAATCCTAGCACTTTGGGAGGCCGAGGTGGGTGGATCCCCTGAGGTTGGGAGTTTGAGACCAGCCTGGCCAACATGGTGAAACCCTGTCTCTACTAAAAATACAAAAGTTAGCAGGGCATGGTGGCGTGGGCCTGTAGTCTCAGCTACAGGCTGAGCTCCTCCAGCCTCAGCAGGAGGCTGAGGCAGGAGAATCGCTTGAACGCAGGAGGCAGAGGTTGCAGCGAGTCGAGATGGCGCCACGGCACTACAGCCTGAGCGACAGAGCAAGACTCCATCTCAAAAAAAAAAGGAAAGAAAAAACTACAGTATCATCTACTTTTTAGATTTTTAGGTAATTTTTGAGATCATTGTACAAATTATTGAGAAATTCATTTTGAAAACAGTAAAATTTTAAGAAATTGTACATAAAAATTTATTCTATGCAGTCATAATAAATAGTACAGAGAGATCCTGTGTTCCTTTCCCACTTCTCTAACATTGTGCAAAACTATAGTAAATATCACAGCCAGATATTGACATTAATAAAATTCAAGATACAGAATATTCCCGTCATCACAAGGATCCCTTCCATTGCTTTTTTATAGCCACACCCACATTCCTCCCATTCCCAGTCCTTCAACTCCTGGTAACCACTAATCTGTTCTTCATTTCCCTAATTTTGGCATGTCAAGAATGCCAAATAAAAGGATTCATAGAGCCTTTTGGGATTGGTTTTTTCCAGTCAGCTTAATTCCCTGGAGAATCATCCAGGTTGTTGCGTGTTATGGGTAGTTCATTCCTTGGCCAGGCGCAGTGGCTTACGCCTGTAATCCTAGCAACTTTGGGAGGCTGAGGCAGGCAGATCGCTTGAGCCCCAGGAGTTCGAGTCTGAGGAACATAGTGAGACCTCGTCTCTACAAAAAAAAAAAAAAAAAAAAATTAGCCAGGCGCAGTGGTGTGTTCCTGTAATCCCAGCTACTCAGGAAGCTGAGGTGGGAGGATCGCTTGAGCCTAGGCTGTGGTGGCTGCGGTGAGCCGAGATCGCGCCACTGCACTCCAGCATGAGTGACAGAGTGAGACCCTGTCTCAAAAAAAAAAAAAAAAAGGTACTTCATTCCTTTTTATTGAAGCCGGGCTATTGGGCTATGGATGTACCACATTTGGTTTATTCATCCATTAAAAGACATCTTTACTGTTTCCATTCTTTGGCTATTACAAATAAAGCTGCTACAAACCTTCATGTACAGATTTTTATTTGAACATAAATTGACATTTCTCCAAGATAAATGCCCAGGAATACAATCACTAAGTCGTAGTGCGTGCTTAGTTATTAAACAAATAGCCAAACTGTTTTCCAGAGTGATTGTACTATTTTACATTCCCACCGGCACTGTATGGTCTTGTTTCTCCACATACTTGCCAGCATTTGGTGATGTTACTTTTTTTATTATAGCCATTCCAATAAATGTGTAGTAATGTCTCTTTGTGGTTGTAATTTGCATTTTTCTGATGGCTAATGATGTTGAACATCTTTTCATGTGCTTATTTGCCATCTGTCTATTCTCTCTTTTTTTGGAAGAGATGGGATCTTGCTATGTTGCCCAGGCTGGTCTTGAACTCCTGGGATCAAGTGATCCTCCTGTCTTAGCCTCCCAAAGGCTAGGATTTCAGGCATGAGCCACCATGCCTGGCCCCTGTATACTCTCGGGTGAAATGTCTGTTCATATCTTTTGTTCATTTCGTAATTAGATTGTTCGGTTTTTGTTAACTGTTGAGCTTTGAGAATTCCTAATGTATTCTAGATACCACTGCTTTGTTGGATATGTAGTTTGCAGATATTTTCTCCTAGTCAGCAGCATGTCTTTTCATCTTGGTTTTTTTTTTGTTTGTTTGTTTGTTTTGTTTTTGAGATGGAGTCTCGTTCTGTCCCCCAGGCTGGAGTGCAGTGGCGTAATCTCTACAACCTCTGCCTCCCAGGTTCAAGCGATTCTTCCGCCTCAGCCTCCTGAGTAGCTGGGATTACAGGCGCTTGCCACCACACCTGGCTAATTTTTGTATTTTTAGTAGAGACGGGGTTTCACCGTGTTGGTCAGGCTGGTCTCGAACTCCTGACCTCGCGATCTGTCCACCTCAGCCTCCCAGAGTGCTGGGATTACAGGCGTGAGCCACTGCTCCTAGCCCTTTTCATCTTTTTGTTTGTTTGTTTGTTTGAGACGGAGTCTTGCTCTGTTGCCCAGGCTGGAGTGCAGTGGTGCAATCTTGGCTCACTGCAACCTCCACCTCCCCGGTTCAAGCCTTTCTCAGCCTCCCAAGTAGCTGGGACTACAGCCGCGTGCCACCACGCCCGGCTAATTCTTTTGTATTTTTAGTAGAGACGGGCTTTTACTGTGTTAGCCAGGATGGTCTGGATCTCCTGACCTCGTGATCGACACCCCCTTGGCCTCCCAAAGTGCTGGGATTACAGGCGTGAGCCACCGCGCTCAGCCCCTTTTCATCTTCTTAACGGGGTCTTTTGCAAAGCAAAAGTTTATAATTTTGATGAGGTCTGGTTTACCAATTTTATCTTTTGTTAGATTGCTTTTGGTGTTGAGTTGAAGAACTCTTTGCCTAGCCCAAATTCCTGAAGATTTTATCATATGTATTTTTCTAAATTTTTTTTTTTTTTTTTTTGGAGACACGGTCTTACTCTGTCACCCCAGGCTGGAGTGCAGTGGCATGATCACAGCTCACCGCAGCCTCAACCTCCTGGGCTCAGGTGATCCGGTGATCCTCACACCTCAGCCTCCTGAGTAGCTAAGAGTACCGGAGTCTGCACCATGCCTGGCTAATTTTTGTATTTTTTGTTTTTTGGTTTTTTGAGACGGAGTCTCGCTCTGTCGCCCAGGCTGGAGTGCTGGAGTGCAGTGGCACGATCTCAGCTCACTGCAACCTCCGCCTTCCGGGTTCATGCCATTCTCCCACCTCAGCCTCCTGAGTAGCTGGGACTACAGGTGCCCGCCACCATGCCCGGCTAATTTTTTTTTTTTGTATTTTTTAGTAGAGACGGGGTTTCACTGTGTTACCCAGGATGGTCTCGATCTCCTGACCTCGTGATCCCCCCCGCCTCGGCCTCCCAAAGTGCTGGGATTACAGGCGTGAGCCACCGTGCCTGGCCTAATTTTTGTATTTTTTGTAGGGACGGGTTTTGCCATGTTGCCCAGACTGGTCTCAAACTCCTGGGGTCAAGCAATCCTCCCACCTTGGCTTCCTGAAGTGCCAGGATTACAGGCGTGAGCCACTGCGCCTGGCCACTTTTATAAAATTTTTAAATTTTACATTTAAATCTATGATTCATTTAGACTTAATTTCTTTTTTCTTTTTTTTTTTATGTTTTCACTTTATGGTACTTTTTGATGAACAGTTTTTAATTTTAATGTAATTGATATAAATTTAGTCTTGTGGCCAGCTTTTTTTGAGTCCTAAAGACTCAAGATCAAATAGATATTCTAAAAGTTTTAATGTTTTTTTTTATTATTATGCTTTAAGTTCTGGGGTACATGTGCACAACATGCAGGTTTGTTACATATGTATACATGTGCCATGTTGGTGTGCTGCACCCATTAACTCGTCATTTACATTAGGTATATCCATTTGGAGTTAATTTCTGTATGTGGTTTAAAGTTTGAGTGTTTTTTGGTTTTTGTGGGGGGTTTTTGCTTATGAATATCTAACCAGCACCGTTTGTTTGAGAAGACTGTTTTTCTTCCATTGAATTGCTTTTGCACTTTCGTCAGAAATCACTTGGCTGTACTTGTGTGACTCTGTTTCTGATTCTCTGTTGCATTCCATTGATCTTTGTGTCTATCCCATCACCAATACCGAGAGTTTTTATTATTGTAGCTCATAAGAAGTCTCAAAATCGGATAGATTGATTTCTCTCACTTCTTTTTCAAAATTGTTTCAGCTAATCTAGTTCTTTTGCCTTTCTTTTTTTTTTCTTGTGACGGAGTCTTACTCTGTTGCCCAGGCTGGAGTGCAATGGGCATGATCTCGGCTCACTGCAACCTCTGCATCCTGGGTTCAAGCGATTCTCCTGCCTCAGACCCCCGAGTAGGTGGGACTACAGGCATGCACCACCACACCCTGCTAATTTTTTTTATTTTTAGTAGAGATGGGGTTTCACCATGTTGGCCAGGCTGGTCTTGAACTCCTGATCTCATGATCCACTCGCCTCGGCCTCCCAAAGTGCTAGGATTACAGGCGTGAGCCACCACGCCTGGCCACCTTTCTTCATTATACTTATTTATTATTTTTGAGGCAGGGTCTTACTCTGTCACCCAGGCTGGAGTAGAGTGGCATTATCACAGCTCACTGCAGCCTCTACTTCCAGGCTCAAGCAATCTTGCTACTTCAGCCTCCTGAGTAGCTGGGACTGCAGGCACGTACCACCACGCCTGGCTGTTTTTTTTCTTTTCTTTTCTTTTCTTTTCTTTTTTTTGAGACGGAGTGTCACTCTGTCGCCCAGGCTGGAGTGCAGTGGCGCGATCTCGGCTCACTGCAACCTCCGCCTCCTGGGTTCAAGCAATTCTCCTGCCTCAGCCTCCTGAGTAGCTGGGACTACAGGCACGTGCCACCAACGTAATTTTTTTGTATTTTTAGTAGAGACAGGGTTTCACCATGTTAGCCAGGATGGTCTCGATCTCCTGACCTCGTGATCCACTTGCCTCTGCCTCCCAAAGTGCTGGGATTACAGGCATGAGCCACTGCGCCTGGCTTGTTTTTGTTTTTGTTTTTTGAGACAGTCTCACTTTGTCGCCCAGGCTGGAATGCAGTGTTGTGATCTCGGCTCACTGCAACCTCTGCCTCCCAGATTCATGTTATTCTCTCACCTCGGCCTCCTGAGTAACTGGGACTATAGGCACCCGCCACCACACCTGGCTGTTTTGTTTGTTTGTTTATTTGTTTGTTTGTTTGTTTTGAGACGGAGTCTCACTCTGTCACCCAGGCTGGAGTGCAGTGATGCGATCTTGGCTCACCGCAAGCTCTGCCACCCAGGTTCACGCCATTCTTCTGCTCAGTCTCCCGAGTAGCTGGGACTATAGGCGCCCACCACCATGCCTGGCTAATTTTTTGTATTTTTAGTAGAGATGGGGTTTCACCGTGTTAGCCAGGATGGTCTCAATCTCCTGGCCTCGTGATCCACCCGTCTCGGCCTCCCAAAGTGCTGGGATTACAGGCGTGAGCCACCACGCCCGGCTATAATTTTTATATTTTTAGTCGAGATGGGGTTTCACCATGTTGGCCAGGCCGTTCTCAAACTCCTGACCTCAAGTCATCTGCCCACATCGGCCTCCCAAAGTGCTGGGATAACAGGTGTGAGCCACTGGGCCCAGCCACCTGGCTTTTTTTTTTTTTTTTTTTTGAAGATGGCATTTTGCTGTTGTTGCACAGGCTGGAGTGCCATGGCGTGATCTCAGCTCACTGCAACCTCCACCTCTCAGGTTCAAGTGATTCTCCTGCCTCAGCCTCCCGAGTAGCTGGGATTACAGGTATGTGCTGCCACTCCCAGCTAATTTTGTATTTTTAGTTGAGACGGGGTTTCTCCATGTTGGTCAGGCTGGTCTGAAACTCCCAAACTCGGGCCATCCGCTCGCCTCGGCCTCCCAAAGTGCTGGGATTACAGGCATGAGCCACGGCACCTGGCCTAGCTGTCTTTTTAAAATTTTTATTTTTTGTAGATATAGGGTCTTGCTCTGTTGCCAAGGCTGGTCTCAAACCCCTAGGCAAGCTATCCTTTCACCTCAGCCTCCCAAAGTGCTGGGATTACAGGCCTTTTTTTTTTTTTTTCTTGTGTATAATGCACCATTTCTCTCTGGCTGCCTTCAAGGTTTTGGTTTTTTTTGTTTTTTTTGTTTGTTTGTTTTTTGTATTGAGTTTTCTGAATTTGTTTATGATGTGTCTTGGTGTGCATTTATTTGGGTTTATTCTTCACGGGGTTCTTTATGCCTTTTGCCAGATTTGGGAGATTTGTAGCCATTATTTCTTTGAATGCTTTTCCAGCCCCTCCTTCTGCCTTCATCAGGGACTCCAATGACATTAATATTAGATCTTTTGTTATTTCCCTGAGGCCTTGTTCTGTCTTCAAGTTCACTGATTTCCTCTGTCTTTATTCTGCCCTTTAACCCATGCTAAAGCTTTTTTCTTTTGCTTAGTGCATTTTTCAGTTCTGAAATGTCTGTTTTGTTCTCTACATCTTCTCTTTGCTGAAACTTTATTTTTCATTTGTTTCAAGCATGTTCATAGTTGCTCGTGGAAGCATTTTGAGGATGCCTCTTTTAGAATCTTTGTCAGATAATTGTAAGTCTACGTCATCTTGGTATTGGTGTCTATAGATTGTCTTTTTTTGTTTGAAATTATCCCGGTTCTTTTGGTTCTTTTTTTTTTTTTTTTTTTTGAGATGAAGTCTCGCTCTGTCGCCCAGGCTGGAGTGCAGTGGCGCGATCTCAGCTCACTGCAACCTCCTGGGTTCAAGCGATTCTCCTGCCTCAGCCTCCCAAGTAGCTGGGATTACAGGCATGTGCCACCATGCCAGGCTAATTTTTGTATTTTTGTAAAGATAGGGCTTCACCATGTTGGCCAGGCTGGTCTTGAATTCCTGACCTCAAGTGATAACACCTACCTCAGCCTCCCAAAGTGCTGGGATTACAGGTATGAGCCACCATGCCCGGACAAGATTATCCTGGCCCTTGGTGTAAAGAGTGATCTTTGACTTGCAACCTGGACATTCTGGGTGTTATGTTATGGACTCTTGATCTTGTTTAAATCTCTAAGCAATGCAGGCTTCCTCTGCTGGGGCAGGGAGGGGCTGCTTCCTCACTGTTGCTGGTGCGGTGTCTGGGGGGAGGGATTCCTTGTTATTGCTGTATGACTGTAAGAGTTCCCCATTAGGCCTTGGTGACATCACCCTGCCTGGGAAGGGAGGGGTGCTGCTTCATTACTGCTGGATGGGATTGAAATCCAGACTCCCTACCTGGTCTCCACTATCTTATCAGGGAGTGAGTTGGAAGGGCTCATTATTCACCAGGTGGGGATGAAAGTCCCTGGTCCCTATTCTGACACCAGCTGAGTGGAGTGAGGATATTTCCTGTGGAATTTGGCCGCAGTAGAGCAATTGTTGTTTAAAACTTTAAAAGTTTTCCATCTTGCTGCTCTTTTCCTGGTCCTTTGGCTAGAGAGAACAGGTTTCTGTTTGTAGTTTTCTTTGTCTACACCTGTTGGCATTTCTGGGTTGTAGGCTTCTCGAGTACCCAGGTCTGAAACACATGAAGCATAAAGAAAATCAAGAACTCAGTGCTCGGCTGGGTGTGGTGGCTCATACCTGTAATCCTAGCACTTTGGGAGTCTGACACTTGAGGTCAGGAGTTCGAGGCCACCCTGGCCAACATGGCAAAACTGTCTCTATAAAAAATACAAAAATTAGCCAGGCATGGTGATGTGCGCCTGTAGTAGTCTCAGCTACTTGGGGGACTGAGGTGGGAGAATCACTTGAGCCTGGGAGGTCCAGGCTGCAGTGAGCCGAGATCACACCACTGCACTCCAGCCTGGGCAACAGAGCAAGACCCTGACAGAAAGAAAAAAAAAAAAAACCTCAATGCTCTTTCTTTGGGTCCTCTGGTTCCTAGCCAGTCTGCTTCCTTCTCTCCACCTTTCACAGTCTTGTTTTGTCTTAAATGTAACGCCTCATGTTTTTAGCTATATTTAGCAGGAAACACGTTTTATATATGCTTTAATGAGATGTTGAAAAATTGTCCTGCTTTCCATAAAGATTTAATAATTTACACTCTATCAATACCTTTTAAAAGTGCCTATTTATCTACACCCTCCCCAGTCAACCTGTTTATACCACATCAGTCATGGGCATCTCAGATGCTGTGGGGCCACGTCTCAGGGAAAGGGCAGAACAGTCTTCAGACCTATATACTGAAGCGTACTCAGGGATCTGATCAGGGAGGTGTCAGTCCCTACCAGTGGTGACCACCCATGATTGGTGAGCTAAATAGGCTTCTGTGCTAAATGATGGAGACAGCCTACTAATGTTTTGGAAGTTACCAGTTGACCGCCACTCCAAATTAGCTAATGTTTAGGTTTAAATATCTTGGAAACTTGAACTTTTTATATCACTAGTTTGCCTTTTTTCCTAGGCTACATATATATATGTATATATATATACACATGTTTATGTATATATACACATATATATACGTATATACGTATATATACACATATGTATATGTATATATATACACACATGTTTATGTATATATACACATATATACGTATATAAGTGTATATGTGTATATATATACACGTATATGTGTATATGCATATATATATGTGTATATATATGCATATATACGTATATATGTGTATATATACACATATACGTGTATATATATACACATATATATATACGTATATATATATGTATATATGTGAGCCGAGATCGCGCCACTGCACTCCATCCTGGACGACAGAGCGAGACTCCTTTCGGAGCTCTGGAGTCTCACTCTGTCGTCCAGGCTGGAGTGCAGTGGCGCGATCTCGGCTCACAGTAACCACCTCCCGGGTTCAAGCAATTCTCCTGCCTCAGCCTCCCAAGTAGCTGGACTACAGGCACCCGCCACAATGCACAGCTAATTTTTTTGTAGTTTTAGTAGAGGCGGGGTTTCAGCATGTTGGCCAGGCTGGTCTCAAACTCCTGATCTCAGGTGATCCACCCACCTCGACCTCCCAAAGTGCTGGGATTACAGGCATGAACCACCATACCCAACCATTTCTTTAGTCATAGATATACCTTCAAGTTTTCAAAGTGCTTTCATATTTGTGTTACAATTACAAAAAGACATTATGAGGGGGTTAGGAGTAATTACTGTCTCCACTTTATGGCCCAGGAAAGCTCACACAGTGACTTGGTGTCACGTGGTCTCTGTTGGCCCAGGAAAGCTCACACAGTGACTTGGTGTCACACGGTCTCTGTACCTGCAGGCTCAACAATTGTTTCCATCTAGCAATGAAAAAAAACTTTACAGTTTAAAAGTAATCCTCACTACTTCCCTCAGCTTATATGTAATGAGGTGTCACTAGTGAAAGATAATAAATTCTTTGAGATTCTCAGCCAATAAGGGAGAATTGATATCTGTACTCTGTACATGAGTTCTTTGTATTACTACTAAAACAAAAATAATTGCAGGCATGAGACAACAGCCATAGGTCTGTAGCAAATGTGTTCATGATTCATCAGAAGAATTGAGTCTGAAACTGAAAAAAAGAAAGTGGATGAGTTGTCCTTTAAAATGGTTGCCAGCTAACACTCATAGGGTTTAAGGATCATGTAATGATGTGTGGGTTTTTTTCCCTCAAAGACTTATTTACTGAGAAACAGCAGACTGTTTTTGCTAGGTCTTGCCTTTTTAATCACCCCCCTACCTAGCCAATGTCATATTGATAGGCGTCAGTAGTTGGTTTATTTCCCTCATTCTTTGTGCCCTGGGATAGGGTACCTCCTACCCAACTGGGGAAATTCGAGGCATAGACCTCGAAGGCTTCATATTTCAGACAGAACCCTATTTAAGTATATCGTTTCCTAAGGGCAGGGCGTTTAACACCTAAAAACTAATTTTCCTTTGGTTTTTACTTTTTTTCTTTGTACAACTTATTTTTCCCAAATGTATGTGTTTATTTTTGCATCTTGAAATTAATGGATTACAACTTGTATCATTTTTGTGTACAGTGATAAGTTCAGTTACATTTTTTCTTACACATTAAAAAAATAACTTTATTGAGACATAATTCACATACCATACAATTCACTCATTTAAATTGTAAGGTGAATGTTTTTCAGTATATTAGAGGGTTGTGACACCATCAGCACAATCTAGTTTTAGAGCATTTTCATCCTCTCCTCCCAAAAAGAAAGCCCTATGTCCATTGAGTTACTCCTCATCCTTCCCTCATTTCTCTGCCCCAGCCCCAGGCAACCACTAATCTACTTTCTCTCTGTATAGATTTGCCTATTCTGGAATGTGATATTATTATCGTATATGGGTTTTTGTCCATGATTCCTGGTTCCATAGTTCTTGTTATTTCCTAAGTAACTAAAATAAGCATGTATTTTGTTAAAGTATTTCTCCTTGGTTCCTGAAGTAGCTTCCAAACAGCTTCAGAGTGATAAAGGTGGAAGTCTTTTGTTACAATGTTGGGGTGCTTTAGGCCCCAGAAACAGGCCTGTGGCACTCCTTTCACCTGCTGCTTTTTCTCCCCAAGGGAGGCCATAGAAACTAAAAATATACTCTAATATTCCTCCACTGTTCTGTCTTGGAGCCGGCAATAAAGAAATTCTCTGACCTACCTTGTCTGATTGTAGGTCACAAGACACCCACTTCAGGAGTCCTGCCTCACACCCACAGGAAGGAATCCTGCACAGAGAGGCCAAGAAGAATCTGAACAAACAGGCCTGGCTGGGTTTCCCCACTCGGTCTGTTGGTATTAGATCATACCCTTTTTGCCTGATCACCTATCTACATGGTTATCTATGCTTCAGTCATGCATATCCAATGAAGTCTCCATAAAAGGCCCAAGAGGATGGGGTACGGAGAGCTTCTGGATAGCTGAACATGTGGAGATTCCTGGAGGGTGGCATGCCTGGGGAGGGTATGGAAGCCTCCTTACCCCATCCTACACCTTGACCTGTGCAACTCTTAATCCACATCCTATGTTATATTCTTTGAAAAAAACAGTAGATGTAAGTAAGTGTTTCCTGAAATTTATTGAACCAAAGGAGGGGGTCATGGGATCTCCAGTTTCTAGCTGGTTGGCCAGAAGTACAAGTAAGACAACTGGGGGCTTGCGATTGACATCGGAAGTAGGAGGCAGCCTTGTGGGATTGAGCCCTTGACCTGTGGTATCTGATGCTGTCTCCAGGTAGGTAGCAGCAGAATTGAATTGCTTATTGGTAGGGAGAATTCCCCACACATTTAGTCACAGAAATCTTCTGTGTTGGTTGTTGTGTGAGAGCAGAGGAATAGACTCATAATATGTCTTTTGCGTCTGCTGCTTTTTACTGAGCATAATGTTTTCAAGGTTCCTCCAGGTTGGAGCATGCACCAGCACTTCCTTAGTTTCATTGCAGAATGCTGTTATATTCTATAGATATAACACGTTTTGCTTATCCATTCGTCAGTGATGGACATTTGAGTTGTTTCTACTGTTGTTTCTACTGTTTCAACTGTTGTTGCTCATAGCAACAATAATGCTGCTATGAGCATTTGTGTACAAGTTTTTTTTGTGGACATACATTTTCATTTCTCTTGATTATATATCTAGGAGTGTAATTGCTGTGTTATATGGTGACTTTATGTGTTTATTGGCTGTTAGTATATCTTCTTTGGACAAATATCTATTCAAATCCTTTACCTATTTTTTGATTGGGTTGTCTTTTTACTGTTGCATTATGAGAGTTCTTTATATATTCTGTATATAAGTTCCTTATCAGATAATTGCAAATATTTTCTCCCATCTATATCATTTCTTTCTTAATAAGTTCTTTGAAGCACAAAAATTTTTTGTTTTGTTTTGTTTTGAGACAGAGTCTCGCTCTGTCACTCAGGCTGGAGTGCGGTGGTGCGATCTCAGCTCACTGCAACCTCTGTCTCCTGGGTTCAAGGGATTCTCCTGTCTCAGCCTCCCAAGCAGCTGGGACTACAGGCATGCATGACCATGCCCAGCTAATTTTTGTATTTTTAGTAGAAACGGCGTTTCGCCATGTTAGCTAGGCTGGTCTCGAACCCCTGACCTCAAGTGATCCGCCTGCCTCAGCCTCCTAAAGCACTGAGATTACAGGCGTGAGCTACCGCTCCTGGCCAGATTTTTTATTTTGATGAAATCCAATTTGTGGTTTTTATTTTGTTGTTTATACTTGTGGTGTCATAACTAAGAATACATTGCTTGAATCAAGGTTACAAAGATTTACTTCATGGAAGTTATAAAACTTCTAAGTATCTTATAGTTTTGTCTCTTACATTCAGGTCTTTGATCCATTTTGAATTTTGTTTGTATATGTCTATGCAACTTCATTCCTCTTTAGACGTGGAACTCTAGTTGTCCCAGCACCTTCAGTTGAAAAGACTGTTCTTTTCCCTGCTGAATGGAGTTGGCACCCATTTAAATAGAAATATTCTTTTAAAGCAAGCTTGTCCAACTCCCAGCCCGTGGGCCACATGTGGCCCAGGACAGCTTTGAATGTGGCCCAACACAAGTTTGTAAACTTTGTTAAAACATTATGAGATGTTTTTGCGATTTTTTTTTTTTTAAAGCTCATCAGCTGTCGTTAGTGTTAGTGTATTTTATGTGTGGCCCTAGACAATTCTTCCAATGTGGCCCAGGGAAGCCAAAATATTGGACATCCCTGTTTTAAACCAAAAATCAAAACACTTGGATATTTTGGACAGCTCAGAGGAGCTTTCACAAAAATTGTTTAAACAATTGAATGTCTCTACCAAATAACGTACTATTCTTAAAGTTGACTTAGTGTCAGTTACAGAATTCTAAGTTGAATTTCAAGACCTAATGTTGACTGGCTGGCAGTTTTCCTTCTTTTTGTATTTAATATATTTTGTTTGTTTGTTTGTTTTTAGAGATAGGGTCTCGCTCTGTCACCCAGGCTGGAGTGGAGTGGCACGATCATAGCTTACTGAAGCCTTGACCTCCTGGGCTCAGGCTATCCTTCCACCTCAGCCTCCGGGGTAGCTGGTACTACAGACATGTGCCACCACACCCTGATAGCTTTTAAATTTTTTGTGGAGATGTGGTTTCACTATGTTGCCCGGGCTGGTCTCAAACTCCTGGCCTCAAACAATCCTTAAGCCTTGGCACCCCAAAGTGCTAGGATTATAGGCATGAGCCACCGTGCTTGGCTTTTAATATCTTCTTATGCCGTTTTATGTAAGAGAGAAAGGTGAAGAATGGGTATTTACCAGAATTAGAAATGTGCGTTAGTGTTGGCTCTGTCGTTCTGTCAAAGTGTGGACAGCAAATAGCTGTCCTGGCCGTTCCTGGGTGGAGTTGGGGATGTTGAGCCATCTGCTGAAGGGCAGCTCTTCCCGTGAGTCATCTTAAGGGAAGTTTAAAAATCTCAGCTGGGTGTGGTGGCTCACGCCTGTAATACCAGCACTTTGGGAGGCTGAGGTGGGCAGATCATGAGGTCAGGAGTTTGAGACCAGCCTGGCCAACATAATGAAACCCTGTCTCTACTAAAAATACAAAAATTAACCAGGTGTGATGGCATGCACCTGTAGTCCTAGCTACTCGGGAGGCTGAGGCAGGGGAATTGCTTGAACCTGGGATGGGAGGTTGCACTGAGCCGAGATCACACCACTGCACTCCAGCCTGGACTACAGAGCAAGACTCCGTATCAAAAAAAAAAAATCTCCAGCTGTTGTGGCAGCTCTGCTGGGCAGCACTTAACTATGTGTCAGATTCAGTGACTGCGGATAGCAAAATGTCATGATTTACTTAAACAGGATCATGTGGAAGGGGCCACTTTGGGAAGAACAGATGAAATTGGTGTTTTACGATTGTCAGTTCAGTGCCTGTTAATTGGGCTATTGCAGCAACTGAATACTGATAGTTAATGAGGTGATGCTATTGTTTTCTGGGAGAAAACCCAACTCAGAGGCAATTGGGTATTTAATATTGCCTTAATAATGACATTAAAGGAAAAAAATGAACATTTTCCTTTGAGCCTGAGAAATTAAAAAAAAAATAGCATAAAATGAAGCAACAGTAGTATTTTTGCTGTCAATGTTAGGGCTGTTTGTCTTCCTTAAATATATCAGTGGAAAAACTTGGAGTGTAGTTGGAGGTAGGAAGAACTACCGAATTAACTTAAAACTTTTGATTTCTAAAGTGAAAACCCAGGGGTAAAGATTGCATTCCCTAATTATATCCAGAATATATTGCTTGTTTACCTTTAATTTGTAAGGAGCAAGTTTTTGTTTGTTGTTCAGTTTGTTTTTAAAGAATATGTTCTGCTGTTTACTTTTGCTGACCTATCTCTTCTCAGTGGAGCAGGCCAGAGGTGAATGCAGGACACTCTAAGCCCTCTCTCTTGGTGTCCCTTAAGTGTATTCTGAGCATATTTGGGCCAAGAGGAAGTTTCTGATAAATAATATAGAAGATATTTTTATGTAACAGTTATTTCTGGGTAATTCACACTATGTTTCAGAGCTTGGATTTTCTTCGGGTAGGTGTGGACATGGAGTGTAGTTCTAACTTTACAACCAGAGCACCTGCTTTGAGACAAATTCATGAGCAACCATGTAGGCCAGCAAGCACCTTTTTTTCCACAGGCAGCGTCCTTGTGAACTTTCCGCTTGGATCCTGACTCTGCTGTTAGTAGCCTATGACCTTGGATGAAATGTAAGGGAATAGAAACTGAAGCTATCTGTAAAGTGAAAGAGCTGGTGCCTGCCTTATTGGGAGCCTCTGGGTTTATGTATGAGTCAGATGCGTAGAGTTGCTCACCATGGAGGGCCCAGGGTAGGCAGGCATTATTGAACAACTGCTCCATGTGCTCTTTTCAATCTTTGCAGACCCCACCCACGTCTCCCTTGCTCAGACCTGGCTCCCCATGGCTTATGAAAGGGGGCTGAGTGCAGAAGGTGGCAGGCAGGACACTGGACAACCCTCTGTGGCTTTTCCTTACCCTTCGTAGTACCATGAGATTCTGGCTCTTCCCGTCTCTGTGTTTCTGCCTATGGGTCCTTCCACATGCAGTGCCTCGTCTTCCCTCCTTCCCATCCATGTCCTTTTGTCTTCAGGCACACCCACTTGGAAGGAGCCCATCCTCTCACAGGGTCTGCTGGCATATTCTGCACCTCTCAAGTACTCATATTTCCTCTGCAATCTTTTCTATGTTGTTTTTCCTCTGCTCAAGGGTAAATTGAGAGTAAGGAAAGTATTTTTCTAATTTCTTTGTATTTTCCATAATATTGTAAGTACAGCAGGTACTCAGTAGTTTCTGGACAGATTAGAAAATGTTTTACTTATTCTCCAATTAATCCTAATCCTAATTCTAAATTAATTAATCCTTGTTGCCTTTCTTCTAATTGTTTTATATATATGTAATATGTAAATTTAAAGAACATCGTATGTTTATCATCTTAGCCCTTAAACTAGATTTAATGGTTTTTTGTTTTGTTTTGTTTTGAGACAGAGTCTCACTCTGTTGCTAGGCTGGAGTGCAGTGGTGCAATCTCGGCTCACTGCAGCCTCCACCTACCAGGTTCAAGCAATTCTCCTGCCTCAGCCTCCCAAGTATCTGGGTCTACAGGCATGCACCACCACACCCAGCTAATTTTTGTATTTTTAGTAGAGATGTGGTTTCACCATGTTGGCCAGGATGGTCTTGATCTCCTGACCTCGTGATCCACCCGCCTTGGCCTCCCAAAGTGCTGGGATTACAGGTGTGAGCCACCGAGTCTGGCCTAGATTTAAATTTTTAAGTGAAGATGGTAATATCTGCAACTGTGCACTCACCTTCCTTGGGCTCGCACAGGCATCCTGTGTTAGTAGGTGCAAGAGTGTGTTTCAGTTTCACACAGTCACAGCTCTGTTGTGCTCTCAGGCACATGAACTGGTGGCACTGAGCAGGTAGCACTCTTGTGAATACATTTATAGGCCAGGGTCTTTCTCCTCAACAATTAGAGTTGAACATGTTTTGTTTTTGTTTTTGTTTTTCTAGTAGCTTTTAAAAAAAAATTATCCTTTCTCTAGAGCATCAGGATCTAGTAGCCTTGTCTCCTAAATACTCATTTTTAAAACCTTTCTTTCTTGTTTTTTTTTTTTTTTTTTTGTACAGGCAGTTGTGAAAAACTTCAGGACAAAAATGTTTCATTTAAGGACTTGTGCTGCTAAGTTGAGGCCATTGACGGCTTCCCAGACTGTTAAGACATTTTCACAAAACAGACCAGCAGCAGCTAGGACATTTCAACAGATTCGGTGCTATTCTGCACCTGTTGCTGCTGAGCCCTTTCTCAGTGGGACTAGTTCGAACTATGTGGAGGAGATGTACTGTGCTTGGCTGGAAAACCCCAAAAGTGTACATAAGGTAAGGCTCGCAGGGCTGTGGGTCTGCCTCATGTTGGTGTGTTGGCCTGTTCCTGACTGGTCACCAGGTAAGTGTGTGCGTCCTGAGGAGTCAGCGGGCAGACAGGCAGCTGGAGCGCCATACCAACCACCGTATCTGTATCGGACCCAGCATAGCCCCAGCAGAAGCCATGGTCCCTGGATTGGCGTCCAGCAGTAGACACTGTGCTTAACTCTGCGAGGATGTGAAGAAGCATGTGTGTGACCCTCCAGCATCTCCGCAAGGGCTGCTTCAGGATGAAGCCGCTGAAGAAAGAAGAAAGAAAGAAAGTGTGTGGAAAAGAGCAGGACCTCAGGAAGCTCCTCCATTCTAACTGTCTGGAGAGGATACTTTCATTTGTAACATGCCGTAGTCACCTCATGTAATTTCTGTATGAATGGCCTTTTAGCTCATTATGTTCGTATTTTTTTCCTGTTTGTTTCTAACTTCTCTGTATTACATATAAGGGCATTTTCTAAACTTTTCACCACATGATTACTGATGTAAGTCATGTCTTGTTTTTTTTGGTTTGTTTTTGTTTTTGTTTGTTTTGTTTTGTTTCAGACAGAGTCCCACTGTTGTCCAGGCTGGAGTGCAGTGGCGGGATCTCGGCTTGCTGCAACCTCCGACTCCTGGGTTCAAGTGATTCTTATGCCTCAGCCTCCCGAGTAACTGGGACTACAGGTGCACGTCACCACGCCTGACTAGTTTTTGTATTTTTAGTAGAGATGGGATTTTACTTTGTTGGCCAGGCTGGTCTTGAACCCCTGGCCTCAAGTGATCCACCCACCTTGGCCTCCCAAAGTGCTGGGATTACAGGTATGATCAACCACGCCTGGCCATGTCATGCCTTGTGACAGAATTCCTTTATTCTGTTTTGAGCCAATAAATATTTATAGGTTTTGATAACCATTCCTTGATTTTCAGGGAAAGCAGCCAGCCTCCTGAAGGAATTGGGAAGACAGTGTAGTATAGTAATAAGAGGGTAGGTCCCAGCGTTTCTAAGCTCCTGTGCCTCATCTGTAGGTGGTTGAGAGAATGAAAGGAGGTAGCATGAGCAGGGCACTCAGCTCGGAGGCAGTGCCTAGCCAACATTGCTTATCTTCACTGTGAATTTGGCTTTTTTCCTACTCTTGAATCTTGGGGGCTTATCACCAAAAGGAAGTCTGCTTCCACTGGGCTCCTGTAAACAAGCTTTCCCTTTAAGTATTAGTGACACTTACGAATTTTTTTTTTTAATTTAGCTAGGTGTGGTGGCACATGCCTGCAGTTCTAGCTACTCCACAGGCTGAGGTGGGAGGATTGCTGAAGCCCAGGAATTCGAGGTTACAGTGCGCTGTGATGGTGCCACTGCACTCCATCCTGGGCAACAGAGGGAGACCCTGTCTCTAAAATTTAAAAGAAGGTGGGGGGCGGGTATATTCCCATGACTGCTGGGCCACCAGGTCCCATTTTTTCAGGAATGCCACTTTGTCTCAGCCTTATTGCCCAGATCTAGCCCAGTCCTTCCCTGTTTCCATGGCAACCTGGGAGCAGCCTTGCTTACTGGGCAAGGTGAGACCTGGTTTTCTGTAAGAAATCTGTAGTTTATTTCCCTAGTCTGTAAACAAATTGCCCAGAAGAAGTGCTCTGTGAAACTGGCCCCTGCTTTTGATGTGATATCATGGATGTTACTGAAGACTGTGGTTGCAGATTGTGGCAGATTTCACACACACACACCCCTACACACACACACACACACACACACACCCCTACACACACACACACACACACACACCCCTACACCTGCAGATTATATCTAGAATAAAACTGAGCCCTGAGGTTTCAGAATCAAGGACTATTATGTGCCCAGGCCTATTCTTTTGCCTTCCTTTTCTCAAACATAACCTTTTCTTGGAACCAACCAAGTTGTTTTCAGTGATGTTAGGATTTGGAGTCAGTAGCTCCTAAATGACAGTGCCTAGTGTCTGAAAGGTAAAGAGCACCTGGCTGAGACTGCATGTCCTTGTGAAGGTTTGGTCCTCAGTGATTCATGGGTAAAAGGTGCACTCTGTGAGCAGTGTGGCCACAGTGCTGTGGACACTGGGCCTGTTGCCATCATAGCTGCTCCTGCTGGAAGCTTTTGAAGATGGTTTTTGTGGGGGCATGGTGGCTTTATGTCTTTATGCCTGTTTCTGTTGCTGGGAGTCTCCAGGGGGCACAGTGTGGGAATCACATGCATGCTCTGCCCCTCCCTGCTTGTAGAGGGGAGGGGACAGGATGGTTAAAAGTGGGCGTGCCCTCCAGCAATCCCGGTTGTCATCCAGCACGGACTTCATCACTCCTCTGCCATCCCAGACGGCAAGGTGGGTCCTCTTTAAGTTGAATTGGGCCCAGTATGTGGTGTGTGCATGTTTTTTGTTTGTTTGTTTTTTTGTTTTGTTTTGTTTTTGAGATGGAGTCTCACTCTGTCGCTCAGACTGGAGTGCAGTGGTGCAATCTCAGCTCACTGCAACCTCCACCTCCGAGGCTCAAGCGATTCTCCTGCCTCAGCCTCCTGAGTAGCTGGGATTACAGGCCTGTGCCACCACGCCCGGCTAATTTTTGTATTTTTAGTAGAGACGGGGTTTCACCATGTTAGTCGGGCTGGTCTTGAACTCCTGGCCTCGTGATCCGCCTGCCTTGGCCTCCCAGAGTGCTGGGATTACAGGCGTGAGCCACGGCGCCTGGCCATGTGCATGTTTTTCAAGGGAGATAATCCATAACTTCTGTCCAAATTTCAAAGCATCTGTCACCCATGAAAGTTTAGGATCCATAGCCTTAGAGGCATTTCACTTTATTTGTGCTCTTATTTTAGATCACATAGTTTAAATAGACATAATAATAGTTTAAATAGAGATAATAAAATTAGAAGTGCTGTAGGATTTAGATAGATCATCTATCTCATCTTCTGTTTAAACATCAGAAATGTCCTGAGGTCGGATTCCGTACTTATTTTCAGAGAGCTTATGGGGGGCTGCAAGGACTAAACTCATATAGCAGAAAAGGAACAAACTCAGCATCTTCCTCTCCTGCCCTTTGGCACTACTTTCCCATTGTTGTTTTTATTTTTATTTATTTTATTTATTTTTTTGAGATGGAGTCTCACTCTGTCACCCAGGCTGCAGTGCAGTGAGGTGATCTCAGCTCACTGCAACCTCCACCTCCTGGTTCAAGTGATTCTCGTGCCTCAGCCTCCCGAGTAGCCAGGATTACAGATACGCGCCACCACGCCTGGCTAATTTTTGTATTTTTAGTAGAGACGGGGTTTCACCATGTTGGCCAGGCTGGTCTCAAACTCCTGACCTCAATCAGTCTGCCCACCTCAGCCTCCCAAAGTGCTGGGATTACAGGCGTGAGCCACTGCACCCAGCCCCATTGTTATTTTTAAATCTGTGTTTTATAGTGTTTCCAAGCATACATAACAGTAGAGAGAAGAGTAGATGATAAGCCTAATGAGGAGACTGGTCACGCAGCTTCAACAGCTGTCTTAAAAATCTATTCCCTACCCCAGTGACTTTTTTATTTGTTGGTTTATTTGGGGTTTGAGGAGAGTAGACACTGGAGTATTTTAAGGCAAATTCCAGACCTGTGTCATTTCTGGCATAAATGCATCAGTGTAACTAACTGTTAAGTAATTGTTTTCATAACCACACCCAATAAAATTAACAGGCTAATTCTCTAATAGAATTTTTTCTCAGTCCATGTTTAAATATTTACTCTTCTCTTAAAGCTGCCCTTTTACATTTTGTTTTGTTTTGTTTTTTAATTTTTATTTTACTTTTTTTTACATTTGGTTTTACACTTTATAATTGGTCGTTGTATTCCTTATTTTTAATTTTATTTATTTTTTAATTAAAAACTTTTTTTTAATGTAAGTAGGAGCCATGCCTGTAATCCTGATACTTTGGGAGGCTGAGGCAGGAGGATTGCTTGAGTCCAGGAGTTTGGGACCAGCCTGGACAAGGCAAGGCCTTGTCTCTATTAAAAATAAAATAGAAAGCTTTTTAAAAAAATAAAAAAATGTAAATAGAGATGGAGTCTCTTTATGTTGTCCAGACTGGTCTTGAACTCCTGGGCTCAAGCAATCCTCCCAGCTTGGCCTCCCAAAGTGCTGGGATTACAGATGTGAGCCACCACACCCAGCCTCTTAAAAAAAACTTCTATTCTTAAAATGCTTAACTGATGTGAAAATTATATTTGTGGTAAAATATTTTAGCAAATCAGAGCTGCAAGTACCTTTTTTACCCTAAGTCCACTCCCCAGAACAGAATCCGGTTAACTAGCTGACCTGGGTCTGTCTCTGTGGTGGGCCCATCTGCCATCTCCCTTTTGTTCCTACCTTTGGTCCTGTCCTAGACTTTCGTCTCTGTTCTAGTCTGGCATTTGTGCTCCTCACTGACCCCTCTTAAGAGCCTTCAGCGGTGGCCTGGGCTGTCAGCCTATGAAACCCTCCTCATTAGGGTCTCAGCATATTTGAGGTCACATCAAATGATGACATCTTTATTTATGTCTTTAAGACACAGTCAGAGCTAAGTTATCCTTGTTAATGTTTAAGACAAACAGGTAATTGAGAACTGCTAAGCCCCCATGAGTCTGGGTGTTGATCTCATTTTGTTTTGTAGGGACAGGTGCCCACCTACAGCTGTAGCATGGTGTTGAGTTCCTTGTGATGCATCTGCCAGGTTCTGGCCCTGCTGAGGAAGAGCCAGGATTAGGTCCTGAGGGAGTGGAAGGAGCTGGGGCCTGTTGTTCTTCTCCCAACAGTGCCTTCAGCAGCTGCCTTGAGGGTGCCATCATTGGCCCTGCTTTTCTTCTAGGCCCTCCTGGCCATTTGGCTTTCTCACAGCTTGCTTTGTACCTCAGGGCTCTTCCTCTGCTCTGTGCTTTCCTCTGCCCTGCCCACCTGCCTAAAGCCTGCCTCCCTGTTCTTGTTAACTGATGCCCATTTCTTTTCTTTCCTTTTTCTTTTTCTTTTCTTTTTTTTTTTTTTTTTTGAGACGAGTCTCGCTCTGTCACCAAGTCTGGAGTGCAGTGGCGCAGTCTCGGCTCTCTGCAACTTCCGCTTCCTGGGTTCAAGCAATTCTCGTACCTCAGTCTCCCAGCTAGCTGGGATTACAGACGTGCCCCATCACGCCTGGCTAATTTTTGTATTTTTAATAAAGACGGGGTTTCACCATGTTGGCCAGGCTGGTCTTGAACTCCCGACCTCAGGTGATCCGACCGCCTCGGCCTCCCAAAGTTCTGGGATTATGGGCGTGAGCCATCATGCCCGGCCTGATGCCTGTTTCTTGATGGTTTTTTCTTCTTGCACTTTTCACGTGTCAGCTCCTAAAGTGTGTACATGTGGTCGCTGCAGGAGGGAGGGTCTCTATGCGTTCAGATTACAGGTGCAGGCTGTTGGCCTGCTGCTGAGTCTGGCATCGCTGCTCATCTGTCGACACCGTTCTGCTTCCTCCTTTCGTGCTTATGAAACACAGTACTGGTGTTTTCTATGGGTGAAACTAAGTGGAGGAAAAGCACAGATACACAAACTGTCCCATTATGCAGTGTTATGGGCCTTTTCACTCTGCAGTGTTGAAACTGCCTTGGCCTCACTTTGAAAAATAGGACTATGGTACCCATGGTTGTGTCCTGGCCTGGGGTTCCTCCCATGGCAGGAGCCCTGCTCCAAGTTACCCTCCTAGCCGCTGCATGTGCGGTGAAGGGGCTTCCCACAGTGGGTATGTGGAAGTCTGATGGAAGTCTGATGTGCTCATAAGGAGATCTGATATGTTCACGTGACAAGGAACAGCTGTGTTGAAAAATCTGCAGAACACTTTGGTGCCACTCAAGTTATTTATTTCTGGGAATAATTCACAAGGCACTTTAGGCAATGCCAGTTGGGTGGTTGGAATGCATTTTGAGTATTTTAATCTTTTATGTTTGATTTATGAATGACTTATCAGAAATATATGTAGTCATTCCTTGGTATCTGTGGGGGATTGGTTCCAGGGCACACTGAGGATACTAAAATCCAAGGAAGCTCATGTCCCTTGTATAAAATGAAATATAAACTATGCACGTTCTCCCATATACTTTAAATCATCTCTAGATTACTTGTAATACCTAATACAAGGTAAATGCTATGCAGATAGTTGTTATACTTCATTGTTTGTGGCAGCAGTCCCCAACTCCTTTGGCACCAGGGACCAGTTTCGTGGAAGACAATTTTTCCATGGACTGAGGGATCAGGGGAGGATGGCTTTGCAGTGAAACTGTTCCACCTCACATCAGGCATTAGTTAGATTCTCATAAGGAGTGAACTTAGATCCCTTGCATGCACAGCTCACAATCCAGTTGGCTCTCCCATGAGAATCTAATGCCCCCGCTGATGTGACAGGAGGTGGAGCTCAGGTGGTAATGCTCGCTTGCCGCTCACTTCCTGCTATGCAACCCAGTTCCAAACAGGCCACTGACCAGTACTGGTCTGTGGCCCGGGGGTTGGGGATCCCTGGTTTAGAGAATAATAACAGGAAAAAAAAGTGTACATGTTCAGTACAGGCAGTTTTTTACCAACTATTTTCAATCCACGTTTGGTTGAATCCATGGATGCAGAACCCACAGATACGGAGGGCTGACTGTATACATAAACTGCATGGTCTACGTAAATGGGGTTTCAGCGATGAGCTTTGAAGTTACCCCTTGATGATTTTTTGTTTTTGAAGATTCAGGAGGTACATGTGTGGGTTTGTAACATGGGTACGTTAAGTAATGGTGGGAATTGGGTTTCTAGTGTACCCATCACCCAGATAATGAACATTGTACCCAATAGGCAATTTTTCAACCCTCACTCTCCTACCACCCTCCCCCACCGCCACTTGATAATCTTTAACTTCACATGTTAAGAGCAATCTCAGCACTTGTGGCTTTTTGTGTTAAATCAGCTAAACTGACTGAGTGCGCCTTCTCCAACTTTAGCACAGTATTTCACTCTTAAGCAGTTTGCATTTATGGTTTATTTAGGGTGATAAAATTATAACCTCTTTGAAACAACAGGAAACATGAAGCAACACCCTCACTTGTGTGGTAGTTTGCAGCTCATGACAGCTGTGTTCGAAGCTTGTGCTGAGTGGCGGCTGCAAGAGGAAAAGCAGTCTTGCCCTGTTATCCTAGCAGGATGATTAAATAAGTTTAAACAACAGTTAAAATTCTAGCTCTCTTTTCTCTCTCTCTCTCCCCCTCTCCACCCCCTTCCCTCTTTCCTTTCTCTCTCCTCTCTCTCCCGGCCCTTAAAAAGAAAAATAAATAAATAAAAACATTTGGAATTCTAATAGAACCCACTGAGCTTCTGAAAGGAAGTGCATTATGCTGTGCTGTGAAGGAGCCCAACAGGGGCTCACGGTCACTCAGCAGGATGATGGATGCAGGCTTCAGGGCCAGGAGCCAGACGCAGCAAGAAAAAACCAAAAATTTGGATTATGAAGTAAATGGAGAGGTTCCAAGATCAAACCAAGAGGTGTTTGTTGATTTTGTTATGTGCTGTGGGAGCATGGACCCCTCAGCAGGTAGAAGGAGAGCAAGTTTGAGGATGTGGTGCAGGAGGAGTTGGGATCCCCAAGAGCAGGAGGGACTGAGGCCAGGACAGCAGGCATACGAGGTCACTGAGGCTGGTGGGAGGAGAGAGGCTTACTCTAAATGAGGATCACTGCATCTTTTGGAGCTCTTCTTTTTGAGACAGGGTCTCCATTACCCATACTGGAGTGCAGTGGCACCATGATAGTAGCCTCAAACTTCTGGGCTCAAGTAATCCACTCCCCCGCCACTCCCCCACGCCTCAGCTTCCTGAGTAGCTGGGAGTACAGGTGCACACCACCATGCCTGACTAATATTTTATATTTTTTATAGAGACAGGGTCTTGTTTTTTTGCCCAGGCTGGTCTCAAACTCCTGGCTTCAAGCCATCCTCCTGCCTTGCCTCCTAAAGTGGTGGGATTACAGGCGTGAGCCACTGAGCCTGGTGGATGTTTTTTGTTGTTGTTGTTATTGTTGTTTTGAGATGGACTTTCGCTCTGTCACACAGGCTAGAGTGCAATGGCACGATCTCGGCTCACTGCAACCTCCGCCTCCCCGGGTTCAAGTGATTCACCTGCCTCAGGCTCCCAAGTAGCTGGGACCATAGGCGCGTGCCACCACGCCTGGCTAATTTTTTGTATTTTTAGTAGAGACGGGGTTTCGCCATGTTAGCCAGGATGGTCTCAATCTCCTGACCTCATGATCCGCCTGGTGGATGTTTTTAATGATTATCCTTTTGTACTGTACTTTAAGAAAAAAAAAATTTTGTTTAATGTCAGAAATTGAAAGGGGAGAGAGATCAAAAATACCTTAATGGGGCCAGGCACAGTGGCTCACGCCTGTAATCCCAGCACTTTGGGAGGCTGAGGTGGGCAGATCACGAGGTCAGGAGATCGAGACCATCCTGGCTAACATGGTGAAACCCTGTCTGTACTAAAAATACAAAAAATTAGCCGGGCATGGTGGCGCACCCCTGTAGTCCCAGCTACTTGGGAAGCTGAGGCAGGAGAATGGCGTGAACCTGGGAGGCGGAGCTTTTAGTGAGCCAAGATTGAGCCACTGCACTCTAGCCTGGGCAACAGAGCGAGACTCTGTGTCAAAAAAAAAAAAAAAAAAAAAACCCTCAATGGGAAAGTAGACTCCAAGAGTGAAAAGGAGCAAATTGTTCCAGTGAGTTCCATTCTGTAGCACAGGTGGCCACAGGTGCTTGCCTTTGAGGAAATGAAAGAGCCATGCTTTGTAAGTCAGAGGCAGGCTCAGCTTCCCCGCACAGTCTGAAGCTGGGTGGCGGTGAGAAATTACTAAAAGGTTAGTGCCGGTTTTTTAGATGAAGTCATCATGTTATTAAAAAATAGTCTGTTTAGTCTCTAGGTTACTGTTCTCTGGCTCCCCTCCCCATCCAAGACTCCCTTGGAGGGAGGTTTGAGGACTTTGGGATTCTCATATCTCTTCGCGTCCATGATTGGATCGTGAGGTGAGGAGATAGCCTTTAGAACCCTCTCTTTGAGTGGTCAGTCACGTGGTATTCCCTCTGAAACCCTGGAGCAGATGCTTTGTGTAGCTGGGCTGGGGTTCCCCCAAATAGGGTTGCATAATTATTGAGGACAGATGAGGCCTCAACCAGACGACCACAGGTGACCCCAGACTGTGGGTCTTCCTCACCTCCTTGAGAGTTGCAATTCTGAGAGCTGATAAAATGTGCCATTGTGTGCAGATCTGGGTAGTTTGAAGCGTTCTCATTTCCTGAGGTGTGTCAGAAAGACTGCGTGAGAAAGGGGTCACAGTATCTTGGATGTCATCTTTTCATGCAGTAAAAAGTCTGGTTTCCATGAATGTTTGTATAACAAACCACCTCAAAACTTGGCACCAGTGTAGCATGTCTCATGACTCTGTGGGTTGGCTAGGTTTCCCCACTCCTCCCACTGCCAGCTCCCTTGGAGCTGAGGCTCACACCAGGCTAGAAGCCATGAAGGCCTCTGATGTGTCTGGCAGTTTGTGCTGGCTGTTCACTGGGCCCTGCCATCCTCCAGTAGGCCGGAGCGATTCCTGCACAAAGTCCCAGAGTAGCTCCAGACAGGGAAAAGAAAGGCTGTGGGGCCTTTGAGGCCTAGGTCCAGACCGTACACTGCTACTCCCCACGCCATTACCTTGGTTAGAGCAAGTCACAGACAACCCTTAGGGACATCCGTTTGGGGAGAGGAAAAGGCATGGCCACTGGACAGCCCTCCACAGCTCTTTTCATAATGACCTGATAGAGCAGCCACCTTTAGTCTAGTGCAGAATCCCAGCAAATATCATTCTGATATCAGTAGATTCCATAGGGCAGAGCTGAAGCAGCTGTTCTTTGCTAATCTTGGAAGTTTATTGATGTTTTATTTACACACCTGTACAGACAGAAGATAATAGAGATTGTTTAGAAATATTCTGTCACCTATAATGACTAAGCATTGCTATAATGGAGCATGTGGTTTCCTTAATTGAAGAATACCTAAATAGAAGCCCATTCTTAACTGGCCTCAGTATAAACAGCTTGTAGTGGCAGGTCACCAGGCCTGGATCACAGTGCCCTACCTTGTTTTTGCTTCATAGGCAGAATGGTGGTAAGTGGTACTCTGGCCTGGGCAAGGTCTGAGCAAGGCCTGCATTGATGGAGGGTCCAGAGTCCAGCTCTACCATCTGCACATTTTCTTTGGAGACTTGTGCTTAGCCCAACAGCATGAATCATTTGCTGAAGGCTCTGGAGGTGGGCATTCCATCCACAAGTCTCCCCAATAGGGAGTACCCTGTTTGGACATACAGGGTAGTCACACATATGGGTTTTAAATCTTGTTCTTAGGATATTTTCAGGAAAAGCTCTGGCCCACACGTTTAGGACCATTTCCTGGGCAGCATTGGAAGGAGTGGTAGAGGTCATGCAGGCCTGCCCTGTCTTGTGTGCAGGAAAAGAATGAGTTGTTGGTCTACACTGAGGCCGGGATGGGAGGCCTGCCCCTTACAGCAGCGCCGGCTGAACTCCAGGCTGGCTGGTCACATGGTGCCCAGCAGCTGACTTTTTATCAGCTTGGCTGGATTAGAATGAGCTGAAAGAAGAGCCATACGCCGGTGTTCCTTGGTTACATGGTGCCCTGTAGTTGATATTTATAGCAATTAAAAAGCATTGTCAGTGTCAGAACTTAGTAAGTGAGGTTGTGTGGATAGTGCTGGGCCTCATCAACTTATCAGCTGTGCGAGGGCCTTTGAGCATGGGTGTGGCTCCATGCAGCAAGGAGACCGGAGCCTGCCCCACCCGCGCCGCGGATTATTTAGACAAGGTGGCAGTAATGTGGTGACCAAGGGTAGCTACGTGGGTGGGCTGGGCTTGTTCTGTGGCTGAGGTGGAGTAGGGAGGGCAGCTGGAGTGGCGTCTGTAGGGGCTATGGATAGATGAGAGGAAGTGGTCTCATCAGTCCAGAGCCACCCGTAGTCATAGAGCTTGGGCTAAGTTGTAACACTCTCCTCATGTTCCTCATCAACTTCTTGAACAAATGCAAGTATATGTGCAAGGACTTTATAATTTTTTTTTTTTTTTCGAGATGGAGTCTCGCTCTGTCTCCAGGCTGGAGTGCAGTGGCACGATCTCGGCCCACTGCAACCTCCGACTCCCTGATTCAAGCTATTCTCCTGCCTCAGCCTCCTGAGTAATGGGGATTACGGGCACGCACCACCACGCCCAGCTAATTTTTGTATTTTTAGTAGAGATGGGGTTTCACCATGTTGGCCAGGATGGTCTCAATCTCCTGACCTCATGATCCGCCCGCCTCAGCCTCCCAGAATGCTGGGATTGCAGGCGTGAGCCACTACACCTGGCCGGACTTTATAAATTTTAAAAAGCTGCAAATGCAGGACCATCATCTTAAATAGCCTGTGTTTAGGACTTTTACAGACAAGAAAACAGGCCAGAGAGCTGAAGCAACTTCCCGAATCCTCATGCAGTTCATGGGAGGCAGACCTAGGACCTGGGGACCCAGGAGGTGGCCACAGTCAGTCCTACTGGTCTGTGAGTGGGCACTGGGGGGCTGTAGAGCACCATCCTGCATGACAATGGGTGTCAGCTACTGCTGGGGGAAGGGATGTCAGATGGTATATTTGCCACCCTCAGAAATAGGAAGCCCTACCTATTGGAAACCTCACAACCAAGGACTGGCAGGGAGCTTGGCCCTCAAGACTCCCAACTGCTGACTCAGGAAGGGCAGAGTCTGCTGCCTGTAGCTGCCGATATGTGGGAACAGACAAGTGCTCCTTGGTTAGGAGTGGCACCTGCTAAGGTCAGCGCCTCTGCTGCAGTGAGGGGCAGCCCTGGACTCAGACTCTCCCAGGGTGGAACCCCATACCTGTCAGGCTGCTCCCTCAGAAAGGAGGCTGAATATCATCTGAATTTAATTCAGTAAAGGTTAGGTGAGCAGCTGCCACATGCAGAGAGCACTGAGGATACTGTTTCTAGCCTTTCAAGAGCTTCCTTTGAAGAAAGAGCACTGGTCACTGTGAGGAAAGTGCATTATGGTTGCATAGAATTCTGAGTTTGTGGGAGCTTGGGGAGCAGTGACTTTTGACTTGGAAAACAGAGCTTCATTTATTACAGCTAAGTGCTTTTAGTTACCTAAAATTAAATAGGAGGTCTGGTTTCATTTCATCCAGAATGTAAAAATTATTTACCGCTGAAATCTATCATGTTTAAGTCATCTCAGCAACAAGTTGATGATCTTAAACCCACTCATGGGAAGTTGGCTGTGAGTGGGGTGGGGGGGCACACAAGCTCCCTGCCTGCGAACCACCCCTCCCTCTGATGCCATTTGGTGGCAAAAGTCAGCCATTACCCTGGTCAGGTGCTTGTTCCTCTTGGGGGTGGTTAGTGGTTTTCTCCTTAATCTCCCATATTCTTTTTCACTCACCTGCAGCCTGGTCCCAGCTCACCTGCCCAGCCTGGTTTCTTAACCATCTGTACACCCTGCATGTGGCAGTATCATGAGTCTCAGCACATGGTGGGCAGGCACTGGCCAGGTGCTCCTGTTGTCTATTCTCTTTGGCCAAATGTCTTCTCTCTCCTCCTCAGGCTCTGCAGGCCTTACCTTGCCTTTAGGGCTCAGACCGTGGGCCCCTCCTCAGAGCATCCTTGCTTTCCTCTCCCATCCCACTTGTCTTACTCTTCGTTTCTCAGCACTTGGATCCATTCTGTGAATTTACACGTTTACTGGTTTTTCTTATTCTTGTTAAGAGTAAGAAGCTCATTTTAGTCATCTTCCTGTTCACAAACCTTACAGTATGCCACATATAGTTAATAGATATTTGTTGAATTGAATGAGAATTACTGGATTTTTAGAAATAATGGTATTCATTGGCTCAGCATCGTGCCTCACACCTGTAATCCCAGCCCTTTTGGGAGGCTGAGGTGGGTGGATCACCTGAGTTCAGGAGTTTGAGACCAGCCTGGCCACCATGGTGAAATCCCGTCTCTATTAAAAATACAAAAATTAACCAGACACGATGGCGGTGCCTGTAATCCCAGCTACTGGGGAGGCTGAGGCAGGAGAATCACTTGAAACCGGGATGGGGGTTGGGGGGTGGTTGCAGTGAGCCAAGATCACGCCACTGCACTCCAGCCCGGGCGATAGAGCCAGACTCTGTCTCAAAAAAAAAAAAAAATGGTATTCATTTTTTGACATGGTACATCCTGCACACATCTGACACTCTTAGGAAAATGTTTATGTGTGGTAAGAACTTCATCAGAATCCCATAGCCCCTTGCAGGGCTCAGAAGTTGGCCTTTTGGGAGTGAGTGCTTTCCCGCACCCCTCCCCTGGCCCAGGACCCCTCACTCCTTCTGGCAGCTTCCTGCCCCTTGAATGTCATTTACAACCTTGCCCACTTACCTTAACATTTTAACCTTTTCCCCCTTATCAGTGACATTGTCATTGGTGGTCAGAGAATTAACTGTGTGTAACTGTATATTTGAGGCAAGGCAAGGGGACAGATATTTTCCTTACGTTATTAGTTGTGCAACAGAAGCCAATTAAGAGATTGGAGAGATGAATAACACTAGTGATGGGTTGCAACTTGGGTGTGGAGCTGGGCACACCCACGTACGTCATTGTGACTCAGAAGTCCCTGTCACCGCCCTGAGCCAAGTACTAAAGTAAGGCCCAAATACCACACTTACTTCATAAAGAAACCAAAGTCTGACTGCCTCCATTTCTCATGAGTGAAAAACTGTTTCTATTATAGGAAACTTAGGTCTTCAGTGTGTTTGATGGTAGCATGCTATTAGATTGTGTATTCTCAAGTCTGATTTTCCCCATTACTGTGCTTTCTCCTTTTCACTTCTGCTTTGTCACTTGGAATGTTTCTAGAAGTAGAAGTCACTGCCCCTGCCTACATCAGACTGCAATTCCGGGACATCCAGGCAACAGCAAGGGATAATTAGGAATAAATTTGGCTGGAAGAAAGGGAAAATGCAGCTTAGGCAGCCTAAACCAACAGGCTTATTTTTCTCACTCAGTAAGAGAGCTGAGGTCGCCTGACTCAGCTCAGGTTCTCAGTGAGCCATCAGCCACCAGGTGCCACCTTTCAGTGAGTGGGCTTCTATCCCTTCCAGGTGTCTCTTCATGCTCCATGGGAATTAGATGGGACATGCTTTGACTCTCTCTTCCAGAAGCTTTCTCTTCTTTTTGAAGGGGCTTCTGTTTGCGCTGGGTGGTCAATGACTCAGCCTAGTCTTGATTTATCCCCCAGGATGGGGACAGACAGCAGGGGAGAGATCTCAGGTTGAGATGAGTGTACAGTAAGGGCTGGGAGTATCAGAAGGGGAAACGCTCTCCCAGATAGTGACAAAGCTAAGCGACCATGTGAAGGGAGAGGACAAACATCCCATGGAAAGAAGGGTAGCTGCCAGGCCTGCGGGAAGGAAGGAGCATGATGCTGGGGCATGGGAGCAAGTGGACAGGGAGGGCTCTGCAGGTCCCCTGGAACCTAAAGCCAGGGGTTATGGAAGGCAGATCCAGATTCAGGTGTTCAGAGGATGAGGCAGGGGTGGGTAGTTTAAGGAGCTGGAGAAGAGGTATCTCCTTGGGGAGTGGAAGATGTTAGAGAGATACAGGGTTGCAGGACAACAGGGAGGTGGAAAGAGAGTGGGGGATGGACTGTGGCATCTGGGCCCCACCAGGAAGGAAGTGGCCCCATTGGTGACTCATACAGGGAGGGGTGGGGCCAGTGGGTGCCTGGGAGCTCTGGTACTTGGGCAGGTCTGGCTTCCTGCTGCCACATCTGTTGGGAGGTGAAGCCTGCAGGCCAAATAATGACCTTCATTTTCAAAGCCTTTTTGAATAAATAAACTTTTTTGAGGTTTAACTTACATATATTAAAATTCACTTGTTTTAAGTGTTTAGTGCAGTAGGTTTTGCCAAATGTGTGCAGTCACTACACTCGATACAAAACATTCTATCACTCAATTCAAAAACCTTTTAGTATACCTCCAGGTCTTGGCGCAAAGAGGGCTTGCTGTTGTTGGGTGTGGGGGCTCACCCAGTCCTGGAGACAGAATGGGCTCTTTGTCTGAAGGTGGGGCAGGGTGCTCCCCCAGTGGTGTGGGAACTGAGCCAACTGGAGAGTGAAGTGGGATGCATGGTGTAAGATGAATAAGGGAAAGGCTGCAGAAGTTGCATTCCCAGCATTTTCCTTCCCGGGGATTCCCAGCAGCTCAGCAGTACCGGTATGAACCAGTTTTTTTCTGACTGCCTCCAGCATGAGCTGAATTTCCGTCTGTGCAGTTATCCTCAGCCAATTGAAAATCACCTGGAGTTGTATTCCAAGCACAAAAGAAGGTCAGAGAGTGGAGGCCCGATGATCATGATCGCCCTGTCTCCAGGGCCTAGGCTGGAAGGAGTCCTGCAGCCTTTGTGGCTCAGGACCAGAGAGCTGACCTTGACCCTGACCTTGTGATCCCAGGCATCAGTGGCTGGAAATTCCTTTCATTTTATTGTTGAGCCCAGAAGCGCCCAGCTCTCTTTGGCAAGGTTAAGCTAGGGTAAGAGGCACTGTTACTAGAGTGACCAGAGTTCTTTAAGCGTCGCTCTGCTATTACTCAGTTAACCTTATTAATACCCTGCCTGGTGACTGCTGTGTGTAAATTCTGCCTGAGCCCACATCTCTCCAGTGGGAATATGATTGACATTCCAGGTGCTCTAAGTAAGTTGGAAAAGCCCACAGAGAGCCTCAGTAAAAGTTAGCTATACCTATCCCTGCTGCTATTGGTGGGTTTTTTTTGTTTTGTTTTGTTTTACTATTTTAATTGTTATTCAAAGCTAATTTTATTGAAAAGAAGTAAACTTGTGATTTTGCTATGACTTTTGGCTCTGGATCCAAAAGTGAATATTGTCCCCTAGGATAAAGGAGGCTGTCTGTACAGCTGGAGAGACTCTTGATCTAAGGTCTTGCTCTTGGGTGACTTTGCCCTGTGTTTCTGGACACTTAATGGGTTTTACGAAATAGAAGAAAATGTTTTAGGGGTTTAATAAAGTTTGGGTTGTGCTGTTCTCCAGTACTTACTGGGTTTGAGGGTCATGCCCTATCCATGAACCTGTTGTGGCCCCAGGGAACTAAGTAAGTGTCTACAGCTAGACTTGGGGTGCGGGTCACATGGTGTGAGGGTAGACATTCTAGCACTGGAGCAAGTTTGGGGTAAAGAAAAATTTTGATTAGGTTTTTTGTGGGTTTTTTTTTTTTTCTTTGAGACAGAGTCTCGCTCTGTCGCCAAACTGGAGTGCAATGGCATGATCTCAGCTCACTGCAACCTCCGACTCCCTGGTTCAAGTGATTGTCCTGCCTCAGCCTCCTGAGTAGCTGGGATTATAGGCACACACCACCACCCCCAGCTAATTTTTGTATTTTTTTTTTTTTTAGTAGAGACAGGGTTTCACCATGTTAGCCAGGATGGTCTCGATCTCCTAACCTCGTGATCCGCCCGCTTCAGCCTCCCAAAGTGCTGGGATTACAAGCATGAGCCACCAAGCCCAGCCTTTTTCTTCTTTTTTTTTTTTTTTCTTTTTTTTTTTTTTTTTGGAAACAGGGTGTCACTCTGTCGCCCAGGCTGGAATACAATGGTGCGATCTCAGCTCACTGCAACCTCTGCCTCCCAGGTTCAAGCGATTCTCATGCCCCAGCCTCCCAAGTAGCTGGGACTACAGGCCTGCACCACCACACCCAGCTAATTTTTGTATTTTTAGTAGAGACGGGGTTTCACTATGTTGGCCAGGCTGGTCTCGAACTCCTGATCTCAGGTGACCCACCCACCTTGGCCTCCCAAAGTGCTGGGATTACAGGCATGAGCCACTGCGCCTGGCCTGATTAGGTTTTACGTGACAGTGGTAGCTTGCTGTTGGTTCTTGCTGTGCAGGGGTGGGATACAGCCAGACTGACTCCTGCTCAGTTTCCTGCTGTATTCAAGGGGTTTCTCCTTTTAGGTCAGGTCCTCAGTTATTGGAGGCCTGGGTAGAGGCCAAGAAGTGCAGTCATTGGTCATCCCTGCTTTCACAATGAAGATGGATGTCCAATGCATGTGGTCCCCAGTCATCTCTGCTTCTAGAATGTATGGAGCTCTCAGTCCTGCTGGAAAAGCTCCATGAAGTCAGAAGTACCTGAGGGTGTCCAGTGTATTTGTGCACAGCCACCTTTTAGATCCCTGTGTCCTTGACAGAACCAGTCATGGACTGAGTGGGAGGCAGCCTTTACTTTGCCTAGGGAGTTGATGCTGAGACATCCTCTGTTTTCTCTCCTAAGAGTAAGTCAGTTTTTTCCTCTGGTGGAAATACTGCCTTTTCTCATGTTGGAGGAGAACACTGAGTTTTCATGAGAACCGATTTAATGGAGGAAGGTGAGAATCTCTTTGGAGATTCCAAACCCTGGGTTTCTTTAGCAAACATTTTGATAGCATCTGTTGAAAAGGAAAGTTTAGGCCCAGATGGTGGCTCATGCCTATAATCCTTGCACTTTGGGAGGCTGAGACGGGCAGATCAGTTGAGCTCAGAAGTTCAAGAACAACTTGGGCAACATGGTGAAACCTCATCTCCACAAAAAAATATTTAGTAAAAAAATTAGCCATGCGTGGTGGTGCGTGCCTGTGGTCCCAGCTACTCAGGAGGCTGAAGCAGGAGAATCACTTGAGCCCCGGAGGTGGGGGTTACATTGAGCCAAGATCGTGCCAGTCTACTCCAGCCTGGGCAGCAGAGCCAGACCCTGTCTCAAAAAATAAAAAAGAAAGAAAAGGAAAGTTTGCAGCCTTTTTTCATGTTCCTGATTGTTGGGTTACATTTGTATAAGATGCTTCTGTAATAGGTTTTGTGGGAGGTGCCAGAAGAGAACCCCAAATCTGTCTTCTACATCAGACAATACACCAGAAATTAACCAGAAAGGTAAAAACCGTAAAACCTCAAATAGTTTGATTTGTAAAAACATTTTAAAGGCCAGGTGCAGTGGCTTACGCATGTAATCCCAGCACTTTGGGAGGCCAAGGCGGGTGGATCACAAGGTCAGGAGTTCGAGACCAGCCTGGCCAACACAGTGAAACCCTGTCTCTACTAAAAATACAAAAATTAGCTGGGCATGGTGGCAGGCGCCTGTAATCCCAGCTACTCGGGAGGCTGAGGCAGGAGAATCGCTTGAACCCAGGAGGCAGAGGTTGCAATGAGCCGAGATTGCACTACTGCACTCCAGCCTGGGCAACAGAGCTAGACTCTGTCTCAAAAAAAAAAAAAATTTTTAAATATAATTCACATAACATAAATGTAATTATTTGGCCTGGTCCTGGTGACTCACAACTGGATTCCCATCACTTTGGGAGACTGAGGCAGGAGGATTGCTTGAGGCTGGGAGTTTGAGACCAGTTTGGGCAACAGAGCAAGACCCTGTTTCTTTAAAAAAAAAAAAAAAAAAAAAAAGTCATTTTTTAAGTGTACCATTCAGTGGAGTTTTGTTTTTAACAGATGGGTTCTTGCTGTATTGCCCAGGCCAGCCTTGAATTCCTAGGCTTAAGTGATCCTCCTGCCTCTGCTTCCCAAGTGACTGGGACTACAGGCACATGCTACTACACCCAGCTACAGTGGTTTTTAGTATGTTCACAATACTGTGCAGTCACATCTCTGGTGGTTGTTTTCTTTAAGTTATTTTTTCTGAATACCAAAAAATACATGCTTATTATAGAATGTTTTAAATATTCTACAAAAAAGAAAAAGGGAAGGAAAAAAAAAGTATTCCACAAAACTCCCCTCAAAAACAGATTTCACTGAGAGATCAGACTCCCCTGCATGAGGCAGATGGTCCAGGCCTGTGCATTATCATTGTGTCTTTTCTAGTTTGTGTCTAGCAGCAGTATATAGCAGTGCTCTTGGTAGTGGGACCATCTGAGTGACGTACATCTGTGCCCTAGCCAGCATTATAAAAGAACCTGTCTGAAAAAAACAGAAGACCTTAAGGACCAGCATACTGGATTCTGTAGCCATCTCTACCTTCTGGTCTCCAGACTCAGACAGACCCATTTGATATCCAGCCATGTCCCAGACAAGGAGCACATCTGGGTGGCATCTTGTTAGAAGGAGAATGCAAAGATCTCATAAAGTTTTGCCTTGCCTCTCCAAGTTTTTCAAGACAGTCTTATCAGAGTTTATTGATGGAAGAATTTTAGAGGCTGGAAAAGGTATTGCAGAAAAGAAAAACAATGTTTCTATTTTTTTTTTAAACTGATGTTTTGCCAGGCGCGATGGCTTACGCCTGTAATCCCAACACTTTGGGAGGCCAAAGCAAGTGGATCACTTGAGGTCAAGAGTTTGAGACCAGCCTGGCCAACATGATAAAACCCCATCTCTACTAAAAATACAAAAATTATAAGCCTGGTGGCGTGCTCCTGTAATCCCCGCTGCTCAGGAGGCTGAGGCAGGAGAATCACTTGAACCCGGGAGGTGGAGGTTGCAGTGAGCCAAGATCATGCCACCACACTGCCTGGGCAACAGAGCGAGACTTCATCTCAAAAAAATTAAAATAAACTGATGTTTAATTGTGCTTTTCTTTTCTTTTTACAATGAACTTTTGTGAAGTCTTAGTATGTCTGATCTCTTAAATATTTTAAAAACTTGCATCTTTGTATGAGATGAATAAACCATTACAGTTCACAGTATCTGCAAATTGTAAATCAAATAATTCAGACATGGAATAGCCAAAAATAGTAGGAATATAAGTAAATTAGTTTATAGTTTTTCTAAGGAAATTCAAACTGATAACTAACACCTGACTTTGTGAAGTATTAGACTGTGTGCTAATGCCTTTAACTAGGGTAGTCTTTACAGCATACCTATGAAGAATGTATATATTTCTCTCCTCATAGATGAGAAAACAGCACAGAAAGGTAACTCACTAAGAGCCTACCTCTTGAATTTGAATTTTGATCCCTGACACAGAGATCAGATTTGAATTTCCATCTCTGACCCCACACTTTGAGCTCTTAGCTCCTGAGTTTCTCCTGAGGTAGCAATGATATTATTTCTCTGTGGGGTTAGTGCTGCCTCTTACAAAGGATCAGGTTCCACTTTGTTCCCAGGGAAGTGAAAGGACATGAGCAAGGTGACCCTGGGCTCTTCACAGGTTGTGCTGAGCCCTTGGGGCCTTGAGGGAGGTGTTTGATGGGGTGTTTGATCCCACAGAAAAACTGGTAGAGTTTGCAGACCTATAGACAGAAGGTCAAGAGATCACCTCCCAGGTGCTGGGGCCGGGGGGAAGGCTGAGACAGTAAGTGTCTCTGTTGACCTACATCCTGAATCTGTCCCCAGGCCCAGTGAATAGGAACTGAGGAGAGCTGTTGGCATTGGGCCTTTGGGTTATGTGTGTTGATGGAAGGCGGCCACAGGGCATCTGTGTTATAGCTGTGGGGGTCAGAAAGTGCATCCCGAAGACAAAAGTTGTGGAAAGCAGGGAGCCTGAATGCTGAGAGAAACCCACCGTTTGGGAACAGACAGAGACCCCACTGTCCAGGAGGAAGCAGGCTCAGCCAGCCTATGGTAGACTTGCCTTGCCTGCAGAGAGCAGTTCTCTGTGGCCACAGATGCATCCTGGACTTAGGGGAGCAGTGAGGTAACCCTGTACCTTCTTTGTCTTTAGTCATGGGACATTTTTTTTCGCAACACGAATGCCGGAGCCCCACCGGGCACTGCCTACCAGAGTCCCCTTCCCCTGAGCCGAGGCTCCCTGGCTGCTGTGGCCCATGCACAGTCCCTGGTAGAAGCACAGCCCAACGTGGACAAGCTCGTGGAGGACCACCTGGCAGTGCAGTCGCTCATCAGGGCATATCAGGTAAGGCGGGTGCTTTACCCGCACACGGGAAAGGGTGCAGTGTTCCTTAGGTCATGCCTCATGGGCCCTATTGGCCTTTCTGAGTGTATGTTGTCACTTTACTTATACCTCCTCAAATACTAGGTGCTTTCTCCCTGCTTTGGGAGGCTAAAAAACAAATACACAAGAAAAAGAACCAGGCTAGCCCTATTTGAGCAAATCTCCCAGCACCACTAATGCCTGCCTTATAAAAGGGATCCTTATTTCCTTTCCTTCCTTGGCAAGAAATATTTGTGGGCAGGGAAAACAAGTCAGTACCCGGGCATCAAGGAGAAGTGCTGCCCATCTGCCAGTGAGCAGTGACTGGGAGGGGTGGTGCTTTTGGGTGGTTGATGCCCCCTTCTCAGTTGCTAACAACTGAATACTATAAGAGAAGAAAACCATACTATAGAGTTTGGGGATGTGGAGGCAGGGAGAGGCAGCTGAGGGTACAGCTGAGCCTACAGAGAGTGATGAGGGGCAGGGGAACTCTCCAAAAGTATTGCAGTTAGTGGCCAGTCTCGTTAGGCAAGTGTTGAGCAGGACAAGGTTTTTCCCCCCATCCTTTCCCAGAGCACAATAACCAAAGTTTTTCTAGGATGTCCACCTGATACATGGGGAGAGCCTAGAGTTCAGATCTTAAGACTTCATCTGTGATAGTTCTAAGGACGACAGGTAGAGACAAGTGAGCCTGGTGCTTCCCTTCTGGAAGCTCCCATGGGCATCCAGGACCCTGCCACCTGTTCTTGTGTAACTGCTTTGGTGGCAACAAGGGGACTCATGTCCCTGGGCTGTCTTTTCTCTCATGCTTTGGTTTCTGGTGGCATGGGCCATGGGCAGGTGTTGTAATGGGGCAACATAGGGGAGGTCCTGGGTCTCTGGCCCTTCATGCCATGGCCTGGCAAGTAAGGCTCTCTCCCTGGGGCAAGTGTATTCTGCCTTAGAAAGGAGATGCATGGAGTTTTGTAAATGCTATATGCTTTAAAGTGTTATCCATGTGGATATTTGCATAAGGAGGAAGCCCAGTGGTGTTTCTTTATCACTGCCTGCACGCAGTTGGCCTCAGTAACAACTTCAGCCTGATCTTGCAGTGACTTACCAGCAGCTGCTCCCTTCTCAAATTGCTAGCAAGAAGTTGTGAAAGAATCTTAAATTGGAAGGGATTTTCTTTCTCCTTTTGGTTTTTAAATAGTTCAAATCAGATGCTTTAAGTCTGTGGTGTAGCAGGGTTTTTTTGTTCTGACTACTGTGTGCTGACCTACTCAGCAGCAGCAGGACCAGAGCCCTCACTCCTCACGGGGATATATAATAAAGGCAAACCTTCTCTTAGTGAGATGACCTCTTATCTGCACTCCTCCCCAGTTAAGGCCAACACTTAAGCCTTCATTTTCCTACTTAGAAAAATTTTTCTTTAAATTTGATTTATTTTAAATTGAGGTGGGATCTCACTGTGTTGCCCAGGTTGGCCTCAAACTCCTAGGCTCAAGAGATCCTCCTACCTCAGCCTCCCAAGTAGCTGGAACTACAGGCATGTGCCACTGTACCCAGCACCTTAGGGAAATGTTTATGTTCTGAGCTGAGGCAGGCTTCACATTGGAGTAAGAATTGCCCAGCATATCTCATTTCTGTTTATCCATGGAAACTGTATAAAGATCACAAGAAATGGATCCTTTCAGACTCCTAAGTTTATCATAACCTGAGTTTATCTCTTTTTTATAAAAGTACATTTATGCACAATAGTGCTTTTAAAATAAGTTATTCCAAGACTTTTAAAAACTAATTTTGTCGTATGGGTTTATTGGTGCTGTGTTCCTCTTTGGAAAAGGTTTGCATAACCTGTGACTCTTTTAACCCTCCCCACAGCTCACTGGATCTGCTTAATGACTTGCTTGTGTTATTGCTTCCAGGTCAGGGGTCACCACATTGCAAAACTTGATCCTCTCGGAATTAGTTGTGTAAATTTTGATGATGCTCCAGTAACTGTTTCTTCAAACGTGGGTGAGAATTAAGCTGTAAATGCTAATTTTAATGTAATTTTACTTTTTTTTTACCCCTTCCCTCTTTTTTTTTCTTCTGTCCTTTTGTGTGTGTCCTTCCCTCTCATCGTTGGCCACTCATAGATACGAGGGCACCATGTAGCACAGCTGGACCCCCTGGGGATTTTGGATGCTGATCTGGACTCCTCCGTGCCCGCTGACATTATCTCATCCACAGACAAACTTGGTGAGGGTCTGAGAGCAGTCAGCTGCGTTGCTTGAGCTCCTCTCGCTGTGCCACGACCTGTGGTAGCCAGGATGTCCAGGCAGGAGGGAAAGGCTCTTAAGTTTCCTTTCATTCTGATCACTTGAAATTTATCGGTATTGTAGCCTTAGTGTGTTTTGGGCAAGTTATTTTTATCTTACTTTTTCAGCCAGATTGTCTTAAGTCTCAAAATTTGAAAATAAAATTTTGGACAGAAAGGTTTGTGGCACAGGGAAAAAGCTTGTCCACCTGGGGCAGGTGGATCAGAAGCACTTCAGAGTATAGCTCTTTTGGCTTCAGGTTTTCAAATGTCAGTGCAGCACTGCCTTCAGTGAGGCATGTCCATGAGGCCTTGCTCAGGAACTGCTGACACAGCCATCCTTTTCTGAAGCCCAGTGTGGCCTGCCCTTGACTGGAGGCCATGTCCCTTAGGGGACGAATTCTAGAGCAAGTTGTGCAGTTGGGTCTCCTGATTTGTAATTGCTGGTGATCACACTGAGGAAACTTTGGAAGGCATTCCCACAGCGTCAGGAGGTCAGGGCCTTTGGGAGGTGCATGTATGGAGCACACTGGGGTTTTGTCACGGTTGCCAGAAGATAGTCCCACCTACACCCCCTCCTCCTCATGAAGTGAGGTGGGTGTTGTGGCTGGGCTCTCACCTGCAGTTGCTTTGCAGAGTTAGTCTGCTTTATGTCACTGTGCTGCTAACCTGTACTAAAGAAATGATGATGTGACTAATTTTTAAATGGCCAGGGTGTTCACAATAGACACTGTGCATGCTGATGAAATTGATGATCACTTACTTGCCTAATACTCCTCTTGGGATGGGTACGAAATTAGCCTCCTCACAGGCACTTTTGGGGAATGGTACAGACAGTCTCTAAGGCTCTGCAGTGCCTGGATATCTTTATAGGCATTACTAAGTTATGTCTAGGGGATGAGGCATTAATCATCAAACATCATTGACTTTGGAATTGGCATTGATGGTTTGTAATTGTTTTTTTAATACCAGCCCTTTAGCGGATTTAGGAAGGGAGTTTAGAGAAATCCTCTTGAATTTTATTGATTAAGGCCAGTTCAGATGGTAGACTGGGCATGAGTTGAACCCTGCTTTTTCATTCCGTGGTGACAACTTTGTGCTCCCAAGAAGAGGGCCTCTCTTTGCAGTGTCCCCGGAGGTCTTGGAGCCTCTTCCCTACTGCTCACCCCTTAGTACAGCAAACCTCCCTGCTGGCACCCCCAGTCCCATCACAGCCTGTCTGCCCTGTGCCTCTCCAGCCCCCAGAGACTTCTAGACCTGTGGGATCCTCTTCAGGTGCTCAGAGCAGGCCAAACTCCCCAGCTGGTAGACTTGCTGCTCCCTGATGAAGAGCACAGGGACTTGCATCTGGAAGCCACCTCTTCAGAGGAAAACCTCCCTCTGCATTTAGGCAGGGTAGGAGAGCTGCGGAATGCTCATTTTCTGTTGTTTTTTTTTTTTTTTTTTTTTTGAGATGGGGTCTTGCTCTGTCACCCAGGCTGGAGTGCAGCAGCATAATCTCGGCTCACTGCAACCTCTGCCTCCCAGGTTCAAGCAGTTCTCCTGCCTCAGCCTCCTGAGTAGCTGGGACTACAGGAGCGCACCACCACACCCAGCTAATTTTTGTATTTTTAGTAGAAACGGGGTTTCACCATGTCGCCCACCTCAGCCTCCCAAAGTGCTGAGATTACTGGTGTGAGCCACCGCGCCTGGCTGGAATGCTCATTTTTTACAAGCAGCAAAACATTCGAACAGGAGAGGAGCAGATGAAGTGACTGACTTCTCCCTCTCCTTCCAGAACCTGCATTGTCCCAGCTCTTTGTCCCAACTGTGCACGTTAGTATAACCAGGGGAGCTCTAAAGCTCTCCTCTCTTCCCCTTCAGACTAATATCAAGAGGGGCCACACCTAGGTAAACCCAACCCAGCATAGTCTTTTAAGGGTGAGAAACCCTAAGCACTGTCAACATACGCACTAATTTCCCATCTCATTAGTGGCCGAGGCAGGGCCAGAATCTGGGAATCTCTTCCCAGGCCATCACAAGGTCTTACCATATATTTCACTCTGGAATAGTGTCCTCAGTATTTCTGTGAGGTTTGTGGTTCCAGATTCAGCAACAACATCATGGTGAGGGTGAGAGGACAAGAGGACTTTATAAACCAAGAAACTAAAACATACAGAAGTGGCCCTAAAGCTTCCTGAAATCCTTTGAGGAGGAAAACTTCTGACATCTCTGGCCAGGAGCCCTTTGGAACCACTGAGAGAGAGAGTCAGGGAGTAGTCTCCACGTTTCAAGAGGAAGGTGCATTTTAATCCTGTGGATTTGAAATAGTGTGACCTAAAAATCCCACTAGTCTTCAGGTACAAAAAATGGAAACCGCGTAAACTTGTTAAAACATTTGTATCTGTAGGAAAATTGGTCTCGAACTCTCACCCTTGATGTATGCAGGTCTTCAAGAAAACAGCAGGTCAGATGTGACCGCTAGACAGTTTGTAGAACACTTCAAGACCCGTCGTCTCATTTGAACCTCAGAGAGCCGGGACTCTGGAGCCACACTCCCTGCATTGGAATCCCAGCCCACTATTACTAGCTGTGTGACCTTGGGCTAGTTGCTTAACCTCTCTGTGCCTCATCACCTCATCTGTAAGGCAGGGGTGATGGTACCTACCTCCTCAGGTGGTTTCAAAATTGAATAAACTCCTTAAAGTAGTGCCTTGACCTTAACTATGCTCCAAGTGGGCTTACTAGCAATCTTTTGAGATGAGTAGCTGCCAAACTCTCTGATAATAAGATAAATTCAGAAACTGAGAGGTCAAGCAAAAAGACCAGGAACACACAGGAGTTAGTGGTGAAGACTGCCCTGTAGCCAAATTATAAGGAAGCAGCGTAGCATCTAGTGCAGGAGTTTGCAAACTAAGAAGTGAGGACTCTGTATGGGGGATGTTTGGGGCCCAGGAGAACTGTTTGCCAGCTTAGGAATGAGGCAGTAGAAGGGGATAGGCTGAATGGCAACCTGGTGACCTGACCAGTGTGTAGACGGGTCAGGGACTGTTGTGTAGTGGTGTACTGTGTCACATGACTATTTCCCCAGAGCTAGGATTCTTGCCATGCCTCCGCTTAGCCGCCCTTCCCACCTCCCTGTGGATGCAGGCACAGTTTCTCCCTCTCCTTGGGGAAACAGGCTCACAGCAGTGATCATACCCATGTTGGAACATAGCCTTTGGTGCTTCCGTCAGAGCTTGTTCTGTCTTTTGTTGGAAAAGCTCCAGGTAGGGGGCAGTGATGGAGGGCAGGAGCCGTTGGCAAAGCCATTCATTCTCAAAGGGCACTGATGATGCTGCCCTGAAAACAGTCTGCCAGCTGAGCACCTGGGTGGTTGGCCAGTTTGGTCTGCAGTGCAAGCAGGGAATTCTGTCCACTCTGAGTTTTTTAATAAAGTGGAATATATGCTATAGTTTCCACTGAGTTGACCTTTTATGACCATTTTTGAAAAGTTTGGGAAATCCTGGCTTAGGGCACCTGTCTTCACTTCTCAGAAATTCTCCTGGTCCCTGAAGTAATAAGGAAAGATAATTAACAAGTAGACTCTTACCAGTTAGGAGAGACTGTACAGACACAGAACTCCACAGTAGCGCCAGAGTGTCAGGATTTACCATCAGATGTTATGGACACACTCTTGCCCTCAGTTTTATCTTTCAAGTGTAGCATGACAGAACTTGTTATGAATACAGTAAAAAATATTGTTGAGATGGTAGGGCCAGTGGTTTATTATTATTATTATTTGAGATGGAATTTTGCTCTTTTGCCCAGGCTGGAGTGCAATGGCACCATCTCGGCTCACTGCACTCTCCGCCTCCCGGGTTCAAGTGATTCTCCTGCCTCAACCTCCTGAGTAGCTGGGATTACAGGCACCCATCATCATGTCCAGCTAATTTTTGTATTTTTAGTAGGGACCATGTTTCACCATGTTGCCAGGCTGATCTCGTACGCCTGACCTCAGGTGATCCACCTGCCTTGGCCTCCCAAAGTGCTGGGATTACAGGCATGAGCCACCACACCCAGCCTAATTAAATTTCTAAAATTTAAGTAGAGACAGGGTTTCACCACGTTGCCCAGGCTGTTCTCAAACTCCTCTGAGCTCAAGCACTCCACCTGCCTCCGCCTCCCAAAGTGCTGGGATTACAGGAGTGAGCCACCGTGCCCAGCCTAGTGATTATTTTCATTAACAATTTTTAAAATTAATTTTAGAACAGTTTCTCAATTATGTGTGAATTATGTTCCGTAATTGTGCCAGGTGATGGCTGGAACAGAGATAAGTTTTTTTTTTTTGAGATGGAGTTTCGCTCTTGTTGCCCAGGCTGGAGTGCAATGGCACGACCTCATTTCACTGCAATCTCCGCCTCCCGGGTTCAAGCAATTCTCCTGCCTCAGCCTCCCAAGTAGCTGGGATTACAGGCACCCACCACCATGCCCAGCTAATTTTTTGTATTTTTAGTAGAGACCGGGTTTCACCATATTGGCCAGGCTGGTCTTGAACTCCTGACCTCAGGTGATGCCCTCGCCTCAGCCTCCCAAAGTGCTGGGATTACATGTGTGAGCTACCGCACCTGGCCAGAGATAACTTTTTAATGAAGTGTTAAAGTTAGGGGCCAGTTTCCAGGTAAATCTCCAGATGCCCATCTTAATTTGTGCCAGGCTATACTATAAACCTCATTTCCCTGGGGAAAGAGGGTTGAGAGTTCCAACATGAGATACTTTATTTTTTTATTTTATTTTATTTTTAAAATAGAGACAGGGTCTTATTATGTTGCCCAGGCTCGTCTCAGACTCCTGGGCTCAAGCAACCCTCCTGCCTTGGCCTTTCAGAGTGCTAGAATTACAGCAGTGAGCCACCGCGCCCAGCTGACATGTATTAAATACACATTTCTCTTCACTCACATTCCATAGTGAGGTTCCTTGACAGCAAATTTGCAGATCTGGAGAATGAGGCACCAACCTCATGTTATAATATCCCTGAATGGATCCAGTCAGAGTGGGAGGTAGTGGCAGCCCAACGTCTTCTGGTAGGAGGGCTCCTAGGGAGTCTTTTTCCACTGGCTCTTGAAGAAGGGTCATCAGTTGGGGTACCACGGTAGATATGGGTGTATATTGCAAAACACTAGAACCAGAGTATTATCAATGGAAAGGTCTAGACAGTGAGGCCCACTCATTTGCCTAATTAGAAACAGTTAGAAACTCCTGCTTAATTAGAAATTCTTGCCCTCAGTTTTTTCTTGCTGTTGTTTGGTTTTTTTTAATTATTATTTTTGTTTTTTGAGACAGAGTCTTACTCTGTCGCCCAGGCTGGAGTGCAGTGGTGCAATGTCAGCTCACTGCAACCTCCACCTCCAGGTTCAAGTGATTCTCGTGCCTCAGCCTCTCAAGTAGCCAGGATTACAGATGTGCACCACCATGCCCGGCTAATTTTTGTATTTTTAGTAGAGAAGGGGTTTCACTGTGTTGGTCAGGCTGGCCTTGAACTCCTGGCCTCAAGTGAGTCGCCCGTCTCGGACTCCCAAAGTGTTGGGATTACAGAGGTGAGCCACTGCGCCTGGCCCAATTTTATCTTTCAAGTGTAGCATTCGAATTAGTTTCCCACTTAAAAATGCCACTGTCTGTGGTTTCGGTATAAATTCTGAGTATAACTTTTCACAGTGACAAAAATGATTGAGATGTACTTTACTGGGTTTTTTGTTGTTGTTTTGTTTTTTGAGACAGTCTCTTTCTGTAGCCCAGGCTGGAATGCAGTGGCACGATCTCGACTCACTGCAACCTCTCCTTCCAGATTCAACCAATTCTCCTGCCTTAGCCTCCTGAGTAGCTGAGACTACAGGCATGCGCCACCACACCAGGCTAATTTTTGTATTTTTAGTAGAGACAGGGTTTTACCATGTTGGCCAGGCTGGTCTCGAACTCCTGACCTCATGTAATCCACCTGCCTAGGCCTCACAAAGTGCTGGGATTACAGGCGTGAGCCACTGTGCCTGGCCTAATTAAATTTGTTTTTTTTTATTTTTATTTTATTTTATTTTTTTTTGAGACGGAGTCTCGCTCTGTTGCCCAGGCTGGAGTGCAGTGGCAGGATCTCAGCTCACTGCAACCTCTGCCTCCCAGGTTCAAGCAATCCTCCTGCTTCAGCCTCCCACATAACTGGGATTACAAGCATGTGCCACTATGCCTGGTTAATTTTTGTATTTTTAGTAGAGACGGTGTTTCACCATGTTGTCCAGCCTGGTCTCAAACTCCTGAGCTCAAGTGATCCACCTGCTTTGGTCTCCCAAAGTGCTGGGATTATAGGCATGAGCCACCACGCTCCGTGAGATGTACTTTAATGTGAGATTTAAACATAATTAAAAGAGAATTAAAAACCAATTGTATAAATAAATGGGAAGAAAGTGTGAAACTTCTCTCCCATTTACCATTGATGTTTACAAATTGCTAATACCATTTTAGGAAATGAACGTGAGTTAAATAGTTAAAAAGTCAATTTAAAAGTTGAAAAATGTGGCAAAATGTCAACTACTTAGTTCTTGCCTTTCTCTGACAACCTGCTGTCATTAACAGCACAGCGAGTCATGACAAAGTTTCCACATATCCTCCTGACCTTCCAGGGCTCTCCGGTTTGTTCCTTTGATGGCTGAGAAAAATAAGCTAAAAATAGAGTTGACGTTTAATTAGCTTTTGTAATTTCAGAGTGATATAGAGCAGTTCATTTAGTAAGCATTGATTGCTATGTGCAGCGTGCTGTGTGCCACAGATAACCGAGGAGCTGGAGACGAGGTTTCCTAAGTGACTCGGGAGGGCGGGGCCAAGCTAAGAACATAACCAGGGTGGTTGAAGCCATGGGCGATATGGTCACCCTCAAGGAGAATGAAGCTGGCCAAGCAGACATCTGACATTTGAGAAGATTCTTTGACTGGAGATACCCAGAAACTGGTAAACCGAGTCCCCTAGTTCCCAGCGTCACATTCCTGCTTCTGTGCTTCACTTGGAAGTACTGTGGCCAAATCTCCATCCGCTCCCTCTCTCCTCCCTCACAGCACCTGCACTCTTCAAGAAGTAATTTACAATGCTTCAAAGCACTCAGGTGTTGGAAAATCTGTGTGCTTTCTGTAAATTGTGACAACCAGAATATCTTCTATTGTTCTCTTAACTCTCCTCTTCTTTGGTTTGTGTCTTTTGTTTGCCTTTTATTTTAAAAATATAAAAAAGTACAGATAAAAGAGCATTCACATACTCAGTACTAAGAATGTAAACATTTTACCACATTGCCTTTAGATTTTTAAAAATGGGTATGAGTATTTAAGGTTCCTTTCGAGGCCCTCCCCTGTGTAGATCCTTACCTGGAGTCTCCAGGGTAGCTAACATACACCTCACTTATGGCATCTTGACATGGTCTCATGTCTTGGTTTTGAAGATTGAAGGAGAAAATTTAAGATTCTTCATCCTTGCCTTAAGCAAAATATCGACATTTAGATATTCTGTTGTCTTAAGAGCCACTTGGCTCTGAGTTCTTCAGTGGTTGTTGTTCCCTGGGGGAAGGAGACAGTGTGGCTTGCCCAGGACTGGAGACTAGCCCCTGTCACAGCCCTAGGAAGCAGGCCTGTTTCTTGGGGTCTGAGTCTGACTTCAAAGGAAGCACTTGCTGGCCTTTCTCTGCACTCCCAGTACAGGGAGCATACCCAGTGACAGCACTCTGAGTGCTCAACCATCAGCTTCTCTGTGTGCCTGTGTTACTGCCTACCTTCCTGACCCCATCCCCCAGGCCCACAAGCCCAGACAGTAAGGGTCAGGAGCATGTTTTGTGTATCCAAATAAATGCCTTGATTTCACCAGTGGCTCAGAAAGCTGTTATGTATAGTAGAAATCCGATGAAAAGTTTACAGGTAGAAGGAAGTGTACAGCTGTGGAGATGCAGCTGTGGCTCTTGGGTTGTTTTCAGCTAGCAAGCACTTCTTTCCTAGTTTGCCTTCTTGAAATGGGAGATCAAGGAATCCTTCCATTCTTTAGAATTCTTCAAAATCTTACGGTTTAGAGTAGTCTGCCACCTGAATCTAGTGCTGAGAAATATCTGCTCTAAAAATTAGGCTTTTTCATTTTCTTTTCCTCAATTTTCATCTCAAAGTAGTGACTTCCCAGGAAAGTGCTGTTATCCGCCACTTCTTGAAGCTAAGGAGATGAGGAGCTCTCAAATGACGCTGCCTGATGGCTTTCCATCGTCAGGGTGCTAACCTCCCCTCCTTCTGATTCACCTTATTCCAGCTGTTCTATGAATCATTTCCATGTTTAATAAAATTGACCCCCTGACCATGTAACCCACCCACTTCTCCCTTGATGTGTGTGTGTGTCCCTGTGATGGTGTCTGTGCTACCTGTTACTGTGGTAATGGTGTAGGGTTTTGGTGTTTGGGTCTTTTTTAAACTAACTCTCACCTGTCTTTTTCCTTCTGCGCTCACCCATGATACCCCACTCTGCCTCTCAGATCTTGCAGTTTTCAAGGAACGACTTCGAATGCTAACAGTAGGAGGTATGAAAATAATGAGCTTTTCACCTTTTCAGAGTTGAGGACTTCATTTGAATAGGATGTGCAACTTTTCCTAGCATGCAATATGGGGAAAGTTGACGCAACTTCTGTCACGTGTTTTTAAGTTTGTTAATTGTTCTGAAATGTGTTTTTCCCTTCCTTTAATTATTAACCAATAAGTAGAGCTACTTATATGGTATCGTTTTGTTTCTGTTCATTTGTGTTTCAAAGAGCACTTTTCATCTTCACGTGTGCTTCATCGCTTCACTGTGAGCTGCCATCTTCAGCATAATTCACCTTTAGCTGCTGCCATAGCCAGCTGGGCACATGAAGCCATGTTCAGCTCTGCATGGTGGCTTGTCCTGTCCTCCACATTCTGTGCTGAGGCTTTGACTGGACTCTGGATTCTTCCAGATTCTGCTTCCTGGGCATTTTGGGCAAGATTTCCAAAATGTTTTATGTTTGAAGGCCAACTGAAGTATTAATAAAAACTTACTGAGAACTCTTAGTGACCCTCGGTTGGGCAAAACACATTTGAGGAATCCAGAGTCGAAATGCTGGGGGATCATCAGCCTGTTGTCATCCACCCTGGTGGCCAGTCTCTTCTTTACACTCTGGCTTCTCTAAGCAGTTATCTTTTTTATCATCCTTCTAATATCTGTGAAACTCTACTTTTTAATTACACTTTTAATTTTGAGATTATTATAGATCCATATGCACTTGTGACAAATAACAGTTCTGTGCCCTTTGGCCAGCTTCCCCAGTGGTAACATCTTGAAAAGCTATAGTACAACATCACACCACTACACTAAATTGATAAAGTAAGACTCTAGACATCCATCACCACGAGGATTCCTCCTGTTGCCCTTTTATGACCATATCTACTTCCCTCCCATCCCAGCCACTACTTGTATTCCCTGGCAACCACTATTTTGTTCTCCATTTCTGAAATTGTCATTTCAGGAATATTATAAATGTAGAATCACAGTATGTAACCTTTGGGGATTGGCATTTTTCAATCAGCATAATTTTCTTAGAGATTCATGCAGGTTGTTGGTGTGAATCAATAGTTTGTTCCTTTTTATTGCTGAGTAGTATTCCATGGTGTGGATGTACTATGATTGTTTTTAACCATTCACCTGTTGAAGGACCTCTTCATTGGAATGGATTGTTTCCATTCTTTGGCTAATAGGATCTTTTGCAGAGCAGAAGTTTTTAATCTTTTTTCCCCCTCGTTTCCTACCTCAGCTTCTATGCCCTAAGTTTTTAAGCTTGATGACATCCAGTTTATTAATTTTCCTTTTATGGATTGTGCTTTTGGTATGAAGTCTAAGAACTCTTTCCTTAGCCCTAGATCCCCAAAATGTTCTCCTATACATTTTTCTAAAGGTTTTATAGTTTTGTGTTTTACATATAAATCTATCATCCATTTTGTGTAAATTTCTGTATAAGACGTTTAGATCAAGATTCTTTTATTGTTCATTTTATATTTTTGTGTGTAGATGTCCAGTTGTTCTGGTGCCATTAGCTGAAAACTCTGTCTTTCCTTCATTGAATTGCTTTTGTACTTTTGCCAAAAATCAGTTGGACTTATTGGTGTGGGTCTATATCTGGATTTTCAGTTATTTTCCTTTGTGTGTCTGTTTTTCCATCGATACCACAGTGTCTTGATTACTGTAGCTACTAAACTTTATTTTTCATTTACAAAATTGTTTTAACTATTCAAGGGCCTTTTCCTTCTCCATATAAATTTGAGGATAAGCATATCTATGTCTACATATACCTTACTGCCATTTTGATAGGAATTGGCTTAAACCTATAGATCCATTTAGGGAGAAAATACATTTTTACCATGTTGTCTTCCAATCCATGCACATAGTATGTCTCCTCATTTATTTGGATCACTGATTTTTTTAATCAGCTTTTTGTAGTTTTCAGCATATACATTGTGTATATGTTTTGTTATATTTACACTTAACTATTATTTTCTTTTTTAACCTTGGTGTCCACATATTCATTGGTAGTATATAGAAATATAATTGATTTTAGTGTTTATGTTGCATTCTGAGATCCCGATGAACTCATTCTAGGGCTTTTTTTTTTTTTTTGTAGATTCCTTAGGATTTTCTATATAGACAGTCATGTCATCTGAAAATAGGAAGTTATTTCATCCTTCCCAATCTGTGTGCCTTTTATTTCCTTTTCTTGCCTTATTACAGTAGCTACAACTTTTAGCACCGTACTGAATAAGAGAGGTAAGAGTGGATAGCCTTATGCCCTGTTCCTGATCTAAGGGTAAAAGCACTGAGTCTTTCATCATTAAGTATAATGTTAACTGTAGATTTTTTGTAAATGCTCTTTATCAAGCTGAGGAAGTTCCTCTGTATTCATATTTTTTCTGATAGTTTTAATTATGAATGTATATTGAATTTTGTCAGATGTTTTTCCTGCATTGATATGATCTTGTGATTTATTATTATTATTATTATTTTTTGAGACTGATTCTTGCTCTGTCACCCAGTCTGGAGTGCAGTGGTGCAATCTCAGCTCACTGCAACCTCCACCTCCCAGGTTCAAGCAATTCTCCCACCTCAGCCTCCCAAGTAGCAGGGGGCTACCAGTGTGCACCACCACGCCCAGCTAATTTTTCTACTTTTAGTAGAGGTGGGGGTTTCACCATGTTGGCTAGGCTGGTCTAGAACTCCCGACCTCAGGTGATCTGCCCACCTCACCCTCCCAAAGTTCTGGGATTACAGACATGAGCCACCACCCCCGGCCGATTTTTATTCTTTAATGTAGATGATTTAATGCTAATGTCGTGGTAGACGATTTAATGCTAATGTCGTGGATTGTATTGATTGAGTTTTGATTATTCAACCAGCCTTGGATTAGTGGAATAAACACCATTTGATCATGGTATATAATTCTCTTTATATGTCTTTGTATCTGTCTCTTTATATATTTTGCATCCATATTGATGAGGGATATTGGTCATTTTCTTTTTTTGTACTATCTTTGCTTTTGGTATCAGGGTAATTCTGGCTTCATAAAATGAATTGAGAAGTGTTTCTCCTATTTTCCAAAAGACAGTAAATAGAATTGGTGTTAACTCTTCTTCAAATACTTTATAGAATTTTCCAGCAAAATCATTTGGGCTTAGAGGTTAGTTTTTCACAAGGTTTTTATTTATTAATTAGATTTCCTTATTAGCCATAGGGCTTTTCTAATTATCTGTTTCATATTGGGTGAGTAATGGTAGTTTGTGTTCTTCTAGAAGTGGTTTATTTCATCTAAGTTGTCAAATGTGTGTAGTGTTATTTATAGTATTCCCTTATTTTTGATAGTCATTTTTTAAATTTCTTTTTCAACTTCAAGAAAAGGAACAGAATCTTCTTGATATTTGAAGGGTCTGTATTGATATCCTGTTTCATTCCTGATATTGGTCATTTGTGTCCTCTTTTTATTTGTCAGTCTTGTAAGAGATTTGTCGATGTTACTAATCTTTTCAAAGAACCAGTTACTTGTTTCATTGGTTTTTTTCTGTTGTTTTGCTGTTTTCAATTTCATTGATTTCTGCTCTTTATTGTTTCCTTACTTCTGCTTATTGGCTTTTGGCTTCTTTGTTGTTTTTCCCTCTTTTCTAGGAATGGGAACTTAGATTATTGATTAGAGACTGTCCCTCTTTTCTGATGTATTTACTACTATAAATGTTTCTCTCAGTACTGGTTTAGCTGTCCTACAAAGTTTGATATGTTATATTTTCATTTTCTTTCAGTTGTTTTTGAGGCAAGGTCTTGCTCTGTCATTCAGGCTATAGTGCAGTGGCATGGTCACAGCTCACTGCAGCCTCTAATTCCTGGGCTTAAGTTATCTTCCCACCTCAGCCTCCCAAGTAGCCAAGACTACAGGTGTATGCCACCATGCCTGGCTATTTTTAAAATTTTTTATAGAGGTGAAATCTCACTGTATTGCCCGGGCTGGTCATTATTGTATTCTTTGTATACCCCTTGATATTTTGTCTTTGGCCTTTGGATTATTTAGAAGGGTGTTATTTAGTTTCCAAGTGTTTGGAGATTTCTTGTTACCTTTCTTATTATTGCTTTCTAGTTTGATTTCATTGTGGTTGGAGAATGCACCCTATATGATTTGAATTGTGCTAAATTTGTTGGGTTTTTAAAAAATGGCCCACCATATTGTCTGTCTTGGCATATGTTTCATGGGTGCTTGAAAAGAATGCTGCTGTTGAAATGCTATTGTTGGGTGGAGTATTCTCTAAATGTCTGCTAGAGCCAGGCATGGTGGTTCATGCCTATAAACCCAGGACTTTGAGAGACCAAGATGGGAGGATCACTTGAAGCCAGGAGTTTGTTGCCTGGCAACATAGCGAGACCCCTGTTTCCACCACCACCAACAACAAAATTAGCCAAGCATGATCGCGCGTGCCTGTAGTCCTAGCCACTCAGGAGGCTAAGGTGGTAGGATCATTTGAGCCCAGAAGTTTAAGGCTGCAGTGATCTATGATTGCACCACTATACTCTGGCCTGGGTGACCCTATCTGTAAACTACACACACACGCGCGTGTGCACACACACACACATCTGTTAGATCCTGTTAGTTAATGGCTGTTGAGTTCTGTATTTTTGCTGAATTTCTGTCTAGTTTTTTAGTCAGTTATTGAGAGAGGGGTATTAAAGTCTTCAGCTATAAATGTGGGTTTGTCTCTTTCTCCTTTTAGTCCTATCAGATTTGGGGTCACTTATTTTGCAGCTCTGTTCTTTGGTGTATACACATTTCAGATTGCTGTATCTTCTCAGTAGATTGACCCTCTTACCATGATGGAATGTCCCTCTTTGTCTCCAGTAATTTTCTTTGCTCTGAAGTTACTTCATCTCATATTAATATAAGCCATTCCTACTTACATTTGATTAATGTTTACATGATGCATTTTTTCCTCCCTTTACTTCAACTTGTCTATATCACATTTGAAGTGAGTTTCTTGTGGATAAGCATATAGGTGGGTTTTGTTTTATATTTATCCACTTTTCTCATAATCTCTGTCTTCTATTTAATATATTTAGGTCATTTATATTTAATGTAATTATTGGTATGTTAGGGCTCAAGTGTGCCATTTTATTATTTATTTTTTGTTCTGCTTTTCATTGCTTTGCTTTCATTTTCCTGTGCTGTGGATTTTTAAACCCACATTTAAAAATTTTTTTTTAATTATGTATAGTTTATGGTTTTTTGGGTTTTTTTTTGAGACGGAGTTTCGCTCTTTCACCCAGGCTAGAGTGGTGCAGGGGCGTGATCTTGGTGCACTGCAACCTCTGCCTTCCGGTTCAAGCGATTCTCCTGCCTCAGCCTCCTGAGTAGCTGGGATTATAGGTGCCTGCCACCACACCCAGATAATTTTTTTGTATTTTTAGTAGAGGCAGGGTTTCACCATGTTGGCCAGGCTGGTCTTGAACTGACCTCATGATCTACCTGCCTTGGGCTCCCAAAGTGCTGGGATTACAGGCGTGAGCCACCACGCCTGGCGTGTTTTTGAGTGTATCCTTTTATATAGCATTTTTAGTAGTTGTTTTAGGTATTACTACTTTATATAGACATAACTTATCATCTACTAGTGTCATAACTTTTCAATACATATTAAGTATGGAAACCTTACCTCCTTTTATATCTCTTTACTGTCCTGCATTTATAATATAATTATCTTAGATATTTTCTCTACATACATTTAGAACTTCATCAGACAGAGTTATAAGTTTGCTTCAACCATCAAACATAATTTAGAAGACCCAAGAGGAGGAGAATCTGATGTATTTACCCAGATTTTTGCTTTTTGTGTTCTTTCTTCCATCTTGGTGTTCCAAGATTCCTTCTTTTATTGTTTCCTTTCTGTTTAAAATACTTCCTTTGGCCAATTTTTTAGGGCAGGTCTGCTGATGACAAACTTAGTTTTCCTTTGCCTGGGAACCTCTATTTCTCCTTCATTCCTACAGGACATTTTTGGTGGATGTAAGATTCTGGTTAGACATAATCCTTTTCCCTTATCTTTCAGGTCCTGAAAAGTGTTGTGCCATTTCTTTCTTTTCTTTTCTTTTCTTTTTTTTTTTTTTTTGAGACAGAGTCTCACTCTGTTGCCCAGGTTGGAGTGCAGTGGTGCAATCTCTGCTCACTGCAACCTCCGCCTCCTGGGTTCAAGCGATTCTTCTGCCTCAGCCTCCTGAGTAGCTGGGATTACAGGCACGCACCACCACGCCTGGCTAATTTTTGTATTTTTAGTAGAGATGGGGTTTCACCATGTTGGTCAGGCCGGTCTCGAACTCCTGACCTCATGATCTGCCCCACCTCGGCCTCCCAAAGTGCTGGGATTACCGGCGTGAGCCACTGTGCCCAGCCTATACCACTTCTTTCTACCCTCCATGGTTTCTGATGAGAACTCCTGTCATTTGAATTGTTTTCCCTATAGGTAAAGTGTCACTTTACAACAACTGCTTTTAAGATTTTTTCTTTGATATTGTTTTTCAGAAGTTTAATTATCATGTGTTTTGGCATGGATTTCTTTGGGAATATCCTGTGGATTCACTCAGCTTCTTGAATCTTTGGGTTTGGTCTTTTACCATATTTGGGAAGTTTTTAGCTAAGTACCTTTTCAGCCACCCTCTTTATTTTCTGCTTCTTTGATTTTATCCATTTATATGTATGTGAAATCTTTGATTATACTGTCACATGTCCCCTGAGGCTCTGTTCATTTTTTATTTCCTTTCTGTTCTTCAGATTGGTTAATTTCTGTTGTTCCGTCTTCAAATATACTGATTCTCTGCCCCTCCATTCTGCCATTGAGCCTATCCATTGAATGTTTTTTGATTTTTTAAAAAAATTCTATTTGGTACTACTTTGCATCTTCAGTTTTTGGCTGAGACATTCTAATTTGTAACTCACTTTTAAAAATTTGTCTCTATCGTGTTCTTAATTGCTCATTGAAATTGTTTGGGCCAGGTGCAGTGGCTTACGCCTGTAAGCACTTTGGGAGACCAAGGCAGGCAGATTGCTTGAGCTCAGGAGTTCGAGACCAGCCCGGCCAACGTGGGAAAACTCCATCTCTATTAAAAATACAAAAACTAGGCCGGGTGCTGTGGCTCACGCCTTTAATCCCAGCACTTTGGGAGACTGAGGCGGGCAGATCATTTGAGGTCAGGAGTTCTAGACCAGCTTGGCCAACATGGTGAAACCCCGTCGCTACTAAAAATACAAAAATTAGCCGAGTGTGGTGGTGCACGCCTGTAGTCCCAGCTGCTCTACTCAGGAGGCTGATGCAGGAGAATTGCTCAAGCCCGAGAGGCGGAAGTTGCAGTGAGCTGAGATGGTGCCACGGCACTCTAGCCTGGGCAACAGAGCGAGATGCTATCTCAAAAAAAATTACAAAAACTAGCTGGACGTGGTGTTGTGTGCCTGTAGTCCCAGCTACTCAAGAGGCTGAGGTTGGAGGATCACCTGAGCCCTGGAGGTTAAGGTTGCAGTGAGCAGTGATCAAACCAGTACACTCCAGCCTATGCGACAGAGTGAGACCCTGTCTCAAAAAAAAAAAAAGAAAAAAGAAATTGTTTGATGATGACTGTTCAAATCACAGGCGATTCTAACATATTGGTCATCATGGTGTTGATGTCTGTTGATTTTCTTTTCTCATTCACTATGAGATATTCCTGGGTCTTGTTATGAATTATAGTTTATTGAAACCAGGACATTTTGGGTATGGTGAGAGTCAGGATCTTATTTAAATCTTCTGTTATAGCAGACCTTTTGTAGACACTGTTCCCCACTGTGGTGGGGGAAGGGGAGGGCACCACCTTGTTATTGCCAGCAGAGGTGGAAGTCCTTCTCCCACTCAAGTATCCACCGTTACTGGGATTAGGGGAAGGGGCTGATGCATTACCTCCCAGAGAGAAGGACATTTTGGATTCCCTCTTGGGCCTTCGCTGAAACCTCTGTGATGGGGTTGGGTGCTAGGGCCCATTACAGCCTGGTGAGGGTGGGGTCACAGTGTTTTCTCTGGTATTTGCCTGTAGTAGAGCAGTTTTTGTCTAAAAGTTTTTTGTCTTGATAGGCTACCTCTTTCCTGGTCTTTTGGTAGAGAGCAGCTTTTGTCAGGCTTTTGTTATCAAATACACCTCTTAAAGTTTTGGGGTTGCTGGTTCTTCTGCTCCAGGTCTGCAATATTTGAAGCAAAAAAGAAATTCCAGGGAACTCCCTGGTGTGTTTTGCCTTGAGACCTCCCTAGCTGGTGTGCCTTATTCTCTCCACCTTTCAGAGTTGTCTTATGATTGTTTTGCATATAATGTCTAGGATTTTTAGTTGTACTTATTGGGGGAATAGGGAAGAATATGTGTACTCCGCTTTCACAAAGCACTCATATATAGATCTAGTTTCTCAAATAGCTAAAGAACTAAAAGTGTACCAGCAGTTCTGAGGCTCAGCAGTATAGCCCAAGAACTATGAACTCAGGATGATAGAAGTGAAAGACCATCACATGGTGAGGTCAAGGGATATCTGTAGGCACCTACTTCACAGGGTCCATGCTGAAAGACTGCAACCAATACACAGCGCTTATCTGGGGGCATACACTGGACCGATATAGTTTCACAATCAAAATATTTCCCAACAAAATGTGCACTGTTATTCTGGTCCCCAGTCAGCTGCACCTGGCCTGAGTTTTTTAGTCAGGAAAAATTTCTCAAAGATGATTCTGTTTTTCCTCCATAAATACTATAGGGCAATTGCCCAAAAGCCAGGCCATAAATGGCAAGAGCCACGTGCTTCACCTAGGCCCAAGTGGTTGCTGTGCCCTCAGTGTTGACAGACTAACAGGAGGGAATGGGTGTTCAGGCTTAACTAAGCCACTACTACCATCACCACCCTCCAGGTTAAAAAAAAAAAAAAAAAAAAGCCAGATTTGCTTTGTTTTAATAAAACAAACAGGGCTTGGAAAATGTAGAGTTTGCTTTTAAGACTTAAAAAACAAAACAAAACAAACAAAAAAAACCTCTCCGAAAGCATTAGATAAATAAAGGCTGTAGTTCCCAAACCATGCTTGAATCAGAATCACCTTGGGAGATTTGTGGGCCCACCCTGAGACTCACTGATTCAGTACCAGGGTTGGAGCCTAGAAACAAGCCTTTTTATAAATCTCCAAGGAGATCAAAATACACAATTGTGTTTGCAAACTACCACCGTTAATCCCGTGCTGGACACTTATGGCTCCTTTTAGTCTTAATTTGGCCAGGAAACAATAAGAACATTTCATCAGGTCTAGTCAGATGTTGGAGACTTCGCAAAATACCAGTTCACTGTGCATTCCTGGAGCCTGAGAAAATGCTGATGTAAGGTATTCAAGCGCTAGTGATTCTTGAACTGTGCTTTTTGCTGTACTCTAGCTGATATATTATGTCAGGAGAGATGCCAAACTGGATAAAAGAATGTATGGTGTCATTTGACAGTCTTCCTCTTTGATACAGCAAGATGAAACAAGCATATAATGCCACAGAAAGAGCTCTTCCAGCATTATTCTTTCTCAGACTGAGATGCACTTTCAGGTGAGGTGTTGTCTTCCCCCACAGTGCTGCAGCGAATATTAGTGCTTACTCAGTTGGTTCCCGCTGAGTGATTGGAGTCAGGAGATGGGAGGGTTGTACCTGTGACTGCTGAGTATTGCCTGCAGAATGGGCTCAGAACGCATAGTTCAGGAATTTCAGGAGAAGACGATGGTCCTTAATCCAAGGCTGGGGGTTGTTTGCACGCTGCTGTGCTGCCCTGTGGTGCACCCCTGCCTGGAGCTCCAACAGACAAGTTGACTTCTGGTGACTGTTTCTCCTTCACTTCTTAGTCCCCCTCCTCCAGCTTTTTGACATTCACCACATACATATATTATTGTCATATGATCTGTTCTTCTATATCAGTTCTTCATTTTCTACTTTAATTCCTCCTTAACTATTGTACTGATTTTTGATTGACTTACCCAGTGCCTTTTCATGGACCTCTCTTCCCACCCCCAAAATTGGTTATCTTTGGGACCTTGAAATAAATTTGTCTCTAAATTATGAATAATTGGTGTACTTAACTAACTTATGCATAATATGAATTTTATTGTGACTTACCTGTCATACTCTAATAGCCTCAGCTTCTATTTATTGCTAAAGTTTGTGTTTCTGGCTGTAAAATATTACTTATTTCACATATATCAGGGGCTTTTTATATGATTTTTTTCTTCTCTTTTTGCTCACCTGGGGAGTTCCTTCCCCTTTCCATAAACTGTGGTCCCTGCATGGCTGTGCCCCATCCCTCCTCATCTGGCTTGTCCTGCCCACATCGCCCTGCAGGGTTCTATGGCCTGGATGAGTCTGACCTCGACAAGGTCTTCCACTTGCCCACCACCACTTTCATCGGGGGACAGGAATCAGCACTTCCTCTGCGGGAGATCATCCGTCGGCTGGAGGTAAGAGCAGTTTCTGGAAAAATCTAATGGACTTCTTAAGAACTTGTATTGGCAGGATGGCTTTGAGACTAGTTTTATTTTTTTTCTTTGTCCTATCTTTCTATTTTATTTTTTCTCTGAGACAGAGTTACTGTCACCCAGGCTAGAATGCAGTGACACAGTTTGGCTCACTGCAGCCTTGACCTCCCAGTCTCAAACCATCCTCCCACCCCAACCTCTTGTATCTGGGACTACTGGTACACACCACCATGCCCAGCTAATTTTTTTTTAATTTTTTATTGTAGAGATGAGGTGTTGCTGTGTTCCTCAGGCTGGTCTCAAATGCCTGGGCTCAAGTCATCCTCCTACCTCGGCCTCTCGAAGTGCTGGGATTACAAACATGAACCTGTCTGTCTTTTTAAAAATTGTAAGGGAAGGAGGACTTTTGTGGCTATTGTTGCCATTTTATAGATAGAAACCAGTGGTTTTGTGATCAGCCATAGAGAGGGGAAGTAAATTCTGCTTTCAGATCCCACTAGGAGTTTATTACAGATGGAAGGAGAGTCACTTCAACCCTGAGGGACAGGCCTCAAGTCAGGGGTGGCTTCGTGCACAGCTCAGTGTCAGGGCTGCTGAGTGGTGGCCACTCTTCTTTCCTCTCTCCCTCTGTTCCTCTCATCCTTGTGTTTTGTTTCATTTTTTTCCTTCTCTCTGGACTCTGTTAGTACTAAGCCTGCCAGGAAATTCTTTCATTCACACACATTATAGACAGTGGCTAAGAGTTGTGGCTCTGCTGTTAGGCTACCTGTGTCTAGTTCTTCCATCCTGGGCAAGTCATAGCCTCCCTCAGTATAAGGGTGACTTCTATGCCCATTGCAGAGGGGAGAATGGATTTGATGAGAGGTGCATGCCAAGAGTTGGCTATTACTGTTACTTAATGCTGTTCCTGGTATTCAGAGCTAAAGGATCGAGGTTAAAATAAACTGAGGAAATACCCTGGAATGGGGACCCTCAGAATTGAGTATATATATCAGCTGGGGTCCTGCCTATCATGCAGAGTCTGAATCCTGACGTCCCTAACTAACCCAGGTTGAACCACACTGGCCATCAGGGCTCTCTGAGGCTGTTCCTCTCATGGCTGGACATTAGAACCACCTGGAGAGCTTACAGAACTGATATCCAGGCCACAGCCCAGGTCCCCTAAATCAGAAGCCCTCTAGCACCCCAGGGATTAATGCTTGCTGCCGCAAGTGAATTTTAATTTAAAACTCTCTTGTCAGTGTTTCCAGTTGGCTGCACAGTGGCTTAAAAAGATCTGAGTGTCCAGGCCAGGCACAGTGTCTCACGCCTATAGTCCCAGCACTTTGGGAGGCCGAGACAGGTGGATCATAAGGTCGGGAGTTCAAGACCAGCCTGGCCAAGATCGTGAAACGCCATCTCTATTAAAAATACAAAAATTAGCGGGGTGTGATGGTGGGCTCCTGTAATCCCAGCTACATGGGAGGCTGACGCAGATAATTGCTTGAACCTGGGAGCGGGAGGTTGCAGTGAGCGAAGATCGCGCCACTGCACTCCAGCCTGGGCAACAGAGCAAGACTCCATCTCAAAAACAAACAAAAAAAAACTGAGTGTCCAGTGCTGGCATTTTCTGTAGTTTGTGATGAGCATCCTGAAGTATTGTCAGCATCTCAGCTTGGAGCTGCTTCACCGCCTGCCTTCCTCACTTGTTGAGGAGAAAGGGGTAGAAACCAGAACTATGTGCCAGCATCAGAAGCTTGTGGCCAGTGGGATGTATTGGGCACCAGGGGGGAGTGATAAGGATTAATCCAAGAAGAATGAACCTTTGGGTCCTTCCTGTCACCTTTATCTGCACCCACATCACCACACTGACTATAGTTTCTAGTTCTGCCTACTAGCCACATGTTACTATTGAGCACTTGAAATGTACAAAATATTTGAATGACTTTTTAAATGTTGAAAAGATAATGTTTGATACATCGGGTCAAATAAAATAGGAAAATTTCATGTGGGTCTACTAGAAAAACAAATTACATATGTGGCTTACATAATGTTTCTGTTGAATGTTGCTGATCTGTGAAGTTCTTGTGTTGCCTGGACCCCCCACAAATGGCACCCCATATAGCTTCTCCAAGTGGCCCTACCCCCAAGTTATTTCACTGCTCATGTGTTCCACCCAGTTCCTTCAGTGTATTTTCTGTTACAACAGCCATCTGGTGATACCAGCCTGTGCTGAGAGCAGACTCAGCACTAGTACCTTTTACCTCAGAGGAGTCCCCTGTGGGGAGCCCGGCAGCTTTTTTTTTTTTTTTTTTTTTTTTTGAGACAGGGTCTCACTCTGTCACCCAGGCTGGAGGGCAGTGGCACAATCATGGCCCACTGCAGCCTCAACCTCTGGGATTAACCAATCCCCCTACTTCAGCCTCCTGAGTAGCTGGGACTATAGGAGCACACCACCATGCCTGGCTAATTTTTGTATTTTTTATAGAGATGAGATCTCACCACGTTGCCCAGGCTGATCTTGAACTCCTGGAGTCAAGTGATCCTCTTGCCTTCGTCTCCCAAAATGCTGGGATTACAGGCATGAGCCACTGCTCCTGGCCCCAGCAGCTCATCCTTAAACATGCTCTCACATTGGAAAGCTCCCATGGAGTCACTGTCTCCATAGCACGTCACAGTGTCACCTCTCAGGGGCCTGTTCAGGACCTTCCTTCCCAGAGAGCATAGGCATTGATGTCCCTATGGCTAACTTCCTATCTGAATCTTGAATCCCAGGTAATTTCGATTTCATCATATGAAGGGGGTGGAGGGCCTGAAGCACATTGAAGGGCTGCCTCCCTTTCAGTCCAGTTGATGCCAGAGCCTTGGAGTTGGCTCTTGTTGTCTGAGATGGTTGGACCTGTACCCAGGAGTCTAAGGCTGTATGCGCTCCTGGCCCCAGAGCAGCCCCAACTTAGAAGACTCCATTTTCACAACAGTTTACAGACATTTGCATAAAGTTCTCATTGCCCTGCCTGATGGTGATGCTTTACTTACATTTAATGTGTGTGTATGTTAGATTGGTGATATAATCAGACAGATCTTAAGCTATTGATCACGTGATGTGGTGGTCAATTTGTACCTTTTTCAAAAATTAGAGGAAATTCAACTTATTGGCTTCCTAAAAATTGTCTCATTAGAGGGAAAAACAAAGAATCAGCCCCTGAATCTTGCTGCCCTTTTCTCCTGGAGACAGGGCCAAGAACAGGAAAAACACAGCATGATCTAGTGGCCCGGTAACTACATCTCCAAGTTAATTGTTAAAGTAATGCTGATGTTGGAGAGATACTGATTTCTAGAGTTTTTAACCCAATAGTTTCTTCTGTTCAATAATGGAAATTCTGCCACCGTCAGGTGTAAAAGGGAGAGAGGAAAGGCATGGGCAGAGCCTGGGTAGCACAGTTCTGCCAGCTCTGTAATTGGAAACAGCAGTAGTGATGAAGGGAAGAGTCCTTCCCTCACAGCACCCCTCACCAGTGGGTCATTTGGGGTCGTGATGATGAAGAAGGGACAGATAGCCAGTTACTGGGTTTGCAACTCAGGCATGGACCCCATCCAAAGAGGGTAGGTCCTCTTTGAAGGTTCTCATTAACAGCCACTCTGGGGCTGGCCATGTCTTCTTGAATGGGTTTCTGCAGAAATGTAGTTTCTTCTGCTGGTCAGTACCTTGGGCACTATGGATCCCCAAGTGTCTGTAAAGTTGAGATGGTACAGTGGACTGATGTTGACTCTGAAATTAGGGATTAGGGGGCCAACTACACCCTCTTCTTGTATTTTTTGTGCATCTAATTTAGAAGTTCATAGTTTTATCTTAGATGTGATTAGAAAATATGGTTTGTGGGGCTGGGCGTGGTGGCTCAAGCCTGTAATCCCAGCACTTTGGGAGGCCAAGGCGGGCGAATCACGAGGTCAGGAGATCGAGACCATCCTAGCTAACACAGTGAAACCCCGTCTCTACTAAAAATAGAAGAAAATTAGCTGGGCGTGGTGGCGGGCACCTGTAGTCCCAACTACTCGGGAGGCTGAGCCAGGAGAATGGCATGAACCCGGGAGGCAGAGCTTGCAATGAGCCGAGATCGTGCTACTGCACTCCAGCCTGGGCAACAGAGCAAGACTCCATCTCAAAAAAAAAAAAAAAAAAGAAAAGAAAAAAAAGAAAATATGGTTTGGGGTTGTCTTAGTCCATTTTGTATTGCTATAAAGTATAAAGGAATATCTGAGGTTGGATAATTTATAATGAAAAAGGGGTTATTTGGCTCACAATCTAATTGGGCATCTGCATTTGGTGAGGGCCTCAGGCTGCTTCCACTCCTAGTGGAAGGCAGAGGGGAGCCTGCTTGTGCAGAGATCACATGGTGGGAGGGGAAGCAAGAGAGAGTGTGGGGAGGTGCCAGGCTCTTTTTAGCAACCAGCTCTCTCAAGAACTAATAGAGCAAGAACCCACTCACCTCTGAGCAAGGGCATTAATCTATTCATGAGGGATCCACCCTCACAAACAAAACATCTCCCATGTGGCCCCACTTCCAACATTGGGGATCAAATTTCATCAGGAGGTTTGTGGGGGAACAAACGGGTTAATAAAAATATCTTAAATAGCCGGGCGCGGTGGCTCACGCCTGTAATTCCAGCACTTTGTGAGGCCGAGGCGGGCGGATCACGAGGTCAGGAGATCGAGACCATCCTGGCTAACACGGTGAAACCCCGTCTCTACTAAAAATACAACAAAAAAAATTAGCCGGGCGTGGTGGCATGCACCTATAGTCCCAGCTACTCGGGAGGCTGAGGCAGGAGAATCGCTTGAACCCGGGAGGCGGAGGTTGCAGTGAGCTGGGATTGCACCACTGCACTCCAGTCTGGGCGACAAAGCGAGACTGCGTCTCAAAAAAAAAAAAAAAAAAAATGCCAGACGCGGTGGCTCACGCCTGTAATCCCAGCACTTTGGGAGGCTGAGGCAGGCGGATCACGAGGTCAGGAGATCAAGACCATCATGGCTAACATGGTGAAACCCTGTCTCCACTAAAAATACAAAAAATTAGCCGGGTGTGGTGGCGGGCGCCTGTAGTCCCAGCTACTTGGGAGGCTGAGGCAGGAGAATGGTGTGAACCCAGGAGGCAGAGCTTGCAGTGAGCCGAGATTGTGCCACTGCACTCCAGCCTGGGTGACAGAGCAAGACTCCATCTCAAAAATAAATAAATTAATTAATTAATTAAAAAAAAAACCTTAAATACTAGGGTCTTTCCCAGCAGCACTTTCTCTTTTAGTTCCTAGGCAAGATTTTTCTTCTGTTGACTTGGATAATAACTAGAGTATTGTGGTTGGCCATAATTTTGAGTTTAGGCAAAGTTTGCTTTGTTTCATGGTCACGGAGCTTGTGTACAGGGATAGCCCACCCTCCTCTGCAAAGAACAGGGCTGGTCTCAGATTCAGCACATCCTTTAACTGCTCATGCCAGCTGGTCTCATTGTCTGTTGTGAAAACCAAGTGGGGTCATGGATGAGAGCTGCTGAGCAGGACCTAACACTCTAAGTACTCTGGCAGCAGTGGCTGCTGTAAAGGCAGTTAGAGGAGGCTTTGGGGGTCTGTAAAGTGTCTGTTGGCCCACATTAGGGCCTATCTTCTTTTTATTCCATGCTGACTTGCAGTTTGCTCTCAGACTCTCATTCTGGTCCTCCAGGGCAGCTGTGCAGGTCGAGTTTTGGGCCTCTGCAGGAGTACCAGGATGAGGGCAGCCCGAGAGGGATTTCTTTTTGTTTTTTGTTTTTTTTTTTTTTTTGAGATGGAGTCTCACTCTATCGCCCAGGCTGGAGTGCAGTGGCATGATCTTGGCTCACTGCAACCTCCGCCTCCTGGGTTCAAGCGATTCTCCTGCGTCAGCCTCCTGAGTGGCTGGGATAACAGGCACATGCCACCATACCTGGCTAATTTTTGTATTTTTAGTAGAGACGGGGTTTCACCATATTGGTCAGGCTGGTCTCAAACTCCTGACCTTGTGATCTGCCTGCCTCAGCCTCCCAAAGTGCTGGGATTACAGGCGTGAGCCACCGCGCCTGGCCCCGAGATGGACTTCTAAGAGCCTGGTGCCTCCTCTCGCTCCTGGCACCTCTCCTCTTCCTGAATTCCTCCCTGCCGAGCTCTGCAGATCTGGATGCTGCTTCCTCACCCAGCTGTGCAGTGTGAACGTGGTACAGGACATCTTGATCTGCTCAGGATCCTGACTTTTGTCTTATGGGCAATCTTGCTTCCTGAGGCAGAAGGATCATTTGAGCCCAGGAGTTCAAGACCAGCCTGGGTAACATAGTGAGACCTCATCTCTCCAAAAAATTCAAAACATGAGGCAAGAAGATCACTTGAGCTCAAGAGGTTGAGGCTGCAACGGGCTCTGATAGCGCTACTGCACTCCCGCCTCGATGACAGAGACCCTGCCTCAAAAAAATAAATAAATAAATAAATAATTTTTAAAACCTGCAAATCTTTAACAGCCATTGAGCCTATGACACCCTATGGGCATTTCCTGTCATGGGTGCTGGTACAGGTCTGACCTTGATGACAGCCTGTCTTCCCTGGGGAAGGACCCAGTTCCACAACTGTTGCGGTCTGTGCTTCTTGCCACAAAGGTAACAGAGTAGAACTGGGGTTGTCCCTTGGCCTGCCCTTGGAAGGCTAGGAGGTTCTCTGTGTACAAGTGACCCAGGTCCCTGAAGGAAGCACTTCATGACCCTATGAAGAGGGCTTCTGCCTGGCACCCACTCCATCCCATCCTCAGTCACACTTGATTGGAGTACATTTCAGAACAAGCCTCCTGCTTATCCCCTCCTTCTGGCTGAATGGGCAGTCGGCAGTCTTCATTCAGCCAGGCCTGGTTAGAAATCCCCTTGACTGTGTGTTTCTGTATGGAATAGATGGCCTACTGCCAGCATATTGGGGTGGAGTTCATGTTCATCAATGACCTGGAGCAGTGCCAGTGGATCCGGCAGAAGTTTGAGACCCCTGGGATCATGCAGTTCACAAATGAGGAGAAACGGACCCTGCTGGCCAGGCTTGTGCGGTCCACCAGGTATGGGTCTGGCCCTGGGCCATGGGGCAGACATTCCCAGGGAAGCAGTGACCCTGTCTGTGTTGATCGGGCCTGTGTGCAGCCTGTTGGCCGAGGTGAGAGGGGGTTTGGGGTGGTACAGGCAAAGCTCCATCTGCACATGTGTGAAGAGACACCAGACAAGTAGAGTCAGCCTTCAGAGCAACCTCCGCCTCCTGAATTCAAGTGATTCTCTTGCCTCAGCCTCCTGAGTAGCAGGGATTACAGAGGCACACCACCACGGCTGGCTAATTTTTATATTTTTAGTAGAGATGAGGTTTCACCGTGTTGGCCAGGCTGGTCTCGAACTCCTGACCTCAGCTGATCTGCCCACCTCGGCCTCCCAAGGTGCTGGGATTACAGGTGTGAGCCTCCATGCCTGGCCAGAATCCCCTCTTTTTGGTCAGGAAGAGTGACATTGCCCTTCAAGGTGGCTTGGTTCCCTGTCCAGGTTTGAGGAGTTCCTACAGCGGAAGTGGTCCTCTGAGAAGCGCTTTGGTCTAGAAGGCTGCGAGGTACTGATCCCTGCCCTCAAGACCATCATTGACAAGTCTAGTGAGAATGGCGTGGACTACGTGATCATGGGCATGCCACACAGGTACAGCCAAGGGCGCGCCCAACCTGGTTTCTCACCATCCCTGTGGGCTGTGTAGGAGGCACCAGGTAAAGGCACTGAGAGAGCAGCTGTTTCCTCCTTGAGTGCCAGTTGTGAGTCTGGGCTCATCTGGTACCTGAGGGTGTATTGCTTTGCAGGGGATTCTCACATTGCCTGCCTCTGGAGGACTGCAAAGTCATGGTCACCTCCAAAGCCACATGTAGTTTCAGACTGGCATTTGGCCTTACAGTGCATCTTTATGAAAATTAAACCCAAGTTCCCTTGTTGGGGTCTAACCTGGAGGGAAGGCTGCTTCCTGACATTGAAGGGGAGGCCAAGACTGTGAAAATAGGGAAGGTGTGGGGAGGGAGAAGGGTAAGGAAGCCTCAGGCCCATGGCATTGCTGCATCTTCTATCTTTCTGCTGCCCACTGTGGCCTTGATTGCCCAGCACGGAGAGGCTCGGTTCCCACATTAGCTCCAGTTTACAGCTATCCTTGGGCTGCAAACCGAGGAGGTGCCGTGTCCTGGGGGGAGGGGGAGGGGGGGATTGTAACACCCTCATCTGCCATCTGGAAACCATGACCTCAGGCTCTGCTCACCCTACTCGCCCATACGTTCCAGAGGGCGGCTGAACGTGCTTGCAAATGTCATCAGGAAGGAGCTGGAACAGATCTTCTGTCAATTCGATTCAAAGCTGGAGGCAGCTGATGAGGTGAGGCACCTGCATAGAGACACATCCAGCATAGCCCCAACTTACACAAGACCCCTGGCTCCACTTCTTTCTTAGAATGACTTACGGGGGGTTGGTTCTTCTGTACCATTTGTGATTTGCCTTCCTTGTTGGGAGAATTTTAGTGTTGGGACAAAGGTGGCCAGTGGCCCACCTCCTGGTCAGAGGTCCAGCAGCCCCACTCTGAGTGCAGGGGTGTGTCCCCTCTGGCTGAGGGACGTTCTCCTTATGCCCTGGATGGGAATGATCCTGGGAAAAGGCCTCCATATCCTTCTGCGTTGGGTTCCTGGGAGTAGAAATCCCATATAAGGCTGGGCATGGTGGCTCACATCCGTAACCCCAACACTTTGGGAGGCTGAGGCAGGCGGATCACGTGAGGTCGAGAGTTTGAGACCAGCCTGACCAACATGGAGAAACCCCATCTCTACTAAAAATACAAAATTAGCCGGGCGTGGTGGCGCATGCCTGTAATCCCAGCTACTCGGGAGGCTGAGGCAGGAGAATCGCTTGAACCCAGAAAGTGGAGGTTGCAGTGAGCCGAGATCGCGCCATTGCACTCCAACCTGGGCAACAAGAGCGAAACTCCATCTCAAAAAAAAAAAAAAAATTCCCGTATAAAAGGGCTCTTTTGGAGACTGAGCATCTCCTTGGCCAGGGTGCAAATTCACTGTTTACCCCATCAGGGCTCCGGAGATGTGAAGTACCACCTGGGCATGTATCACCGCAGGATCAATCGTGTCACCGACAGGAACATTACCTTGTCCTTGGTGGCCAACCCTTCCCACCTTGAGGCCGCTGACCCCGTGGTGATGGGCAAGACCAAAGCCGAACAGTTTTACTGTGGCGACACTGAAGGGAAAAAGGTAAGGCCCAGAGAGAGGCGTGCAAGGCAGATCGTCAAGGCCCCATGTTCCAGCATGGAGTTCCGCTCACCAACATAACCCAGAGCCCTGGGTGCATCTAGACTTTAAAAAAATATTTAAAGTCGGCCGGGCGCAGTGTCTCACGCCTGTAATCCCAGCACTTTGGGAGGCCGAGGTGGGCAGATCACCTGAGTTCGGGAGTTGGAGACCAGCCTGACCAACATGGAGAAACTCCATCTCTACTAAAAATACAAAATTAGCTGGGCGTGGTGGCGCGCGCCTGTAATCCCAGCTACTCAGGAGGCTGAGGCAGGAGAATCGCTTGAACCCGGGAGGTGGAGGTTGCAGTGAGCCGAGATTACGCCATTGCACTCCAGCCTGGGCCAACAAGAGCGAAACTCTGTCTCAAAGAAAAAAATAAATAAATAAAAAATATATGTATATGTATGTATGTGTGTGTGTGTGTATATATATATATATATATATATATATTTAAAATCAACTTTTAAAGAATAGCAATAGTAAAACAGTCCTGCTTACAGTGTTCCTTTTCCTGAAGTTGTAATTGTCAGAACTATGTGGGAAGTTTGCTTTTGTCTTCACCAAATCTGTTAAGGAGCCAGGTTGCAGTTATTCTGAATGGACAGAGATGTTTTCACTGAAAAGGAGGGGAGTCTGAGAGTCTCTGTAAGGAAAAAGTGTAGGTGAGCCTGAAGGAGAAATTGTAGAACTGAGACTTGTCAGGAGAGTCATGCTTGCTGTGATTAGAGGCGGGAGTTCACGGGCTGGTAGGAGACGGAGGAGGGCACAGACTGCAGGCAGGTGGGGTCCTGCTTCACCATTTCTGGTCATGTGACTGAGTGTTGGGGGTTGACTCGCCTGCCTGCTTGTGTAGAAATAGTCTCAACAGATTGTAACAATTTGCCCTTATTTAACTTCAAGATAGAATCTTGTCTGACAAATTTTATATTTCCTATTAATGATGACCTAAAAACCAAATAATCAGAAAAAAAATCAAATATTTGTAATGTCTTATGTATGGGTTCTGGGAAACATATAAAGAAGGCATCACCACTTTTCTCTCCAGAGCCTCCTGTTCTTTTTAGAAAAAAGGTCGTGTGTAAAGAAGCAAATAGCACATACACGGCATGATAGGAAACTGGAGTTAGCCGTGAAGAGCTTTGGAAGAGGTGTGCAGGGGTGTGGGCTAGAGTTGGACCAAGGATAGAAGGCACACCCCTTAGTAGCAGAGCAGGTAGTTGTCATTTTATTTGAGAAGTGGCAGGATTTAGGGAGGTGGGAAGGGAAGAATGTTTTCTGGAGATGAAAGGTAAGAGCAAAGATGTAGGGGGAATTGGGGACACAGAGCAGGGAGGGGCCGGCCTCCTAGTTGTGCCCTGGAAAGAAGTCAGGTCTATGTTAGAAGTGGAACCAATTGGCCAGGTGCGGTGGCTCACGCCTGTAATCCCAGCACTTTGGGAGGCTGAGGCGGGTGGATCACCTGAGGTCAGGAGTTCGAGACCATCCTGGCTAACACAGTGAAACCCCATCTCTACTAAAAATACAAAAAAAAAATTAGCCGGGCATGGTGGCACACGCCTGTAGTCTCAGCTACTCAGGAGGCTGAGGCAGGAGAATTGCTTGAACCTGGGAGGCGGAGGTTGCAGTGAGCTGAGATCACGCCACTGCACTCCAGCCTGGGTGACAGAGGGAGACTCCTTCTCAAAGGAAAAAAAAAAAAAAAAGAAGTGGAACCAATTATTACTTTACCAGGCTCTATAATTTTAAATACTGTAAATCTACTACTGTCATGCTTACAGTGTTAGAGGAAGGGAAACTGTCATCATAGGTAATGGAGCCTGGGCTGGGGAAGTGATTCCCGCATCGATCAATGCTCACTGTAAAGAACGAGTATGACCCACAGGGACGCAGAGGTCATTCCATGGCTTCAAGCTCATGGGCCAGGACAGTGCCACAGAAACTTCAACTAGATGCAAAGAGGCCTTAGCTCTGGGGAACCTGCAGCCCCCGCAGGCAGTAACAACACTGGGTGTCTGGGATGGCCTGGGCTAAGGTGAGATCGGCATGGGGAGATCAGCATTGTGATGACCAGTGCCTCTGGTATTTGCACCCTCCTTGGCTAGGACACTCGCCCAGGCATTTGGGCTGAGTAGTGGAATGAGATTACCGAAAACTTTGGGTGATTCCCACATTCATAGATTGTGGACAGAAATCCACTCTAGCAGTACTCACCTCATAATGCTGGAAATTTCCCAAAAAGGAATGAAATCATTAGAGTAAAAGCAATAGAGTATATTTTAAACTGCTACAGATGGTCACACTGATTGGTCCCTTCATGAGATGCCAGGACAGGAGAGGCTGGTTAGTCCCTGATTTGCTCATAAGTCTGCATGCAGCTGAGTCCGAACTGTCAGTCCCTTTGTTTTCCAGTCTACACAAACCTTGTTGTCACAAGTTTGCCCTTGCCCCAATGTGGATAGCTGCCAGGCCCTCTTTCTGAGCCTCCTCGTCACCTTGCCTCAAGCCCTCACATGTCCCCAGCAGGGTCAGTGTGGGGTCATTGCAGGCTCAGCCATCTGCCTGTTCTTCTTACTCCTCTTGACACCCATAGGACATGATTTGATTTCTATTAAATCCAGAAACTCAGGGAGCTGGAGTGTGTGTTATGTAACTCTCAGCATTTTTCGTGAAGAATTACATACTTTCTGTAAGTGCAGCTGAGGTCATCCCATAACCTCATGCATGATTGTGAAACAGACCTGATTTGGCTCAGTGCTAATATGGCCTTTGGGATCTTTGTTCATGAAAGCATTTCCTCAGTGCAGCAATGCAACCTGCTGCAAAGGGAGAACCCGCTCCTGCCAGAGGTATGGCTCAGGCTGCCAGACACAAGGAGATTCCCCATGTGTCCTGGCTGTGATTTCAGCAGACAGTTACCACAGTGCAGTATGGCATGGTAGTCGCAGTACAACATCACCAGGATGATCAAGAGCAAATACCATGACAAGAGGAAGACTGACTACAGGTGCCCTGTCAGCAGAAGACAGACTGGACAGAAAAGTATCTGCGGGAAGAAACAACACACTATCGGGATCAGGAAAGCATGAAATGTCAGTGACTCAAAACCAATGGCTTTTACACTCAGGCAGCCTGGGCATCGTAGCAAAGCTGCACACCTCCAAGGGGGCCCCGTAAGCAAACCAGATCCTTACGTCCACATGCTGCTATCCTAGTGAGCACCTGCCACATCCACCAAAAGGCAGGACACCTGCAGTTCTGTTTTTAAAAATTCTAGGTTTTGTCCCTGACACACAAATCATGGGTCTTAACCAAGGATGACTCAGCACAGCGCTGAGGACCAGGGTAATCACAAGAACTCAGGGAGGTGCAGGTCAGTAGGCCCGTAGGCTGAGGACACAGCAGGAGAGGGTGTGTTGTATATCACCTTGGCTAGCCACAGCGTCCAGGTTTTTTTTGCTAAACACCCATCTAGATGGCATTTTGTAAAGATAAGATTAACGTTTAAACCAGTAGATTTTGAGTAAAGTAGAAGACCTTGCACAATGTGAGTGGGTTTCATCCAGTCAGTTCAAGGCCTTCGAGAAAAAACTGAGGTTCCCAGAAAAGAAGGAATTCTGCCTCCAGACAGCCTTCACACTTAAGCTGCAACATCAGCTCTGCTGTGGGTCTCCAGCCTGCCAGCCCGCCCTGCAGACTTTGCACTTGCCAGCCTGATTCCTTAAAAACCCATCTTTCTCGGCCAGGCACGATGACTCATGCCTGTAATCCCAGCACTTTGGGAGGCTGAGGCAAGAGGAGTGCTTGAACCCAGGAGTTTGAGACCAGCATGACCAACATGGTGAAACCTCGTGTCTACAAAAAAATGCCAAAATTAGCCAGGCATGGTGGCATGTACTTGTATTCCCTGCTACTTGTGTGACTGAGGTGGGAAAATCACTTGAGCTTGGGAGGCAGAGGTTGCAGTGAGCTGAGATCGTGCCACTGCACTCCAGCCTGGGTGAAAGAGTGAGACCCTGCCTCAAAAAAAAAGAAAAAGAAGAAAAGAAAGAAAGAAAATCATTCTCTCTCTCCCTCTTCCTCTTCACCCTCTCAGTTCTGTCTCTCTGGAGAGCTCTGACTAATACAAGGGTTTTAAAGAGGTATAGGCTGTGTATCCAAGGAGTAGAGGTGGTGGGCTTACATGATTGTGGCATTGGGGACACTGAGCAAATGAGTAAACATATCAAAGGCAGTGAGGATGGAGTGTCTTGCAGTTGTAGGAGATATTTATAGGTGTGGAAGGAGGTGGCCTAGAAAGTGTTGGATTAAAATTTGGAGGTATCAATACAAACTCATAGTTTTATTGCATACACACACACACACACACACACACACACACACACAGAAATAGCCATGTATATGTGCGCCTGCATATGCACACATGTATTTTTTAGATGTATGCGGAATGGGCCTAGAAATGATGATATCCTGGCAGTGATGAGCACACAAATACTGGTCTTAAATCCCATCCTCTACTGGAGGAAGCTGGCTTCTTAGAGAAACAGCTGATATTGTCCAGGGCTGGACAGGGACAGTACAACATGGAAGCTACAATGTTCTGTTGGTCAGGAAGCAAGGAGGTGCTCATGAATGAAAGAGACCTGTCCCTGTTCACAGGAAAGGGAGGCAGCTGGACAGAGCTGCTCTCCCTATCAACCTGGAACAGTGTGAGCATTAAAATAACTAACAATATTAATGCAACCTGTCGAATAAAATAGGAACCATGAGTACATACTAACACGAGTAAATAAACAAGGGAGAAGGGAAAGCTCTTCCTTGCAGAGAATGCCAACTAATAAATTTAGGAGTAATCGAAACTGGTGTTTGCCATCCATCAACCACCCAAGGGGCTGGTTCAGACGCAGTTGTCAATACTGCTGAGGCTGGGGTGGAGGTTTGAGGAGGAACAGGATGTAAAGTTTCTTCTCACAAAATACTACCACTATACTCATTGCCAAGGAAAACAATGGTGAGTGAAAGGGAGGATAGCAGACAGCAGCCTCCCAGGTGAGCAGAGTTAACCTGACCTGATGCAGTATGTCCTTCCCAAGTGGGGACCCAAGGTCTGTCAAGGGTGCAAAGACAAGAAGGATGAGGAGCTGCTCCTGGTTGGAGGAGCCAAAGAGACCTGGCAAGTGATGCTGCCCTCCCATGTGGGGTCTGGGGCCAATGGCTAAGCTAGTGCTGCCCTCCCGGAACAGAGGGTCCGGGTAGTCATGTTGGAGAGTGTCCTAGCAATGCATCAGGTCTACAGCTCTTTCAGTGCTGAGAACAGATGATGATGGCAGGGTGTGTTGGTGTTGAGCAGATATACCAAGGTGCTAGCATGTTGGGGATTTGGGGCCCTGTGGACTTTCCTGCTACTTTCTATGTTTGAAATTATCTCAAAACGTTATTTTTTGAAAAACAAATGATGCATTTCCTCTGTTTACCTTGTGGACTTGGCAATCAGAACATTCTGGATTTGGGGTCTCCTTTGGTGTTTACAGGTCATGTCCATCCTGTTGCATGGGGATGCTGCATTTGCTGGCCAGGGCATTGTGTACGAGACCTTCCACCTCAGCGACCTGCCATCCTACACAACTCATGGCACCGTGCACGTGGTCGTCAACAACCAGGTACCTCACACCAGCCTGCGGCTTTGCTGCTCACATCAGTCTTACTTAGAATGACATCTCTGAGTCATTTAGGACGTTCACTGTTTTCTGATTATAAAAATACATCTGTTATTAAAAACCAGGTGCAGTGGCTCACGCCTGTAATCGTAGCACTTTGGGAAGCCAAGGCAGGAGGATTGCTTCAGCCCATGAGTTTGAGACCAGTCTGGGCAATATAGTGAGACCCCCTTTCTCTGCAAAAAAATTGAAAAATTAGCACTGGGTGGCCGGGTGCAGTGGCTCAGTCCTGTAATCCCAGCACTTTGGGAGGCCGAGGCAGGTGGATCACCTGAGGTCAGGAGTTCAAGCCTGGCCAATGTGGTGAAACCCCGTCTCTGCTAAAAATACAAAATTAGCCATGGGATCACATGCCTGTGATCCCAGCTGCTTGGAAGGCTGAGGCAGGAGAATTGCTTGAACCCGAGAGGTGAAGGTTACAGTGAGCCAAGATTGCGCCATTGCATTCCAGCCTGGACAACAAGAGCGAAACTCCATTTCAAAAAAAAAAAAGAAAAGAAAAAAAGTTAGCACCGGGCATGGTGGCCCACAAATGTAATCCCAGCACTTTGGGAGGCCAAGGTGGGCAGATCACTTGAGGCCAGGAGTTCGAGACCAGCCTGGCCAACATGGAGAAACCTCATCTCTACTAAAAATACAAAGCTACCTGCTTGGTGGCGCGCACTTGTAATCCCAGCTGCTTGGGAGGCTGAGGCACAAGAATCACTTGAAACCCTTGAGGCGGAGGTTACCGTGAGCCAAGATCACACCACTAAGCCTGGGCGACAGAGCAGGAGTCTGTCTAAAAAAAAAATTAAAAAAATTAGGCATGGTGGTGCATGCCTGTGGTCCTAGCTACTTGGGGGTTTGAGATAGGAGGATCACTTGAACCTGGGAGGTCGAGGCTGCAGTGAGCCATGATTATGCCACTGCACTCTAGTCTGGGCAACAGAGTGAGACCCTGTCTTGAAAAAAATAAATAGGCTGGGCGTGGTGGCTCACACCTGTAATCCCAGCACTTTGGGCGGCCGAGGCAGACGGATCATGAGGTCAAGAGATCGAGACCATCCTGGCTACCACAGTGAAACCCCGTCTCTACTAAAAATACAAAAAAATTAGGCGGGTGTGGTGGCGGGCACCTATAGTCCCAGCTACTTGGGAGGCTGAGGCAGGAGAATGGCGTGAACCCGGGAGGTGGAGCTCACAGTGAGCTGAGATCACGCCACTGCACTCCAGCCTGGATGACAGAGCAAGACTCTGTCTCAAAATAAATAAGTAAATAAATAAATAAAAAAGAAAAAAATAGATTTTAATACATTATTTTTAAGATGGCATTATTGTTTTAGATTTTTGTTTGTTTGTTTGAGACCAGTCTTGCCCCATAGCTCACGCTGGAGTGTAGGGGCATGATGATAGCTCATTGCAGCCTTGAACTCATGGACTCAAGCATCTTCCTGCCTCAGCCTCCCGAGTAGCAAGGACTATAGACGTGCACCACCACTCCTGACTAATTTTTTTTTATTTTGTGTAGAGGCGGGATGTCACTCTGTTACCGAGGCTGCTCTTGAACTCCTGGCTTCAAGTGATCCTCCCATCTTGGTCTCCCAAAGCACTGGGATTGTAGGTGTGATCCACCATGCCCGACAAGAATATTTTCTTCTGGTTCCACAGGCATACAGATGGCCTGTGCATGGGGACGTTCTCTTTCTTTAAGAAACTGGGTTCCATGTACACAGCTTTATATCCACTCTTATTTACCACATATTTGCTCATATCATTACGTACCCTTTTAAAATAATTTTAATAGAAATATCTTATAACTTGTTTCATAAAATGGACTCTTAGGATTCTCATTTTTTATTTTCAGTAAGGCTGTGATGAACATTCTCATGAATATTTCTGCACAGGCCTGATACATATCACCTGTTAGATTCTTCCACCAGCCGTAGCTAAGGGTTCCCCTCATCGATGCGTGTGAAGTTTCCATAACAGATATTCTAGTGCCTTTTAACTCTAGGCACTCTCCTAGGTACCAGGCAGAGCACCGGTGTGCTCCCTATCATCACAGACCTTATAGTTTAGTGCAGGGTCAGGGGGCTCATAGACAGTGCCATGAAGTGGGTGTGGGAGGTGTTCTGCAAGATACTGGGTTAGTCAGCAGACAAGTCACTGAGGATTTGACATTTAAATGGAAACTTCAAGGTCAGGTAGGCAAATATTGGGGAGCATCAGATCAAGTCAGGAGAGAGGTCCTAGTGTCTGAAGGAGTGGACAAGGCCATCGCAGCTCATCGTTAGTGCAAGAGAGAACTGCCATCAGCCAGCGCCTGAGGAAAGCTCCCAATGGCATTGGGAGGCCATTGGAGAGACTGACGCAAGGAAGTGATGAGATACTGGTTGGTTATAAAGATGATTTGTTATAGTTTAGAATTGATTAGAGGAGGACAGAGAAACACATGCAGCTGTCTCAGCAAGAAGTAGAGAGAGGGAAAAATTTAAATTTAAATAAGTAAATATGCTCACTAAGTAGCAAATACTAAAGAGCTCAAAATTTAAGAGGTCAAATACTAAGAGAGGGTAAGAACATTATCCAGTGCAAATATAACACACAATATGGTAAAAGCTACCACTTACTGCCTACTGTGTCCCAGATGCTGAATTAGGTACTTTATGTATATTAACTTAATTTGTAGGGTAGTTACCCATGCAGTGAGTGGTACTATTCCCATTTTACAGAAGTGAAAATTGAGGAGCAGAGAGATTGAATAGCTTACTAGAGGAAATGATAAGAGTCAGTATTTGATCTGCTTTCTTTGAAAGAATAGTGTTAGAAAACCTGAAAAGTTCCCTGTACCAAGGGAACAGAGATGTCTAAAAAAAACCAACCTCACTACTGAACTGAGTTTTTTTCTATTTTTTTTTTTGAAACAGAGTCTTGCTCTGTCACCCAGGCTGGAGTGCAGTGGCGTGATCTTGGCTCACTGCAACCTCCACCTCCCAGGTTCAAGCGATTCTCCTGTCTGTCTCCCAAGTAGCTGGGATTACAGGCACGTGCCACCACACCTGGCTAATTTTTGTATTTTTAGTAGAGATGGGATTTCACCATATTGGTCAGGGTGGTCATGAACTCCTGACCTCATGATCCGCCTGCTTCAGCCTCCTAAAGTGCTGGGATTACAGGCATGAGCCACCGCTCCTGGCCTTTTTTCTGTTTTTTTACTAGGGTAAAATATACATAAAATTTACATTGTTAACTATTTTTAAGTGAACAGTTTAGTGGTATTAAATACATTCATAATATTGTGCAACCATCACCACCACCCATCTCCAAAACTGTTTCGTCTCCAACAGAAATTCCATACCCATTCAACATGAACTCCGAGTCCTTGCTTCCCTGACCCCCAGCCCCTGGCAACTATCCACTCTACTTTCTGTCTCTATGATTTTGAGTACTCTAAGGACTTCATATAAATGGAATCATAGTATTTGTCTTTTTGTGCCTGGGCTATTTCACTTAGCAGAATGTCCTCAAGGTCCATCCACGTTATAGCATGTGTTAGAGTTTCCTACCTTTTTAAGGCTGAATAATATTCCACTCTATAAGTAAAATATATCACATTTTGCTTATTCATTCATCAGTGGATACTTGGGTTACTTCCACATTTTCCTGTTATGAATAATGCTGCTATGATGCTATGAACATGTCTGTCCATATATCTCTTTGACACCCTGCTTTCTTTTTTTTTTTCCTTTGAGACGGGGTCTTGCTCTGTTGCCCAGGCTGAAGTGCAGTGGTGTGATCATAGCTCACTGCAGCCTCCAACTCCTGGGCTCATGCAGTCCCCCCACCTCAGCTTCCAAAATAGCTGGAATTACAGGTGTGCACCACCATGCCCAGCTATTTTTTTTTTCAATTTTCTTGTAGAGTTAGGGTCTCTCTATGTTGCCCAGGCTGCTCTTGAACTCCTGGGCTCAAGCAGTCCCTCCTCTGAGGCCTCTCAAAGTGCTGGGATTACAGGCATGAGCCACTGTGCCTGACTGAAATCCTGCTTTCCGTTCTTTGGAGTATATATCCAGAAGTGGAGTGGAATTGCTACATCATATGATAGTTCTATTTTTAACTTTTTGAGTAACTGCTTATTAGTTCTAATTTTCTTTCTTTCTTTTTTTTTTTGAGGATTCTTTCTGGATGGACAGTCATGTGACTTCAAATAGAGAAAGTTATTTTCCTTCCTTTCCAATCCACATGTATCTATGCTTTGTATTTTCTTTTTTCTTATTGCACTGGCTAGGACCTCAGCACAGTGTCAAAGTGGATAAAAACGGACATCCTTTTCTTGTTTCCAATTTTTGGAAGAAAGTGTTTAGTATTTGATCATTAAGTATGATGTCAGCTGTAGCTTTTTTGTAGATGTCCCTTACCATGGCTAGGGGAGTTCCCTTCTGTCTCTAATCTGTGGACAGTATATATAATGAATGGATGCTTATTTTTGTCAGTGCTCTTCTGCATCCATTGAGATGACCATATAGTTTGCTAATGATGAAGTACATTAATTTTCAAATGTGGAATTTTTGTCTTATGTTCATGAGGGGTATTGATCTTTTGTTGTAATGCCTTTATCTGGTTTTGCTATCAGGGTAATGCTGGCCTCGTGAAATGTTAAGAGGAGGTTCCTCTTCTATATTCTGAATGAGTTTCTGTATAATTAATATTATTCCCTTCCTAAATGATTGGTAGAATCCACCACTGAAAGACTTCTGGGCTTACAGTTTTCTTTGTGGGAAGGTTTTTATTTTCTTTTTTTCTTTTTTTTTTTTTTTTTGAGACGGAGTCTTGCTCTGTCGCCCAGGCCGGAGTGCAATGGCATGATCTCGGCTCACTGTAGCCTCCACCTCCTGGGTTCAAGGATTCTCCTGCTTCAGCCTCCTGAGTAGCTGTGACTACAGGCGCCTGCCACCACACCCAGCTAATTTTTGTATTTTCAGTAAAGACAGATTTCACTATGTTGGTCAGGCTAGTCTCAAACTCCTGACCTCAGGTGATCCACCCGCCTCAGCCTCCCAAAGTGCTGGGATTACAGGCATGAGCCACCACACCCGGCCATATTTTTCTTTGTCTAGTTTTCAGAAGTTTGATGTATCTTGGCATGAATTTCTTTGGGATTTCTGTTTGGGATATGCTCATGTTTTTAAAAAAATTTTTTTTAATTTTTTTTTTTTTTTTTTTTTTCTGAGATGGAGTCTGGCTCTGTCACCCAGGCTAGAGTGCAGTGGAGTGATCTTGGCTCACTGCAACCTCCACCTCCGAGGTTCAAGCGATTCTCCTGCTTCAGTCTCCTGAGTAGCCGGGACTACAGGCGCTTGCCACCACCCCTGGCTGATTTTTGTATTTTTAGTACAGACAGAGTTTCACCATGTTGGCCAGATTGGTCTTGAACTCCTGAGCTCAAGTGATCCGCCTGCCTTGGCCTCCCAAAGTGCTGGGATTACAGGCATGAGCCACCATGGCCAGCCAAAAAAAAAGAAATTTTTTTTGTTTTTTAAATTTTTAGACAGGTTCTTAACTCTGTTGCCCAGGCTGGGGTGCAGGGGCACAATCTAGACTCACTGCAGCCTCCACCTCCGAGGCTCAAGCAATCCTCCCACTTCAGCCTCCTCAGTAGCTGGGACTATGGCCATGCACCACCACACCTGGCTAATTTTTATGGTTTTTTTTGTAGAGACAGGGTTTCACTGTGTTGACCATGTTGACTGGTCTTGAACTCCTGAGTTCAAGTGATCCACCCTCCTCAGCCTCCCAAAGTGCTTGGGATTACAGGCGTGAGTCACCACACCCGCCTGCTCAACTTTTTTAAATTGTATTTTTTAATAGCTTTATTAAATGTAGTTCACTTATCATGTAATTTACCCCTTTCACAAGTCTGCAATTAAGTGGTTTTTAGTATATTTATAAATACGTGCAACTATCACAGTTGATTTCAGAGTGTTCATCACCTCAAGGAAAAACCTTGCATCCCTTAGTTATCTTACTCCTACCCCTCCATCCTCCCAAGCCCTAAGCAACCACTAATCTACTTTCTGTCTCTATAGATGTATTTATTCTGTAAAGTTCATATTAATTGAATCATACAATATGTGCCCTATATCAGTTGGCGAACGTTTAGATTGTTTCTACTTTTGGGCTATTATAAATAATGCTGCTGTGGGCTGGGCATGGTGGCTCACACCTGTAATCCCAGCACTTTGGGAGGCCGAGGCAGGTGGATCATCTGAGGTCAGGAGTTCAAGACCAGCCTGGCCAACATGATGAAACCCCGTCTCTACTAAAAATACAAAAATTAGCCAGGCGTGGTGGCTCGTGCCTGTAATCCCAGCTACTCTCGAAGCTGCAGCAGGAGAATCGCTTGAACCTGGGAGGCGGAGATTGCGGTGAGCCGAGATCACGCCATTGCACCACAGCCTGGGTGACAGAGCAAGACTCTGTCTCAAAAAATAAAGAAATAAAATAATGCTGCTGTGAACATTTATGTACAAGTGTTTATATATACTTTTTTTTTTTTTTTTTGAGACGGAGTCTCGCTCTGTCGCCCAAGCTGGAGTGCAGTGGTGTGATCTCGGCTCATTGCAAGCTCTGCCTCCCAGGTTCACGCCATTCTCCTGCCTCAGCCTCCCAAGTAGCTGGGACTACAGGCACCCACCACCATGCCCAGCTAATTTTTTGTATTTTTAGTAGAGATGGGGTTTCACCCTGTTAACCAGGATGGTCTCGATCTCCTGACCTCATGATCCGCCAGCCTCGGCCTCCTAGAGTGCTGGGATTACAAGCGTGAGCCACAGCGCCAGGCCTTATATATACATTTTTTGTTGTTGTTTGTTTTTTGTGCCACCTACTCTCCTCTCTGTGGCCCAGGCTGGAGTGCAAGTGGCATAATCTCAGCTCACTGCAACCTCCACTTCCCGGGTTCAAACGATTCTAGTGCCTGAACCTCCCGAGTAGCTGGGACTGTAGGTGTGCACCACCATGCCCGGCTAATTTTTGTATTTTTAGTAGAGATGGGGTTTCGCCTTGTTGGCCAGGCTGGTCTCGAACTCCTGGCCTCAGGTGATCTACCTGCCTCAGCCTCCCAAGGTGCTCTTATTACAGGCATGAGCCACTGTGCCCAGCCTGTGTCTACATATGTTTGAATTCCTTTTCGGGTATATACGTAGGAGTAGAATTGCTAGATCATGTGGTATCTCTGTGTTCAACTTTTTGTGGAAATCTCAGACTGTTTCAAAGTGGCTGTGCCATTTTTACATTCCCACTGGAAATATATCAGGGTTCCTTTTTTTTTTTTTTTTTTTTTTTTTGAGACAGGGTCTTACCCCGTCACCCACGCTGGAGTGCAGTGGTACAGTCTTAGCTCACTGCAACTTCTGCCTCCCAGGTTCTAGCGATTCTTCTGCCTCAGTTTCCCAAGTAGCTGGGATTACAGGCACGCACCACCACTCCCAGCTAATTTTTTTTTCTTTTTTTTTTTTTTTTTTTTTTTTTTGGTAGCAACAGGGTTTTGCCATGTTGCCCAGGCTGGTCTTGAACTCTTGACCTCAAGTTATCCACCTGCCTCAGCCTCCCAGAATGTTGGGATTACACACATGAGCCACCGCACCCCCAGCTAGGATTCCAGTTTTTTCATGTCCTCACCAACTCTTGTTATTGTCTGTTTTATTCTAGCCATCCTAGAAGGTGTGAGGTGATATCTCATTTTGGTTTTAATTTGCATTTCCCTAATGACTAATGATGTGTGTGTCTTTTCATTTGCTTATTGGCTATTTGTATATCTTTGGGGAAATTTCTATTCAGATCCTCTGCCTATTTTTTGACTGGATTGTCTTTTTATTGTTGAGTTGTAAGAGTTCTTTATATATTCTGGATATGAGCCATGTATCCGATGATTTGCAAATATGGGACAATTTTGGTGTCCTTGGAAGCACAAAAGTTTTATTTTTTATCAAGCATAATTTATCTGTTTTTTCTTTTGTTGCTTGTGATTTTTGGTGTCATATCCAAGAAGGCTTTGCCTAATCCGAGGTCACAAAGTTTTACCTCCTATGCTTTCTTCTGAGTCTTATAGTTTTAGCCCTTACATCTATGATCTGTTTTGAGTTAATTTTTGTGCATGGTGCAAAGGAGTCCCGCTTCATTCTTTTGCACTTGGATACTATTTTCAAATATAAATGATTGAGTAGCAAAGCATCTAATGGACAGAGTTAGCTCCAGTGGGTGGCTACAATTACCCAAGAAGCAGATATTAGTTGAATGAAAGGAAGAACTCCTAACAGTGAGACCTGTTCCAACAGGGGAACCAGCTCCTCCAGAAGTTTTGGATTCCTCCTCATTGGAAGTATTGGCACAGCTAGTGAACGAGTTGTCAGGGTTGAAGTAAATGGGAGGGGTGAGAAGGGCTAGAGGTGAGAGGAGAAACCATTTGGCCCTAAAGGTTCCTTTGTCTCCCAGACCAGCTTTTCCTCTTAGCGAGATTTTCCTACTAAAACACTAACTCCCAAAAGTATACTAAGAGAGTACATTGGTGGTATAGTGGTAAGTATAGCTGCCTCAAATAATATACTAAGAGGTATTATTAATACACCCATAGTGGAAAAAAGTACAGCGTATATTTGGAGTATACCTCTGTCATATGTGTGTATGCACAGCCACTAGTATAGATAACCCTGCCGGTAGAGTGCATCTCCATCACACGTGTGTGCACATCCACCCAAGTAGATAATCCTGCTGGTAGAGTGCACCTCCGTCATGTGTGCTGCCATCCATATGTGCATGAAGGCACAGAAGCTCATAACAGTGGTGAACATTGGAGAGGGCAGCTGAGACCTCAACCTTGCAAAATGGGTTTCTTTCTGTGAGGTTCTAGCAGTAAGGCATGTTATGATCACTGACTTCCTGCTGCAGGCCCTTCTTTACATGCTGAAGCCCAAGATGGGCAATGCTGGCTTCAATACCAGCTGAGATTGTTCAGGGCTCTCTTATGTGTCAGGCTCTGATACACCATTTTTTTTTTAATCTCATCAGTGTCTGACTATTTCTGATCATTTCTTTAGTCAGTGTGAGAAGGGAGATTATGTAAAAGCCATTAAACATAAATATAGAGTTAGATTTTGCTAATATTTTCTTTATCTCTTTACTGCTTTGACTCATTGCTCATGAGGTAGTGTGGCATCAGGAAGATCTGTAGAAGGAGAGGAAGTAACTTCTTAGCTGAGTCTCTTATTTCTTTTAGAACATACTTAGAAATTCCCTTCCAGAAATTTCACCTAAGGAAGCCATCTGATGGTAAATATTTTTTCATAAGACTCTTTGTCTGCCAGATGCAATGGCTCAAACCTGTTCCCAATACTTTGGGAGGCCAAGGCAAGAGGATTGCTTGAGCTCAGGAGTTCAAGACCAGCCTGGGCAACAAAGTGAGACCCTGTCTCTACACAAAACAAAACAAAACAAAAATTAGCCAGGCGTGGTGGTACACATCTGTAGTCCCAGCTACTGAGGAGGCTGAGGCAGGAGGATTGCTTGAGCCCGGGAGGTCAAGGCTGCAGTGAGCCGTGATCACACCACTACGTTCCAGCCTGGGCAACAGAGTGAGACCTTCTCTCAAAAAAAAAAAAAAAAAAGGTTTTTGTCAAAACCATATTTGCGCTACCACAAAGTTAGGAAACAAACCTATGTCCAACAGCAGAAGCGTCTTTGCATAAAATTTGGCAAAGCCATAGGAAGGGATATTAAACAACCACTAAAAAAGATTAATATCCTAGGGAATGGCCGGGCACAGTGGCTCACGCCTGTAATCCCAGCACTTTGGGAGGCCGAGGCGGGGGATCACAAGGTCAGGAGATTGAGACCATCCTGGCTAACACCATGAAACCCCATCTCTACTAAAAAAAAAAAATACAAAAAATTAGCCAGGCATGGTGGCAGGCACCTGTAGTCCCAGCTACGCAGGAGGCTGAGGCAGGAGAATGGTGTGAACCCGGGAGGTGGAGCTTGCAGTAAGCAGAGGTGCACCACTGCACTCCAGCCTGGGAGTCACAATGAGACTCTGTCTTAAAAAAAAAAAAAAAAAAAAAAAAGTTTGATATCCTGGGGAAATGGTCACAGTATGGTAAATGGAAATTGCAGGATATTAATATGCTGCTAGTAGGAGTGTAAGTAGAACAGCTACTCAGGAGAGCATTTAGAAAAATTTTAAATGCTCATGCCTGTGGCTCAGTTTTCCCTTTCTAGGATTAGATTGCAAAAAAACTCAGCGTTTGAGGGAGAAAATTTGTATAAGGATGTGTACAGCAACATTGTGTTTACCACAAATTGGAAACAAAAGAAATGTCCACCAACAGGAGAATGGATAAATACTCTGTGGGGTATACTGTGTCTGGTTAAGTTTCACTGGAAAGTAGAGACTAAAGGAAGTATAGCTACATGTTTCAACCTGGGTGTATCATAAAAGCAAATGTTAAAAGGCAAACTGCAAAGTTACCAACAAGCCTCAGAAGATACTATATACTGTTTACGGACATATGAAGTACAAATAGCAACTTGTGGCAGTGTCCTCCTCTGATTTAAGGGTAAGGAGGCCTGCGGGCTTGAGCCTCTGTGACAGAAACATTTTGGTCCACTAACAAATATGGCGAAACCGTTGGGATTTGTTCATGTTAGGTGAAGGCGTTAAGGATGAGCAGTGTGGTATTATCATGCTTTGTGTTTGAAATATATCATAAGATAAAAATTTAAATGCAAACCATAAAATTATGAATATATCATTAAATTTTGGTACATCTAACTGGTAGGGAATGTTATGAAGCCTTTAAATTTTCTTTTCTGGCTGGGTACTGTGGCTCACACCTGTAATCCCAGCATTTTGGGAGGCCGAGGCAGAAGGATCACTTGAGCCCCAAAGTTCAAGACCAGCCCGGGCAACATGGCAAGACCCCATCTCTACAAAAAAAATTTAAAAATTAGCTGGGCCTGGTGGTGCACACCTATAACACCAGCTACACAGAAGGCTGGCATGAGAGGTGAGCTACGATTGCACCACTGCACTCCAGTCTGGTTGACAGACCATGACTCTCTCTTTAAAAAAAAAAAAAAAATTCTTGCTGGGCGTGGTGGCTCACTCCTGTAATCCCAGCACTTTGGGAGGCTGAGGCAGGTGGATCACAAGGTCAGGAGTTCAAAATCAGCCTGGCTAACATAGTGAAACCCCGTCTCTACTAAAAATAACAAAAATTAGCCAGGCATGGTGGTGCGTGCCTGTATTCCCAGCTACTGGGGAGGCTAAGGCAGGATAATCGCTTGAACCCGGGAGGTGGAAGTTGCAGTGAGCTGAGATCACGCCATTGCACTCTGCTTGGGCAACAGAGTGAGACTTCGTCTCAAAAAAAAAAAAAAATTCTTAGGCTGGGCACAGTGCCTCACTCCTATAATAACACTTCGGGAAGCCGAGACAGGAGGATTACTTAGGCCCAGGAGTTTGAGGCCAGCCTGGGCAACATGGTGAGACCCTATCTCTACAAAAAATAAAAAGAATTAATCAAAATAATAGAAATAATAAGATCCCAAATTTAAGTATTTATTTACATATATATGCATACAAAGAAAATAATCTGGAAAGGAAAACATCAGAATATTTACCCCATAGCCTGTGGAATTATAGGTAACTTAATTTAACTTTTCATACTATGTCTTTTAAATTCTCTATGTTAAATATATATGGATTTTGTTATCAGAATAGGAAAAAACAAAGGAAAAGAAAAAGTGTAAACAGCCATTTTGGGGTACGTACTCAGAGTAGCCAGATGGCAAGTGCATGCCATGCCCGGCCTCAGCCCCGCCCTCTGGTCCCTGTGCCGGCTGTGCCAGGTGCCCTCTTGCTAGGCTACATGTTCCTTGCAGATCGGCTTCACCACCGACCCTCGGATGGCCCGCTCCTCCCCCTACCCCACTGACGTGGCCCGAGTGGTGAATGCCCCCATTTTCCACGTGAACTCAGATGACCCCGAGGCTGTCATGTACGTGTGCAAAGTGGCGGCCGAGTGGAGGAGCACCTTCCACAAGGACGTGGTTGTCGATTTGGTGAGTGACTCTGGGGACAGCACGTCCTGGGCAGAGCATCTGACCCACCCCTCTTGCCCTCGGCACCCCTGTGTCCCAAGGAGAGGAGCTTGTCTAGATGAGTCACCTCAGGGCTCTCTACTGCCAGGCCTCATGCTGGTTCCTTTGAGCTCCAAATAGTTCAGGCCTGTAAGCACCAAGGAATGCTTCCCAGGCAGGAGCTGTGGTGGTGAGGAGGGCCACTCCTCATTGACAGAGCAGCTCTACTGTGTGAAGGAGAGATACACAGAATCCTAATTCTAGAGAAGGTAAACTCCAGGGCAGGCATGAGGAATGAAGAACGTGGCCATCACCTAGGAGAGATGGGGCAGGTGCCTGAACAGCACTTCTTCCCAAGGGGCCAGCCCTTGTCTCTGACATCCTCTCACTGCTCTGAGCAGGTGTGTTACCGGCGCAACGGCCACAACGAGATGGATGAGCCCATGTTCACGCAGCCGCTCATGTACAAGCAGATCCGCAAGCAGAAGCCTGTGTTACAGAAGTACGCTGAGCTGCTGGTGTCGCAGGGTGTGGTCAACCAGCCTGAGTATGAGGTACGTCCCTGCGGCTCTATCCCAGTGCGCCTTTCCAGGGCTGGCGATGACTAGAAAAGGTGGGCCACAGGGCCAGTTCTCACTTTTGCCAGTTATGAGGATACACGTGAGAGGATGTGAAATATTTACAACTACAGCATTTCAATGCATAACTTTTTGGAGAATCTGGGCCACTGAGATGCTTTATAAAGGAAGTGGGCCTTAAACAGTGTTTTGGGGAAGGGAAGGGGATGTTTTCAGGTTGAGGTAGTAGCAGCCCAGTAGGTTTTCTCAGATTTCACAAATTGTGCATGGTTGAGAGGTGGGTGGTGGATCCAGCTTGGTAAGGGGCCTGTTGTAATCTGGATAGTAAGTGCTGGTTGGTTGTGAGTGGGAAGGCCAAGCAGCTGCCCTAGAGAGGGAGAGGGTGGGTGTGAGGAGCTATATCTGAGCATGGGAACAGGACAGATCCCAGATCAGAACAACCTGATAGCCTGTAGCCTATGCTGGAGACAGAGCTTTGTGAACCAGTTTTTTTTTTGTTTTGTTTTGTTTTTTGAGACGGAGTCTAGCTCTGTCACCCAGGCTGGAGTGCCGTGGCATGATCTTAGCTCACTGCAACCTCCACCTCCTTACTTCAAGCAGTTTTCATGTCTCAGCGTCCCAAGTACCTGGGATTACAGGTGCGAGCCACCACGCCTAGCTAATTTTTGTATTTTTAGTAGAAACAGGGTTTCCCCGTGTTGGCCAGGCTGGTCTTGAACTCCTGACCTCAAGTGATCTGCCTGTCTTGGCCTCCCAAAGTGCTGGGATTATAGGCATGAGCCACTGCGCCTGGCCTGGACCAGTTCTTAAGAAAAAATGTGGTGGGCTGGGCGTGGTGGCTCATGCCTGTAATTGCAGCACTTTGGGAGACTGAGGCAGGTGGATCATGAGGTCAAGAGATCGAGACCATCCTGGCCAACATGGTGAAACCCCGTCTACTAAAAATACAAAAATTTGCTGGGCGTGGTGGCACGCACTTGTAGTCCCAGCTACTCAGGTGGCTGAGGCAGGAGAATCGCTTGAACCCGGGAGGCGGAAGTTGCAGTGAGGCAAGATCGCGCCATTGCACTCCAGCCTGGTGACAGAGCATGACTCCGTCTCAAAAAAAAAAAAAAAAAGTGGTGAAGGGTTAGGGGTTCAAACTCCGAGCAGAATCTCTACCCAGCAAATGTGAGGAAGAAACTTTTGGGAGTGAAAAGAATAAAATCTTAGAAAGGTGTTATGCCTATTGAGAAGGAGCAGGCCCAGAGGCTGAGATGTTTTGCATCCACGAAGTGTGGGACTATGGGTGGGCATGCACGGGAGTTGTGCCAGGGGTATGGTTGGGCTTGCGTGGTGGCTGTCAGAAAGTGTGGGGGTACAGGTGGGCGTGTGCAGTAGTCATGCCCTGTGCCAGTCACGCTGTGTTGTGCCCAACCCTCCAGGAGGAAATTTCCAAGTATGATAAGATCTGTGAGGAAGCTTTTGCCAGATCTAAAGATGAGAAGATCTTGCACATTAAGCACTGGCTGGACTCTCCCTGGCCTGGTGAGTGAAGAAACAGTGCCACAAATAAGCTCCTTTGAGGATCTGATGTAACGAGGCATCCTCTTCCCAGAAAAAATTCATGCTTTCCACTTTGTACCCACAATGCACAGTTGTATGCACCATTTCAGCAAAGCCCCCTGCAGACCCTGGACCCAGACCCCTGCATTAATGTTTTCTGGGGAACACAGTGTGAGCTACATTGTCTCTCACCCTGCTTCTCCCCAAAATCACGTGTCTGCCATTTTGTGGTCCCTGGAAAAGTAGAGCAGATGTCATGCCTCAGTTGTTCTTCTTCTCCTAGGCTTCTTCACCCTGGACGGGCAGCCCAGGAGCATGTCCTGCCCCTCCACGGGTCTGACGGAGGATATTCTGACACACATCGGGAATGTGGCTAGTTCTGTGCCTGTGGAAAACTTTACTATTCATGGAGGTAACACGCTCTGTGCTGACCTGTGGAAATGTTGGGGCCCAGGCCAGGGGCGACGACTGTCTAGGACTGTGACCTTGGCCCCCACCCATCATGTGTCCTACAGAGACTCCCTTCCTGCCCTGCTCAAGGCCTCTGGGGTGGTTGGATGGAGCCACCTCTCCCACTCCCTGCCCTTAGCACGATCCTACACTTCCTCAGTGGTAAAGGAGAGACTGAGGTCACAGCTTTTCCAGCAAGTCAGGAACCCAGAAACTACGAGTAAAGAAGGCTCCGCTCTTGCCATGGGCACGCTGAGAAGCAAGGCAGGCATGTGCAGGCAGGGCCTGCAGCAGCTGGTGAGAGCTGTGTCTCTGCAGGGCTGAGCCGGATCTTGAAGACTCGTGGGGAAATGGTGAAGAACCGGACTGTGGACTGGGCTCTAGCGGAGTACATGGCGTTTGGCTCGCTCCTGAAGGAGGGCATCCACATTCGGCTGAGCGGCCAGGACGTGGAGCGGGGCACATTCAGGTAACGTTCTGGGCAGTTTTGTTTGCCCTCCAAAGAGTAGAAGATGGAAAGGGAGGGGTTCTGGTGTTTCTTTTCCGGAAGACGGTTAGAAACCGGAAGAGTCACATTGCTCTCAGGCTGAAAACCTCTGTCCCTCATTTGCTATGGGTGCTTCTGTTAAGACCTGGGTGGGGCCGACCCTGCAGCTGCCTGGCCAGAAGTCCAGGTCACAGAGCATGGCATCTGCTGGTGCTTCGTGCGGGTCCCCAGCGTATTTGCTTGTCAAGTCAGAGCTCCTAATTATTACCTCTGTTGTCCTGTCTCAGCCACCGCCACCATGTGCTCCATGACCAGAATGTGGACAAGAGAACCTGCATCCCCATGAACCATCTCTGGCCCAATCAGGCCCCCTATACTGTGTGCAACAGCTCACTGTCTGAGTACGGCGTGCTGGGTGAGTGCCTGGAGCCACACCACCAGGGCCTGTCACCCACCCACCCCCGCTGGGCCTACTGGCTGGTGTCCTGGACATGGTTTTCTCCTTCCTTTGTCCCTTGTAGGCTTTGAGCTGGGCTTCGCCATGGCCAGTCCTAATGCCCTGGTCCTCTGGGAAGCCCAATTTGGTGACTTCCACAACACGGCCCAGTGTATCATCGACCAGTTCATCTGCCCGGGACAAGCCAAGTGGGTGCGGCAGAATGGCATCGTGTTGCTGCTGCCCCATGGCATGGAGGGCATGGTGAGCCTCTGGCCCTTCCCTGCCAGACCTAGGACTTGGGAAGGGCCTGTGTAGGACCCTGACCCCAAAGACTGGCACGAGAGCCAGTGGCTCACACCAGCCTCCTAAGGACTCTGCTGGTGCTTCCCATCCATCTCAGATGGGATGTCACTTCAGAAAGCCAGAGTAGCCCATCTGGATGTGGCTAGCATGCCCCGTCCCTGCTGGTGCAGACTCCCTAGATGCACAGGCGTCCAAGTGTGGAAATGATGAGCCAAGTGCTTTGCTGGTGGGAGGGGGAAGGAACTGAACCCTGCCATCAAGAAAAAAGATAACCAGAAATGAGCTAGTTGGTTGAGGAGGAACAGCAGATGCGGCAAATGTCAGTACGCAAGAGCTCTTAAACTGTAACTTGCGTGTGTGGTTCCAGGGTCCAGAACATTCCTCCGCCCGCCCAGAGCGGTTCTTGCAGATGTGCAACGATGACCCAGATGTCCTGCCAGTGAGTAATACAGGCCCTGTCAGCCCAGCCATTCTCGGGGTGTCTGGTGGGAAACCTGGGGAAGAGCAATCTATCTGGTCATCCTGAAGTGGCAGACCGTGCCTCTGTCCCTTTCTCCATCCTGGGGAGCTCACGTGAGTGGACAGGTGTGGCCCCATGCTTCTGGGCGCCCTGGGATGAGAGACTTCCTCAGAGCACAGAGGAAGGTGCAGGGACTGCCTCCATTGGCTTCCTGCTGTTGCTGCAAGCACAGAAACGCCATGTGAGCTCCTCAGCAAGGGCTCCTGCGGGATGCTTCCAGACCCTGATTCAGGTCTGGAAGCCCTGAGGAGGAGAGAACTTTGGGGCGATTCCAGTGAAACTTTAAGAACTCAAAGAACCAGCCTGGGCAACATGGTGAGACCCCGTCTCTACAAAAATTTTAAAAAGTAGCTGGGCGTGATGGTGCACGCCTGCAGTCCCAGCTACTTGGGAGGCTGAGGTGGGAGGATTGCTTGAGCTTGGGAGGTCAAGGCTGCAGTGAGCCAAGATCGTGCCACTGCACTCCAACCTGGGTGACAGAGCAATACCCTGTCTTAAAAAAAAAAAAAAAAAGAACTGTGCTGGGTGTGGTGGCTCAAGCCTGAAATCCCAGCACTTTGGGAGGCCCAGGCAGGCGGATCATGAGGTCAGGAGTTTGAGACCAGCCTGGCCAATATGGTGAAACCCTGTCTTTACTAAAAATACAAAAACTAGCTGGGCATGGTGGCGCCCACCTGTAATCCCAGCTAGTCTGAGGCTGAGGCAGGAGAATTGCTTAAACCCGGGAAGCAGAGGTTGCAGTGAGCCAAGATTGTGCCGCTGCACTCCAGCCTGGGCAGCTCCGTCTCACAAAAAAAGAACTGGCCAGGCGCAGTGGCTCACGCCTGTAAGCTCAACACTTTGGAGGCCCAGGCAGGTGGATCACGAGGCCAGGAGTTTGAGACCACCCTGGCCAATATAGTGAAACCCCGTCTCTACTAAAAATACAAAAATTATTCAGGCGTGGTGGCGGGCACCTGTAGTCCCAACTACTCAGGAGGCTGAGGCAGAGAATCGCTTGAACCCGGGAGGTGGAGGTTGCAGTGAGCCAAGATTGCGCCACTGCACTCCAGCCTAGGCGACAGAGGGAGACTCCTGTCTCAAAAAAAAAAAAAAAAAAAAAAAACTCAAAGAAAATGATTAGGTGTCAGTGTCTAAGGAAAATTGGTTTTAGGTAGAACTTGTGTCTCTTAAAGTGGTATTTGTTTCATGCTGGGCAATAGCTTTCAGAGAAATAGTATGGATTGAGTGGGACTGAGGCTCTCCTCCAGGGTATGAGGCTGGCCGAAGGAGCTTGCTGGACTCACTTGTTAGTGTCAGCTTATGTCTCCTGGGGAGTCAGTGTGTTAGGCCATTCTTGTGTTGCTATAAAGAAAAACCTGAGACTGGGTAATTTATAAAGAAAAGTTTAATTGGCTCACAGTTCTGTAGGCTGTACAGGAAGCATGATGCTGGCATCTGCTCAGCTTCTGGGGAGGCCTCAGGAAGCTTACAATCATGACAGAAGATGAAGTGGGAGAGCAGGCATGTCACATGGCCAGAGCAGGAGTAAGAGAGTGGGGGAGAGGGGCCACACACTTTCAACAACCAGATCTCGTGTGAACTCAGAGTGAGAGCTCACTCATCACCAAGGGGATGGCCCAAGCTCTAATCCTAACACCTCCCACCAGGCCCCACCTCCAGCAGTGGGAGATTACAATTCAACATGAGATTTGGGCAGGGACAAATATCCAAACTAGATCACCTGAGGGCCCCCACATGCCCCAGAAGACTCAGTGCTGTGTCCTGGCCTCTGGCCATTTCCTTCCCTGCTGCAGGACCTTAAAGAAGCCAACTTCGACATCAATCAGCTATATGACTGCAATTGGGTTGTTGTCAACTGCTCCACTCCTGGCAACTTCTTCCACGTGCTACGACGCCAGATCCTGCTGCCATTCCGGAAGCCGGTCAGTGGCAGGGCCTCCCTTGCTCAAACGAGGCCTGGCCCTGCCCTGTTGGTGCAGGGAAGGGCTCCTCAGAGAGCCTCTTGCTTGGGGTTAGCTAGGTGGGCACCTGCAGGGGTAGTGTGGACAGGACATGGTGTCAGGGAGCCTCGCCCTTCCTCCTCACTGCTGCCATGAGGGAACTGCGTGTTCTGTGTGTCCTCTTCCCCGACTGGGCCCCTGCATACTGCTGAGCACCACATGCGGAGCAATCACATAGGCTGCAGGCCCCAGCCCGGTGGGGAGGACGGATGTTTGAACAGGTGGTCATAGGGGGTGTGCTGAGCTCTGGAAGAGAGGTGAGCCCTGGCAGAGGCCAAGGGAGTGCAGGGTCCCCAGGGAGCGGCTCCTGAGCTGGGTGTTGAAGGGTGAGTAGAAGTTGAGTGGAGGGATACGTTGGAGAAGTGATTCATAAAAAGGAAGGAGGCCGGGCGAGGTGGCTCACGCCTGTAATCCCAGCACTTTGTGAGGCCGAGGCAGGTGGATCATGAGGTCAGGAGATGGAGACCATCCTGGCTAGCACAGTGAAACCCCGTCTCTACCAAAAAAAATACAAAAAAATTAGCCGGGCATGACAGCGGGCACTTGCAGTCCCAGCTACTTAGGAGGCTGAGGCAGGAGAATAGGAGAATAGCGTGAACCCGGGAGGCGGAGCTGGCAGTGAGCCGAGATCGCACCACTGCACTCCAGCCTGGGCAACAGAGCGAGACTCCGTCTCAAAAAACAAAAAAAAGGAAGGAGTGTGGGGGACAGCGAGGGAGTGCCCTGCTGCCCTGGGATACCGCGGGGGTGGGAGTATGGGGTGGAGGCTTGCAGCTCGGAGTGTCCCCAGCAGTCCAAGGGCCCACAGGGCAGGACAGCCCTGGTGCTTCTTGGTGCTGGGCCATGTCACAGCCTTACATGGGCTTTGGGTGCATTTGCTCTGAGACTGCCAAGGAGAGGGTCAGAGCTCTTTCCTAGGTACAGAGAAGCAGGGAAGGGAGTATTGGGAGTCCGAGCAGGCTGGGATGGGCCCTGCCAGGAGTGGATACCCAGCTAGGGGAGGTGAACAGCAGGGAAATTGGTCATCTTTCCTTTTCCCTCCTTCTCTGCCTCTTCTGACCTGAGGCTCCTGTTGAGTGGGAGGGCAGGTGTGTTTCATGGCCTGAAGGTCAAGGCTTGGGTAGCCTTGCTTTTGACCTTCCTTCTGGAATCTTCAGAATCTGATCCTTCACGAGCCTATTGTTCTGTATTTCAGTTAATTATCTTCACCCCCAAATCCCTGTTGCGCCACCCCGAGGCCAGATCCAGCTTTGATGAGATGCTTCCAGGTGGGTGTGAGGGAGATGGGCATTTCCTTGGGGGAAGCTATGTTTGGGGCTTCTTTGCTGCTGCTCTTTTACAGCTCATGGGACTGACATTTGTGATTCTCACTGGCTCTTGCCAGATTTTTGGTTGTAAAGACCCGTGATACATGGCTGGGCACAGTGGCTCACGCCTGTAATCCCAGCACTTTGGGAGGCCGAGGCAGGCAGATCATCTGAGGTCAGGAGTTCGAGGGCAGATCACCTGAGGTCGGGAGTTCGAGACTAGCCTGACCAACATGGAGAAACGCCATCTCCACTAAAAATACAAAATTAGCCAGGCGTAGTGCCACATGTCTGTAATCCCAGCTACTCAGGAGGCTGAGGCAGGAGAATTGCTTGAACCCAGGAGGTGGACGTTGCAGTGAGCTGCTATCACGCCATTGCACTCCAGCCTGGGCAATAAGAGCAAAACTCCGGCACAAAAAAAAAAAAAAAAGTCCCATGATACCAGATGAGGGAGGTCACAGCTTACATTCACGTTGGTCAAATGACATGTCTTAACATGCAGCCCAGGAGCTGTTGCCTCTCACCTGCAAATGCCCCCAAGGACTCCACTAGAGGCAATTAAGTATGTCCAAGATTGAGGGTTAGTGCCGCTGCCTGCGGCCTCCTTCAGCAGGTGAGTGGCAGCTCACCACTGGCTCAGAGGCCCAGCCCCAAAGCAAGCCCTTCAGGACAGAGAAAAAAACACTGGACGGCAGGTCCTGCCAAGTCACATGCCAGCTGCACTTGTGTGAAGGGAGACCCATAACATTGAGATTTCTATAGGGACAGTGGAGTGCAGGATGTTGACACAGCCTTTACCACCCACCAGGGGTCACCAGGCCAGGAAGCCTGCATCCCACCAGTCACCAAACCCCCTTTAGTCTTCAATCAAGGTGAGCCCCTTGTTTTTTGGGGGTTTTTTCCCAATCTTTTTTTATTTTTAATTTTATTTATTTATTTATTTATTTATTTTTGAGACGGAGTCTCGCTCTATCGCTCAGGCTGGAGTGTGGTGGCACAATCTCGACTCACTGCAAGCTCCACCTCCCGGGTTCACGCCATTCTCCCACCTCAGCCTCCCAAGTAGCTGGGACTGCAGGCGCCCGCCACCACGCCTGGCTAATTTTGTTTTTGTATTTTTAGTAGAGACGGGGTTTCACCGTGTTAGCCAGGATGGTGTCAATCTCCTGACCTCATGATCCACCCATCTTGGCCTCCTAAAGTGCTGGGATTACAGGCATGAGCCACCATGCCCAGCCCCCAGTCTTTTTTTATTATGGTAAAATACACAACATAAAATTTACCATTTTGACCATTTTTAAGTATCCAGTTCAGTGTGTTACTGCCTCTATAAATTTGACTACTCTATGGAACTCATAAGTGAAATCATACAGTCTTTGTCCCTTGCGACTGGCTTGTTTCATTTAGTATAATGTCTGCGAGGTCCATCCATGTTGTGTAGCATGTGTCAGAATTTCTTTTTTTTTAAGACTGAATAGCCAGGCATGGTGGCTCATGCCTATAATCCCAGCACTTTGGGAGTTCGAGGCAGGTGGATCACTTGAGGTCACAAGTTTGAGACGAGCCTGGCCAACAGGGTGAAACCCCGTCTCTATTAAAAATACAAAAATTAGCAGGGTGTGGTGGTGCACGCCCTGCTACTCTGGAGGCTAAGGCAGGAGAATTGCTTGAACCCGGGAGGCAGAGGTTGCAGTGAGCTGAGATTGCACCACTGCACTACAGCCTGGGCAACAGAGTAGGACTCCATCTCAAAACAAAACAAAACAAAAAAGACTGAATAGGCTGGGCCCAGTGGCTTACACCTGTAATCTCAGCACTTTGGGAGGCTGAGGCAGGTCGATCACTTGAGGTCACGAATTTGAGACCAGCTTGACCAATATGATGAAACCCCATCTCTACGAAAAATACAAAAATTAGCTGGGCATGGTGGCGCGCACCCGTAATCCCAGCTACTCAGGATGCTGAGGCAGGAGAATTGCTTGAACCTGGGAGGCAGAGGTTGCAGTGAGCCAAGATTGCGCCACTGCATTCCAGCCTGGGTGACAGAGACTCCGTCTCAAAAAAAATAAATAAATAAACTAGCCGGGGGTGGTGGCGCATACCTGTAATCCCAGCTACTCAGGAGGCTGAGGCAGGAGAATCACTTGAACATGGGAGGCAGAGGTTGTGGTGAGCCAAGATCACGCCGTTGCACTCCAGCCTGGACAACAAGAGCGAAACTCCGTCTCAAAAAAAAAAAAAGACTGAATAATACTCCATTATATGTGTATGCCACATTTTGCTCATCCATTCATCTGTCGATGGACACTTGGGTTGCTTCCATGTTTCAGCTATTATGATTAGAGGAGCTGCTATGAACATTGGTGTACAAATATTTCTTTGAGTCCCTGCTTTCAGTTCTTTTGAATATGTACTCAGAAGTGGAATTGCTGGACCATATGGTAATTCTATTTTTAGTTTTTTGAGGAACTGCCAAACTTTCCACAGTGGCTGCATTTTACATCCCACCAACAGTATATGAGGATCCCACCATCTCTACATCCTCATCAGCACCTACTATTTTCTGGTTTTTTCATAGTAGCCATCTTAATGGGTGTGAGATGATATTTCATTGTGGCTTTGATTTATATTTCTGTAATGATTAAGTGATGTTGAGCATCTTTTCATATGCTTATTGGCCACTTGTATATCTTCCTTGGAGAACTGTCTATTAAAATCCTTTTTTTTTTTAATTTAATTTTTTTTAAGAGACAGGATCTCTCTATGTTGCCCAGGCTAGTCTTGAACTCCTGGGCTCAAGGAATCCTCCTACTTTGGCCTCAAAGTATTGAGATTACAGGCATGAGCCACGGTACCCAGCCTATTCAAATTATTTGCCCATTTTTGAATCTGGTTGCTTGTTTTTGAGTCTTAAGAGTTCTCTGTATATTCTAGATATTAATTCCTTATCAGAAATATAATTTGCAAATATTTTCTCCCGTTCTATGGGTTGTTCTTTTATTCTGTTGTTAGTATCTTTGGTTTTGGTTTTGGGTTTGGGTGTTTTTTTTGTTTGTTTTTTGTTTTTTTCCGAGATGGAGTCTTACTCTGTTACCCAGGCTGGAGTGCATTAGTGCAATCTCAGCTCACTGCAACCTCTGCCTCCCAGGTTCAAGTGATTCTCCTGCCTCAGCCTCCCAAGTAGCTGGGATTACAGGCGCACGCCACCATGCCTAGCTAATTTTTGTATTTTTAGTATAGACAGGGTTCCACCATGTTGACCAGGCTGGTCTTGAACTCCTGACCTCAGGTGATCTGCCCACCACAGCCTCCCAAAGTGCTGGGATTACAGGCGTGAGGCACTGCACCTGGCCTGTTGTTAGTATCTTTTGATGTACAAAAGTTTTTAATTTTCTTTTTTTTTTTTTTTTTTTGAGACGGAGTCTCGCTCTGTCGCCCAGGCTGGAGTGCAGTGGCGGGATCTCGGCTCACTGCAAGCTCCACCTCCCGGGTTCACGCCATTCTCCTGCCTCAGCCTCCCAAGTAGCTGGGACTACAGGCGCCCGCCACTACGCCCAGCTAATTTTTTGTATTTTTAGTAGAGACGGGGTTTCACCGTTTTAGCCGGGATGGTCTCGATCTCCTGACCTCGTGATCCGCCCGCCTCGGCCTCCCAAAGTGCTGGGATTACAGGCGTGAGCCACCGCGCCCGGCCAAGTTTTTAATTTTCATGAAGTCAGATTTGTCTATTTTTTCTTCAGTTGCCTGTGACTTTGGTGTCATATCTAAGAAATCATTACCAAATTCAGTGTTGTGAAACTTTTGCCCTATGTTTTCTTCTGAGTTTTATAGTTTTTGCTCTTATGTTTAGATCTTTGACCCACTTTGAGCTAATTTGTTTTGTTTTTTATTTTTTGTTTGTGTTTTTTTGAGACAGAGTCTCACTCTGTCATCCAGGCTGATGCAATCGTAGCTCACTGCAGCCTCAATTCCTGGGCTCAAGTGATCCTCCTACTTTGGCCTCCCAGAGTACTGGGATTACATGTGTGAGCCACTGTGCCCAGACTTTTATTCTGTTTGTATCATAAATGGAATTGTTGGCCTAATTTCCTCTTCTTATTGTTCATTGTTAGTGTATAGAAACACAACTGGTTTTGGTTACGTGCATATGATGCGTAGTGCTTAAGTCAGGGTATTAGGGTGTCCGTCACCCGAGTACGATACATGTTTGTTAACCTTACTCCTTTATCAAACGTTGAACTTAATTCCTTCTATCTAACTGTATGTTTGTACCATTCAACCCACTTTTCTATATTTTTTTGAGATAGATTCTTACCCTGTCACCCAGGTTGGAGTGCAGAGGCATGGTCATCATGGTTCACTGTAACCTCTGCCTCCCAGGCTAGAGTGATTCTCCCACCAAAGCCTCCCAAGTAGCTGGGAACACAAGGTGTGCACCACCGTGCCTGGCTAATTTTTGTACTTTTGTAGAGACGGAGTATCACCATGTTGCCCAGGCTGGTCTCGAACTCCTGAGCTCAAGGGATCCTCCTGCCTCAGCCTCCCAAAGTGCTGGCCAACCCACTGTTCTCTATCTGAATATTTTCTCTGATTGTGTTGAAAGTTTTTATATTTGTAAAATTCTGAGCAGCAGAAACAGAGTAAACATGGGATTTTTTTTATATAATTTTTTTTTTTTTTTGAGATGGAGTTTTGCTCTTGTTGCCCAGGCTGGAGTGCAATGGCGCATTCTTGGCTCACCACAACCTCCGCCTCCCGGGTTCAAGCAATTCTCCTGCCTCGGCCCCCCGAGTAGCTGAGATTACAGGCATGCGCCACCATGCCTGGCTTATTTTGTATTTCTAGTAAAGACAGGGTTTCACCATGTTGGTCAGTCTGGTCTCGAACTCCTGACCTCAGGTGATCCGCCTGCCTCAGCCTCCCAAAGTGCTGGGATTTACAGGCGTGAGCCATGCGCCCGGCTGGTATTTTTTTTTTTTTTTGTCTGGAGATGGAGTCTTGCTCTGTTGCCCAGACTGTAGTGCATGATCTCAGCTCACTGCAACCTCTGCCTCCCGGGCCCAACCGATTCTTCCACCTCAGCCTCCCGAGTAGCTGGGACCACAGGCGCACACCACCATGCCTGGCTCATTTTTTGTATTTTTTTAGTAGAGACGGGGTTTCACCATGTTGCCCAGGCTGGTCTCGAACTCCTGAACTCAGGCAATCCGCCCGCCTCAGCTTCCCAAAGTGCTAGGATTGCAGGCGTGAGCCACCGCACCCGGCCGGGATGTTTTAATAATACTCTTGTCCCCGAAGTCTGAGCCAAGCTGTTTTGAAGGCTAGCCTGGTGTTACTTGATACCCAGAGCTGGCCATGTCTGCTGTGTATTTGTTACACGTAACGTGCTTTTCAAAGTGTGCCTGGTCTGAGCAAATACAGGGCATCAGAGGCTGGTGAAGGGGAAGCATCTCTAACCCTTGAAAGCTGCGTCTCCTGGCAGCAGTCCCTGGCACAGCCCTGGGCCCAGGAGAGCTCTCAGCCACATACCTGAGAGAACCAGCCTAGCCATGGGAACTCTCTTGTAGGAACCCACTTCCAGCGGGTGATCCCAGAAGATGGCCCTGCAGCTCAGAACCCAGAAAATGTCAAAAGGCTTCTCTTCTGCACCGGCAAAGTGTATTATGACCTCACCCGGGAGCGCAAAGCACGCGACATGGTGGGGCAGGTGGCCATCACAAGGATTGAGCAGGTGAGGGCAGGTGGTGCCATCAGGGTGTCCCCCCAGCGGGGGTCAGGGCTCTGGTGCCTTCACAGAACAGCCTTGCTTGGGGTGTGGCCCTCAGGTTCCTGACCTTCCCTGCTCGGAACACCAGTTTCCCTTTGCTGGATCTTGCCTGCCCTCTGAGTTTCCTCTTTTTGATCTGACCCCTGCTGTCTCCTAGCTGTCGCCATTCCCCTTTGACCTCCTGCTGAAGGAGGTGCAGAAGTACCCCAATGCTGAGCTGGCCTGGTGCCAGGAGGAGCACAAGAACCAAGGCTACTATGACTACGTGAAGCCAAGACTTCGGACCACCATCAGCCGCGCCAAGCCCGTCTGGTAAGGCTTCAGTCCCTGCCAGGAAGGCTGTGGGACCCTCCCCTCAGGCCAGTAGGCAGTTAGCCAGGCACATGCAGCAGAGGGATGGGCTGGGCCAACTCAGTGTCCCCTGCCCTCACTGCCCCCTCCCTCCATCTCTCAGGTATGCCGGCCGGGACCCAGCGGCTGCTCCAGCCACCGGCAACAAGAAGACCCACCTGACGGAGCTGCAGCGCCTCCTGGACACGGCCTTCGACCTGGACGTCTTCAAGAACTTCTCGTAGATGCTGCCTAGGGTTGCTTGGGCCACTGCCCTCTCCACACCCATGACTGCCCCTTGCTTCTCAACTAAAGAATAGTGCCTCAGCGCTGCCCACACCACCGCCCTCCTCGCTGTGCCACCACCCCTCCCTCTGCTCTCATAGGAGTTAGGCTGTCGTCCCCCTCCAGTGCTTGGCTGCCCCACAGGCCACACGCTGCCCAGGCTCTGCTGACTTCTGAGCAGTTTTCCAGGAGGCCGGGGGGAGCAGGAGGAGGAAAGGTAGCCCCCGAGGGATGTCCTTGGGGAGGGGTCAGCTCTGGCCACAATCCTCCCCACCAGTCTCACCCACTAGGATAGGAACTGGGCCTTGTGTGCTGGCTTCCGCTGTCACCCAGCAAGGCACAGGCTCCTGTATTTGAGACTAGGATAGCTTCATCTTGAGCCTGAGCCTTAGAATCTGTAGAGGAGCCTGGAGTCGGATCTAGCCATGGCTGGCAGAGGTTTCTAGGGTGGGCCCCAGCCGTGGCGTGAACTGAGGATGACCCGGGGCAGCTGGCAGGAGAGAGCCTTGGCCTGACCTGGCACAGAAAGGGCAGCTTCAGTCTCTGCAGTGTCCATTATCTGCTGTTCCTTCGAGGGTTCCAGGCTGTGTGTGGGGCCCAAGCATGCCCCACCCACCCCTCCTGGGCCCAGGCAGCACCTGGAGCCCACAGAGTCTGTGTGTAGCCAGGAAGCCCCGCTCAGGTAGCCACCACCGGGGCACTGGCTGCTCTGTCTTGGTCCTGTTAACCCTCCACCTCCTCTCTTGGACTCCCTCCCCACCCCAACCACTCTTTCTTTCTCCTTTAACCCAATGGAGACTTTCTGATGCATCGTTTTCTTTGCTGTGCCAAAGCAGGTCAGAAGAGGGAGAGGAGGGGCTGGGGGTGAGGGGCCAGGCCATGGCCAAGGGGCCAGCTGCCCCTCATTTATCACTCTGACCTTCACAGGGACAGATCTGATTTATTTATTTTGGTTAAAAAAAAAAAAAAGGAACAGAAACAACTTTGCATTGCATTGGCTTGACCCATAAACTAAGTTATATCCGTGGGCATGTCTGCTGTGTCTTTCTGTCTGTTCTGCCTTCTCCCCTGAGGGGATGGGGATGGGCCAGTCCCCTCCTAACCCACCTGGGAAGCAGCCCCCTCCTCATTGGACAGGGGGAGTGATGACCACCACCTGCAGGCCCTCGCCGGCAAAGCCGTCATTGTGAATGCGGCAGAGGCGGCCTGGGCTGCCGGGCTGTTTGGGTGCAGTCCTGTTTCTGAGCTTTCCCTGCTCTGGGTCCTTCCCCTGGCTCCACCTTGAAAAAGTACTCTGCACTCTGTGCCTCTCCGTTTGAGCCAGCGTGCCTGCGGGTTCACCCTAACCACACGTTTGTTAATTAGTGCTCCCCAGAGCCCAAGCAACGATTCCAACCTGGAGATGGGGCCTCTCACCAGCACACACCTGGGTCCCCTCTGGCCAAGAGCTTCATCCCATAACAAGCCAGGTATTGGCTTCCTGAGCACTCAACCAATCTCACCCCTGAGGAAGAGCTTAAGTGGGGTCAAGCCTCTGACCCACCACCCTGTTCTCTAGGGAGCACCTGCCTGGGTCCCCGGATTTGTCCTGTTGTCGCTTTGCAGCATGGCCCAAGGTTCTTCTGATGGAAGCATGACCACCAGCCAGTGCCAAGTGGAGTGGGTCCTGGGGTGGGCGTGAAGAGCTGCTGCCATCACCCCCAGAGCTGTAGACAGGCGCTCCTGCACACGTCTGCTGGTGACCAGTGCCACCTCCCTGTGCCTCACCACTTACCCAAAATCCTGGCCGGGCTGGGTGGCTCACACCTATAATCTCAGTACTATAGGAGGCCAAGGCAGGAGGATCGCTTCAGGCCAGGAGTTCAAGACCAGCCTGGGCAACATAGACCCTATCTCTGCAAAAAAATTTAAACATCAGCAGGGTGTGATGGCGCATACCTGTAGTCCCAGCTACTCAGGAGGCTGAGGTGGGAGGATCACTCAAGCCTGGGAGGTCAGGGCTGCAGGGAGCTGTGGTTGCACTCCCAGCTGGGTGACAAAGCAAGACCGTGTCTCAACAACAAAAAAAAGATTTTGGAAAAATGGCCTCGGTGTGCTGCAGCAAGGTAAGCTGGGACTCGCCTCGATGCTTCCCAGCTGGCCAGGGAAGCGGAACATCCGGGTGAGCAGAGCCCAAACTGGTTCTGAGGATCTAGGAACACTTCCCAGGGAGTGGGGCTTGAGTTGGTTCCTGAAGCGGCTCAGCACGGTGACCCCTAGGTTGTCCTGGTGGTAGTTGTGACCACAGGAACAGGCAAAGCTCCTCTGGAAATTCTAAGTATGTGCAGGTCTTTGTAAGTTCTCACTGCAGGTCTGTGGCCCTCAGCACCCTGCAAGGAGAACAGGGCTTTGTAAGGGCTCTGGAAAGATCAGGAACAGTCAGAACATGCTGGACCAGGTGTTCACACATGACGTCTTGCAGATGGTTCCCTGGTTTTGTTCTGTTTCAGTTTTTAATTGTCCCATTTTCTAAAATTGGAAAACAATTGTTGGAAGAAGCTCCATGCAGTCTAGGCAGCATCTTGTGTGTTTAGATGAGACTTAGTGGGTCAGGACCGTGTGTGTGTGTGTGTGTGTGTGTGTGTGTGTGTGTGTGTGTGTGTCGAACAGCAGAGTGACATCAGGTGACAGCCTTGGGTTAGCATCACAGATGCAGCAGGCATGGTGTGGTGTGGGTGAGCTGAAGGGAAATGCAAACCGTTTTTAGGACAAAGAGGCCTTGTTCTGGTCACTGGCGAGCAGCTTGGCCCTGACTCACCCCTGAAGCTCCTGAATTGTCGCCGTTGGGGCAGGGCAGACAGGGACATAACCTACCCAACATCACTGCCAACATCCTTGCGCTTTTCTGGATATAAAAAAGGTACTTCTGGATCCGAAATATCTAAGCTAGATGTGAGAGCGTCAGCTTGCTCCACTGGGGAGGGAACTTCAGAGCCAGCCCCCCTCACCCAAGTACTACTGCTGGTGATGGCTGGGGTGGGTGAGGGTGAAAGAGGGGCATCACCAGCCCCATGAACTCAGTGTGGTCTGAGAGTGCCTTCTGGAGGGGGTGGGGGATGGGGGATGGGGAATGATAGGCTGAGGCTTCACTCCATCCGCATGTTTGTGCAAAGGTGTCCACGCTTGAGAAGGGAGAAGAGGCTGCCAGCCCCACTGGAGTGACTAGGAACCCTACACCCGGATTCCCTCCCTTTCCTCCAGCAGAAACAGAATTGGAATCAATGTCCAGTGATACTTCAGGCCTAACTTTGGTAGGGTAGTGAGCTCCCTGTCGGGATAGTATTCGACTGGGATTTCACTGTACAGAGATGGTAGAAATGTCCCTGTGTAGGATTCCGTGATCTTGTGACCAGCAGGTCTCTGCTCAGGGACCCCTGCTCTGCCCACTCCAGTGTATGCTAGCACACCTGGCTCTCTCAGTCCCCAAAATAAATCATCAAAGACTTCCCTGAATGACGGCCAGAGCAGGGGGTTTTCTCCAGGATACCCAAAGGGGCCACGTTACCCACCTCCTAAGTCCTCATTCCCCCACCCAGCCTCACCCATCTTCCCAGACCTCTCCTCCCTAGAGCTTCACCGGCCCCCAACCTGGCTCATGGGCTCAGGGCCCCAGATTGCCATGGGAACTTCTGTTAACTCCAAAGTGCCCAAGTCCACCCAGGCCCCTGGCCAGAGTCTCCCTCTCCAGTGCTGTATCCACTGGTGTGTCGGTTGGGTTTGTCAGCCTTGAGACCTGCCAAGACCCTGTCTCCTTTCCAGCTCTCCCCAGCGCAGAACTGGGTTCTGGTCTGCCTCTGAAACTCTTGACCTGGGCACCCTGAGTCCCTTCCCTTCCCAGACCTCTACCCTGTGTAGGGAACCAGCCCTAGTGGGAAAAGTCACTACTGAACAGGCCCCGAGGATAGGGGCTGTTCCCTCTGTGCCAGGTCTTCTCTCTCATTTCCTCTGCTCACTCTGGTCCTGAAGGTCAGGCTTAACAGAGTTTAGCACCTAGGTTCAATGAAGGGTCTGGGCTGTGGATCAAGGAACAGTTTTGCTTAGTTCTGGAGTTAGCAAAGCCGCATTGCCTCATTTGTCACAGCCAGAGGCCAGGAAAGGAAGGTAAACAGATTAGTGACCAGGTTGGTATGTCCAGAGGCTGTAGTGGTCTGTGGGAGCAGATGTTACCGGCACCCAGAGGTGTTGGAGGGAAATGGGTGGAGCTTAGAGATCCAGGTGAGATAAAAACTTGGGCGGAAGGCAGATAGATGTCAGGAAGGCTTGCCTGGCCAACCGCAACGTGGAACTGGGAGACAGTAGGTCAGAGGGGTGTGTAGGGGGTGGGGGAGGCTGAATTTGAAATCTTTGTGACCTCCAGGTGGAAATGTCAGGGAGGCCATTGGCTTTATGGATCAGAGCAGGGAAACGCACTGGGTCCTATGCATCATCTGTGGGTGGGGGTCCTGGCCCCTGGGGCACTGGATAAGACAGTGGGAAGAAAGGAGGTGGGGAGCAGGCCCCCGACAGCTAACCATGTGCCTCTGCAGAGCAGGGGGTGAGTCTAGATGTCCAAGGGGAGTCTCCTTTTCTTCTCCACCCAGCCCCAGATCTTGTCCCTCCCTAGGTTTTTTGTTTGGTTGGTTGGTTGGTTGATTTTTGGAGATGGAGTCTGGCTCTGTCACCTAGGCTGGAGTGCAGTGGTGCGATCTCTGCTCACTGCAAACTCTGCCTCCTGGGTTCACGCCATTCTCCTGCCTCAGCCTCCCGAGTAGCTGGGACTACAGGCGCCCGCCACCACGCCCGGCTAATTTTTTTGTATTTTTAGTAGAAACGGGGTTTCACCATATTAGCCAGGATGGTCTCGATCTCCTGACCTCGTGATCCACCCATCTTGGCCCCCCAAAGTGCTGGGATTACAGGCATGAGCCACCACACCCGGTGTCCCTCCCTAGGTGTTTTTAATCAGCCATGCCAGTAACCTGGCAGTGCCACTGGGCATTCTGTACCCCTTATTCCCTTCCCCTGCTGGGGCTGTGCCAGGAGCCACCTGCTCGTCTCTTCAGGGCTGTAGGACTGCCGTGTTACTGCAAAATGATCTTCAAACTCAGATTGGATCCTGTCTGTCCCCTGTAGGAAACCACTAGCTCACCTTCCCCAGCAGTCTGGTTGCTTAGGGGGCTGTCCTCCCTCCCCACTGGTGCTCCAGGCTGCACAAAGAGGACCTGGAGAGGAACTAGGTGGCCCCCCTTCATCTCCTCGCTCCCTCTCCCTGGAATCCCTTTCCCTGCCTTGTCTGCGGAGCCCACTCCCTCCCAGCCCACCCTGTCACTCAGGAGCTGTGTGTGTGTCACCATCCTGCCACTGGTTTGTTTGCTGTCCCCCACATTGGCTGCAGTGCCTGGCACATGGCAGGGACTCCCTTGGGCTTCCAGGATGAAGGGATACTTGCTTGTCTATTACATTTTCCCTCTATTGGAGAGGTGGTAACTAAAGACTGAGCAGAAAGGCTGGTAATAGGAAAATGGAACAGGACTTTGGCCATCATTTTGGGAAGCTACCATAGCTCTTTCCTTCCAAGACTCAATACCAGAGCCCCTTATGCCACGGTGGGCCAGGTCCTGCCTAGATTTCCAAAGTTGGGATGGGACCCCCTACCCCCTCCCCACCCTTCATCCAGGGCTTATTTACTGAGTGGCTGGCACTTGCTCTTTGGGGTTCAAGGCACCACAAACGTTGTGTTCATTCTGTGTTGTAAGAACCTTCTAACTCCCGCCCAATGCTGGCCATTTCTACTTCCCCGAAGGGGCCTCCTGAAACTGTCATTGCAGAATTGTAACTGAGACAGTGACAGAGTTCTGACCTGGCCAACTCCATCCTGTTTCTGACCTCCAAGCTGTCTTTGTCCATTCCCGGGCATAGGCTGAACTAATTTTAGGAGGAACTTAGTTTATAGTTTGTAGTTTGACACAAATATAACTGCCTTTTCCCAAAACAAACCCCCTTCTTGCCTGGGACGAGACTGCCTTTATAGGACTAACAAATTAGTCAAACATGTTAGAAATTTTGGTTTAGGAGTCATATCCCTAGAGGCTACAAGATTCTGATGCTCCCCAAGTAGTCGCTCCTGGTGATAACATCACTATTGTAAAACCTAAGATAAGTGCTTGAGATATTCTGCAGACCCTGCACTAGATGGATCAGCTGGCACCACTCAGGTTGATAAACTGGCTCATGTGATCTTGGGGCCCCCACTCGGGAACTGACCTAGCACAAGAGGACAGTTCAGCTCCCTATGATTTAATCTCCAACCCAACCAATCAGCACTCCTGACTCACTGGCTGCCTCCCCCTACCCACCAAACTATCCTTAAAAACTCTGATCCCCAAATGCTCAAATGCTCAGGGACACTGACTTGAGTAATAATAAAATTTCAGGCTGGGTGCAGTGGCTCACGCCTGTAATCCCAGCACTTTGGGAGGCCAAGGCAGGTGGATCACCTGAGGTTAGGAGTTTAAGACCATCCTGGCCAGGGTGGGCTGCAGCCCCTCGGAGGCTCACTGCAACCTCTGCCTCCCAGGTTCAAGCGATTCTCCTGCCTCAGCCTCCCGAGTAGCAGGATTACAGGTGCCCACCAGCACGCCCGGCTAATTTTTGTATTTTTAGTAAAGATGGAGTCTCACTTTGTTGGTCAGGCTGGTCTCAAACTCCTGACCTCAGATTATCCACCTGCCTCAGCCCCCCAAAGTGCTGGGATTACAGGAGTGAGCCATCATGCCGGGCAATTTTTTTTTTAAAATATACATGGGTTTTTGCCATGTTGCCCAGGCTGGTCTCAAACTCCTGGGCTCAAGCAATCCACCCTCAGCCTCCCAAGTTCTGGGATTACAGGCATGAGCCATCACACTCAGGAGTTTGAGAACAGCCTGGCCAACGTGGTGACCAAACTGCGTCTCTACTAAAAATACAAAAAAATTAGCTGGGCATGGTGATGCATACCTGTCACTAGTTGGGTATTATTTGTTTGGGTCTGTTTCTGGGTTTGCTACTCTATGCATTGATCTTTGTCTTTATTCTTCACCAATACCACACTGTCTTTTTAGTTACGTAATGAATTTTTTATTTTTTTGAGACAGGGTCTCACTCCGTCAACCAGGCTGGAGTGCAATGGCGCAATCTCGGCTCACTGCAACCTCCTCCTCCTGGGTTCAAGTGATTTTCCTGCCTCAGCCTCCTGAGTAGCTGGGATTACAAGTGTGCACCACCATGCCCGGCTAATTTTTGTATTCTTGGTAGAGACAGGTTTTCACCATATAGGTCAGGCTGGTCTCGAACTCTTGACCTCAAGTGATCCACCTGCCTGGCTTCCCAAAGTGCTGGGATTGCAAGCATGAGCCACCGCACCCGACTGCCTACATGTTTTTTGTTTTTGTTTGTTTGGTTGGGTTTTTTTTTGAGATGGAGTCTCGCTCTGTCACCCAGGCTGGAGTGCAGTGGCGCGATCTCGGGCTCACTGCAAGCTCCACCTCCTGGGTTCACGCCATTCTCCTGCCTCAGCCTCCCGAGTAGCTGGGACTACAGGCGCCTGCCACCACGCCTGGCTAATTTTTTGTATTTTTTTTTTTTAGTAGAGACAGAGTTTCACCATGGTCTCGATCTCCTGACCTTGTGATCCGCATGCCTCGGCCTCCCAAAGTGCTGGGATTACAAGCGTGAGCCACCGCGCCTGGCCTGTTTATTTGTTCTTCGTTTTTTGTTTTTTAGGTGGAGTTTCACTCTTGTTGCCCAGGCTGGAGTGCAGTGTTGCGATCGCAGCTCACTGCAATCTCTGCTTCCCAGGTTCAAGAAATTCTCCTGCCTCAGCCTCCTGAGTAACTGGGATTACAGGCATGTGGCACCAAGCCCAGCTAATTTTTGTATTTTTAGTAGAGACGGGGTTTCTCCATGTTGGTCAGGCTGGTCTCGAACTCCCGACCTCATGTGATCCGCCCACCTCAGCCTCCCAAAGTGCTGGGATTACAGGCGTGAGCCACCATGCCTGGCCGGTTGGTTGTTTTTTAAGACAGTATCTGGCTTTATCGCCCAGGATGAAGTGCAGTGTTGTGATCATGGCTCATTGCAGCCTTGACCTCCCAGGCCCAAGCAATCCTCCCACCTCAGTCTCCTGAGTAGCTGGGACTACAGGTACATGCCACCATGCCCGGCTACTTTTTGTATTTTCTGTAGAAATGCATTTTCACACTGTTGCCCAGGCTACCTACATGTTAGGTTTTTTTTAAATTAATATTGAAACAGGGTGTCACTCTGTCACCCAGGCTGGAGTGCAGTGATGCAGTTTCAGCTCACAGCACCCTTGACCTCTCAGGTTCAAGTGTTTCTCAGGTTTCAGCCCCCCAAGTAGCTAGAACCACAGGCATGTGCCATCATAACTGGCTATATTTTTTGTTTGTTCTTTTGTAGAGATGGGGTCTTTTACGTTATGCAGACTAGTCTTGAACTCCTAGCCTCAAGCGATCCTCCTGCCTCAGCCTCCCAAAGTGCTTGCCAGGCAAGGTATCAGAGTCCAGCACCAGGAAGTTGTCGACTCACGGGTTAGTAGGAAGAATTTACTGACAACAGTATAGGTTTGAAAAAGGAAAGTTTATTAGAAAGGAAGAACGCTTCTGCCAGGCACGGTGGCTCAAGCCTGTAATCCTAGTACTTTGGGAGGCCAGAGCGGGTGGATCACCAGGTCAGGAGTTCGAGACCAGCCTGGCCAACATGGTGAAACCCTGTCTCTACTAAAAATGCAAAAATTAGCTGGTGTGGTGGCAGGCACCTGTAATTCCAGCTACTCAGGAGGCTAAGGCAGGAGAATTGCTTGAACCCAGTAGGCAAAGTTTGCAATGAGCCAAGATTGCGCCACTGCACTCCAGCCTGGGCAGCAGAGTGAGACTCCGTTTCAAAAAAAAAAAAAAAGTAAAGGAATAAAAGAATGGCTACTCCGTAGAAAGAGCAGCCCTGAGGGCTGCGGTTGCCCATTTTTATGGTTATTTCTTGATTATATGCTAAACAAGGGGTGGATTATTCATAAGCCACCTTTTTAGACCATGTAGGGTAACTTCCTATCGTTGCCATGGCATTTGTAAACTGTCATGGCACAGGTGGGAGTGTAGCAGTGAGGATGACCAGAGGTCACTCTCGTCACTATTTTGGTTTGAGTGGGTTTTGGCCAGCTTCTTTACTGTTTTATCAGCAAGGTCTTTATGACCTGTATCTTGTACCAACTTCCTATCTCATCCTGTGACTTAGAATGCCTAACCATCTGGGAATGCAGCCCAGTAGGTCTCAGCCTCATTTTTTACCCAGCCCCTATTCAAGATGCAGTTGCTCTGGTTCAAATGTCTCTGACATTTCCCTCCCCCTCTTTTAGAGGAGAACGCTTAATCCTAAAGGTTGCAGAGGGATGAAGATCCATCTTCTGTAACTTCTTCAGCCAGAATAGGGGTGATGACATTCCTGCCTAACTATTGGGTCTCTTGCATTTAGGTTAGAGAGGAACCCAGTCAGAAAACATTGATATGGCAAGGGCCATTCATAACTTTTGAGTTCCAACAAAAGGTGATTATCTGGGGCCAGGAGCAGTGGCTCAGACCTGCAATCCCAGCACTTTGGGAGGGTGAGGAGGGCAGATTGCTTGAGGTCAGGAGTTCATGGCCAGCCTGGCCAACATGGTGAAACCCTGTCTCTACTAAAAATGCAAAAATTAGCTGGGAATGGTGGCGTGCGCCTGTAATCCCAGCTGTTCCCGAGGCTGAAGCAGGAGAATCGCTAGAACCTGGGAGACGCAGGTTGCAGTGAACCGAGATTACGCCACTGCACTCCAGCATGGGTGACAAAGTGATACTCCATCTAAAAAAAAATAATAATAAGCTGGGAGCGGTGGCTCACGCCTGTAATCCCAGCACTTTGGGAGGCCGAAGCGGGCGGATCACGAGGTCAGGAGATCGAGACCACGGTGAAACCCCGTCTCTCCTAAAAATACAAAAAAAAAATTAGCCGGGCATGGTGGCGGGCGCCTGTAGTCCCAGCTACTTGGGAGGCTGAGGCAGGAGAATGGCGTGAACCCAGGAGGCGGAGCTTGCAGTGAGCCGAGATTGCGACTGCACTGCAGCCTGGGCGACAGAGCGAGACTCTGTCTCAAAAAAAAATAAATAAATAAAATAATAATAATAATAAGTAAGCTTATCCTCGTTCCTACACAAAGAGTACAACAATAATATATTCCAAAACAATAAAGCAAAATAAGTGAAATTATCCCAAGTAATCTAAATAAGAAGGCTTTCAATGAACTGGGCTACTGTTGGAACCAAGCTGATATGAAGTTGCTAGCTGATTCCAATGCATCCAGAATTAGAATACTGATCCAGATTTTTACATTACCCATCCCTTCTGTTTCTTTTGAGCTGCAGCAAGAGATTACTGGTTGGTTCACAGAAACAAGCAGTTAGTCTAAATTGCAGGAAAAAAACGTAAAAGCAACTGATGAGATTAGAATATAATAACAAGTGTACCATACATAGCTCTTGAAACTTAATTTTTCTCTCTCCAGTTTCCCCCATTTTCACTAAAGACAAATCATAGTAAGACTGATTTGCTTTATTATGCTTGGCCTGATTATTTGTATAAAGTCCAGCAAGAATAATTATTTGTCATATAGGCTTTTTAAATTAGCTTTAATGGAACTCTGTTCCATAGAAGGAATCTCATATAAAACTTTTTTTAGGCCAGGCGCAGTGGCTTATGCCTGTAATCCCAGCACTTTGGGAGGCCCAGGTGGGTGGATCACCTGAGATCAGGAGTTCAAAAACAGCCTGGCCAATATGGCAAAACCCCATCTTTACTGAAAATACAAAAACTAGTCGGGCATGGTGATGCACGCCTTTAGTCCGAGCTACTCGGGAGGCTGAAGCAGAAGAATCGCTTGAACCCAGGAGACAGAGGTTGCAATGATCTGAGATCGCGCCACTGCACTCCAGCCTAGGTGACTCTGTCTCGGGCAAAAAAATTTCTTTTAAAGCCGAGCCCAGCCATGGGTTTATACCATCAAGTACCTATGAGTTGGGTAAATTCCTCTCCTCTTTATGTTCCAAGATAACTTGGGCCTCCTGGGATTGTCAGAAGTGACATTCTGCCTGGGCGAGGTGGCTCATGCCTGTAATCCCAGCTACTCGGGAGACTGAGGCAGGAGAATCGCTTGAACCTGGGAGGCAGAGGTTGCAGTGAGCTGAGACTGTGCCATTGCACTCCAGCCTGGGTTACAAGAGTGAAACTCTGTCTCAAAAATAAATAAATAAAAATAAAAAATAAATAACCAATTCTTTTTTTTTTTTTTTGAGATGGAGTCTTGCTCTGTTGCCCAGGCTGGAGTGCAGTGGCATGATCTGCAACCTCTACCTCCTGGGTTCAAGCAATTCTCTGCCTCTGCCTCCCGAGTAGCTGGGATTACAGGCACCTACCACCATGCCCAGCTAATTTTTTTGTTTTTTGGTTTTTGGGGTTTTTTTTGAGATGGAGTCTCACTCTGTCACCCAGGATGGAGTGCAGTGGTGTAATTTTGGCTCACTGTAACCTCCGTTTCCTGGGTTCAAGCAATTCTCCTGCCTCAGCCTCCTGAGTAGCTGGGATTACAGGGGTGTGCCACTGTGCCCAGCTAATTTTTGTATTTTTAGTAGAGACGGGGTTTCATCATGTTGTCCAGGTGGGTCTTGAACTCCTGACCTCGTGATCTGCCCGCCTTGGCCTCCCAAAGTGCTGGGATTACAGGCGTGAGCCACCACACCTGGCCATTTTTTTGTATTTTTAATAGAGACGGGGTTTCACCATCTTGGCCAGGCTAGTCTTGAACTCCTGACCTTGTGATCCACCCACCTCAGCCTCCCAAAGTGCTGGAATTACAGGTGTGAGCCACTGCACCTGGCCTAAAATAACCAGTTTCTCCAATCGTGTCCTGTTGCAAAAACAGACTCTTTTTTTGGGGGGGTGCGGGGACAGAGTTTTGCTCTTGTCACCAGGGTGGAGTGCAATGGCATGATCTCAGCTTACTGCAACCTCCGCCTCCCAGGTTCAAGCAATTCTGCCGCCTCAGCCTCCCGAGTAGCTGGGACAGCATACAGGTGCCCAGCACCATGCCTGACTCATTTTTGTATTTTTAGTGGAGACAAGGTTTCACCATGTTGCCCAGGGTGGTCTTGAACTCCTGACTTTGGGTGATCCACCTACCTCGGCTTCCCAAAGTCCCGGGATTACAGGCGTGAGGCACTGCGCCTGGCTAAAAACAGATTCTTATTGCACTTATGCCAATAACTACATCACCATAAGTTAAGAATACTCACAACTAGTTTCCAAATTCTGGAGAAACCAGGTAGAGAGAAACAAATATGCTCTAAATTTTGTTCACTTTACTCAATTGTTAAAAGCTGTAAATAGCTAAAAAGAAATTTTTTCTTAACTCTGAAAAACAAAGCAAAGGATTAGTAACATTTTAAGCAAATGTTAAAAAAGATTACTTCAGGCTTCTATTAGTTTATTACATGCAGTTAACTCCTGTTTGATATTCATGAACATTTCAGCTCTTCATGAGAGTCCTGAAAGTATTTTCCTCTACTCTAATGTCACAATCTCAAAAGTTATCAGAAACCTGCGTTTAAGAACATCTGTTAGAGTTCTATAGTTGATTATAAACCACCTTCTAAAGAGGACCAAAACAAGACAACAATTATTTATGGATGACAAAATGTCTTAGGACGGCCACAGTCAACAACACAATTGACAAAGAAATTTGGTTACCTCTGTGGAATACAATGACTTTATGTAACAATTATAATTATTAATAACATATACTAAGTCATATCTGAATTATGAGTTTCCCATTATTTTGGAACACATACCAAGAACATATTTATAAAAATACAGCCTCAAGAAAGCCAAATACCATTTCAATTTGACAATGTTTCCTGTATGATTTTTGTACCAAATAAGACAAACTTTCACCTTTACATTAGTGTATTATTAATGTTAAACCCAATTCTCAATAAAACCTTATAGACATATCTACCCAACGTCAATGTTTAACCATAAGGTAAGATTCTCATAAACCTTTTATAACCCTTTACAAATTTTTGTTAAAGAGCATATTATAAGCAGGTTTTTGCTTTAAGAAAAACATATTTTGCTTTTATTCCAATGTTTAATTTACAGAAAAACTGAATAATATCCCCTTAACTTTAGCCAATATATTCACGCACAGAATTTTTTTTTTTTTTAGACAGAGTCTCACTCTGTCATCCAGGCTAAAGTGCAGTGGCATGATCTTGGCTTACTACAACCTCCACCTCCTAGGTTCAAGTGATTCTCATGTCTCAGCCCCCTGAGTAGCTGGGATTACAGGCTCATAGCACCATGCCCAGCTAATGTTTTTTAATTTTTAGTAGAGACTGGGTTTTGCCATGTTGGCCAGGCTGGTCTTGAACTCCTGACCTCAAGTGATCCACCCGACTCAGCCTCCTCCCAAAATGCTGGGATTACAGGCGTGAGCCACCATGTCTGGCCCATACACTGAATTTTTTTAACAAGATTATTATTTTTTTCTGTTTTTTTTTTTTTTTTCCAAGATGGAGTCTCGCTCTGTTGCCCAGGCTGGAGTGCAGTGGCACAATCTTGGCTCACTGCAATCTCCACTTCCCAGGTTCAAGCAATTCTCCTGCCTCAGCCTCCTGTGTAGCTGGGACTACAGGCGTGTGCCACCATGCACAGCTAATTTTTTTTGTATTTTTAGTATAGATGGGGTTTCACCATGTTGTCCAGGCTGGTCTCGAACTCCCAACCTCAAGTGATCCACCTGCCTTTGCCTCCCAAAGTGGTGGGATTACGGGAGTGAGCCACCATGCCCAGTCTACAGGATTAATTTTTTACAAACCTTCCACAATTTGCTTAAACCTTCAGCTTTATTCCATCTAACTTAATACAATCATTTAACCCATTAATCTAGTCAAAAAAATGTACATTCCCATGACTTCTTATAATCTTTTACCAAAAACACATTTCACTTTTTTACACACCTTGCATGTAAAATTGTTTCTTCAGTAGTCTCAATTACATGTTACAGTGTTAACTCTTAGTGACTTTTACTTTTACTGCCAACCTTTGTAAGTTCGGGATTTTAATGATGTAGTAGGTGTAGAGCCTAGGACTCAGACAGAAGTCCAGATAAGGTCTGACTCTTTCCAGCATCTAACTCCATGTGTGCCAGGCCTTACCTAGCTGTAAAGCAGGCAAGTTGTACAGTTGAGAGTCACAGTGGCTTTTTATGAAGCATTTAGGAGGCTTAATCACTTTTCTTTTCTTTTAGAGACAGAGTCTCACTCTGTCACCAGTCTGGAGTGCAGTGGCACGATCTTGGCTCACTGCAACCTCCTCCTCCCGGGTTCAAGCAACTCTCCTGCCTCAGCCTCCTGAGGAGCTGGGACTACAGGGGAGCGCCACCATGCCCAGCTAATTTTTGTATTTTTAGTAGAAACAGGGTTTCACCATGTTGGCCAGGAGGGTCTCAATCTCTTGACCTCGTGATCCGCCCCCTATTGGCCTCCCAAAGTGCTGGGATTACAGGCGTGAGCCACCGCGCCCGGCCTCCCCCCTCCCTTTTATAAGATAACTCTTATTTATTTATTTATTTATTTTTTGAGGTGGAGTCTCTCTCTGTAGCCCAGGCTGGAGTGCAGTGGCGCGATCTCGGCTCACTGCAAACTCCGCCTCCCGGGTTCACGCCATTCTCCCCTCTCAGCCTCCCGAGTAGCTGGGACTACAGGCGCCTGCCACCAAGCCGGGCTAATTTTTTTTGTATTTTTTTAGTAGAGACGGGGTTTCACTGTGTTAAGCCAGGATGGTCTTGATCTCCTGACCTCGTGATTCACCCGCCTTGGCCTCCCAAAGTGCTGGGATTACAGGCGTGAGCCACCGTGCCTGGCCGAGATAACTCTTTTTTAAATTTTTTTATTTTTTTTAGACAGCATCTCACTCTGTCACCCAGGCTGGGGTGCAGCGGCACACTCTTGGCTCACTGCAACCTCCGCCTCCCAGACTCAAGCAATTCTCCTGCCTCAGCCTCCTGAGTAGCTGGCACTACAGATGTGTGCCACCACACCCGGTTAATTTTTGTATTTTTTGGTAGAGATGGGGTTTCACTGTGTTGGCTAGGCTGGTTCTGAACTCCTGGCCTCAAGTAATCCACCCACCTTGGCCTCCCAAATTGCTGGGGTTACAGGCATGAGACACTGCGCCAGCTCTATAAGAGAACCCTTAATCCTAAGGGTTGCAGACAGACGAAGATCCATCTTCTGCAACTTCTTCAGCCTGAATAGGGGCAATGACATTCCTGCCTAACTATTGGGTCTCTTGCATTTAGGATAGAGACGAGCCCAGTCAGAAAGCATTGGTATGGTAAGGGTCATTCATAACTCCGAGTTCTGACAAAAGGTGGTATCTGGAAGATTAATAAGTGTTTAATTTAAGAAAATGTTGAGTTGAGTAAGCTTACTCTCAATCCTACACAAAAAGTACAATATATTTTACAGCAATAAAGCAAAATAAGTAAAATTATCCCAAGTAATCTAAATATGAACGTTTTCCATTAAGTGGGCAACTGTTGGAACCAAGCTGATATGGGGTTGCTAGCTGATTCCAGTGTGCCCAGAATTAGAATATTGATTCAGATTTCTACATTACCCATCCCTCTTGTTTTTTCTGAGCAGCAGTCAGAGATCACTGGTTAGTTCACAGTGCTGACCTATCTCATCCTGTGACCAAGAATGCCTTAACTGTCTGGGAATGCAGCCCAGTAGGTCTCAGCCTCATTTAACCAGCCCCCTATTCAAGATGGAGTCGCTCTGGTTCAAACATCTCTGAGAATTGTGTTTGTAGACATTTTGGTGCCTCAGTGTCAGCAAGGGTTGCTCAACAAGTTCTGGCATGACGTTCCAGAGATGTATAGAAATTCTAATTACTGGCCAGGTGTGGTGGCTCAAGCCTTTTGGGAGGCCAAGGCAGGCGGATCACCTGAGGTCAGGAGACCAGCCTGGCCAACATGGTGAAACGCCATCTCTACTAAAAACTCAAAAAAATTAGCCATGCGTGGTGACGGGCCCCTGTAGTCCCAGCTACTCTGGAGGCTGAGGCAGGAGAATCTCTTGAACCTGGGAGGTGGATGTTGCAGTGAGCAGAGACCCAGTGACTGTACTCCAACCTGAGTGACAAAGTGAGACTCCACCCCAAAAAAAATAAAAAAGGGAAGGCTAATTACTACTAATTTCCCCAGAGAAGGAGTTTTGCCTCTGGGTGGCCTGTTAGATGGTCACCAGGTGGTCTTTGCTGTCCTCTAAATTCCTTAGATAAGGAGATTTTGCCTCCGGGGCCTGTTCAATTGTCACCAGGTGATTTTGTTGTCCTCAGTGTGAGATTACAGGAATGAGCCACCTGCCTGTCTCCCTCGAAAATTCTTGAGGCCGGGCACGGTGGCTCACACCTGTAATCCCAGCATTTTGGGAGGCCAAGGAGGGCAGATCACCAGAGGCCAGGAGTTCAAGACCAGCCTGGCCAACGTGGTGAAACCCCATCTCTACTAAAAATACAAACATTATCTGGGCATGGTGGCACAAGCCGGTAATCCCAGCTACTCCAGAGGCTGTGGCAGAAGAATCACTTGAACCTGGGAGGTAGAGGTTGCAGTGAGCTGAGATCACGACACTGCACTCCAGTCTGGGCAACAGAGTGAGACAACATTTCAAAAACAAAACAAAAAAAATTCATTTGAGAGTGCAAAGTTGTCCTGATACCAAAAAATATGAGAACCATTGGCCTGTATGAAATAAGAAAATAAATGTCCTAGCCAGGCGCAGTTTCTTCTGCCTGTAATCCCAGCACTTTGGGAGGCTGAGGGGGTTGGATCACTTGAGGTCCAGAATTCAAGACCAGCCTGGCCAACATGGTGAAACCCTGTCTTTATAAAAAATACAAAAATTAGCCAGGTATGGTGGCGCGTGCCTGTAACCCCAGCTACTTGGGAGGCTGAGGCAGGAGAATCGCTTGAACCCGGGAGGCAGGGGTTGCAGTGAGCCAAGATTGCACCACTGTACTCCATCCAGCCTGCGAGACTCTGACTCAAAAAGAAAAAAAAAGAAAGAAAAAAAAAGAAAGAAAGAAAATAAGTTTTCTAATCTTGTTTTCTCAGATAGTGAATTTGTCTATTTGGCATCCATTAATCACAGGGCCAATTGTATTAACCATATTTTCTTTTCTTTTCTTTTTTTTTTCTTTTTTTGAAACAGGGTTTCGCTCTGTCACCCAGGATGAAGTGCAGTGCTGTGATCACTGCAACCTCCACCTCCCCTCCCGAGTAGCTGGAACTATAATCACTTGCCACCACGTCTGGTTAATTTCTGTATTTATTTTTTTTTTTTTTTTGTAGACACATGTTGCCCAGGCTGCTCTCAAACTCCTGGGTTCAAGCCCAAGCCCACCTAAGCCTCTGAAAGTGCTGGGATTACAGGCATGAGCCACCATGCCCAGTTTTATTTTCTGAATCCCTTTCTTTTTTTTTTTTGAGGTGGAGTCTCGCTCTGTTGCCCAGGCTGGGGTACAGTGGTATGATCTCAGCTCACTGCAACCTCTGCCTCCTGGGTTCAAGCAATTCTCCTGCTTCAGTCTCCCAAGTAGCTGGGATTACAGGTGCCCGCCACCATGCCTGGCTAATTTTTGTATTTTTAGTAGAGACAGGGTTTCACCATGTTGAGCAGGCTGGTCTCAAACTCCTGACCTCGTGATCCGCCCACCTCGGCCTCCCAAAGTGCTAGGATTACAGACTATTTTCTGTATTCTTAATGCTCTAGCATTTGTGACCTTGCTGGCTGGAGAAAGGTTGCCCTTCCTAGGGCTAGTCAATTCTTACAAAAGTGCTCCCTGAGAATATACCGTTTATATGCAAACTAATCAGTCTAGAGCCTATACACCCAACCATCTCCTTTATCAAACACTCACATACCAAGTGAATTTTTCCCCTGCCCGAAATCAACACAGGGCCAAGTTCCAGACAACTTGGGACAGCCCCAATATCCCAAAGCCCACCAAAATTATTCAAGTGAGCAAATCCCAAACTGTTCACCTTTCTCTGCCTTGCCTGTGTGAACCCAAAATATCTGAGAAAGGTCTCAGTCAATTTAGAAAGTTTATTTTGCCATGGTTAAGGACGCGCCCAAGACGCAGCCTCAGGAGGTACTGAGGACATGTGCCCAAGGTGGTCGTGGTACAGCTTGCTTTTATACATTTCAGGGAGACATGAGACATCAATCAATATGTGTCAGCTGTACATTGGTTGGATCCGGTAAGGCGGGACAACTGGAGGTGAGGGCTTCCGGGTCCTAAGTGGATAAGAAACAAAAGGTTGCATTATTTTGAGTCCTTGATCAGCCTTCCACTGAATACACAATTTAGTCTGGCTCAGTGAATATGCTTTTTTATATAAACAATAGGGCAGAGGAAGCAATCAGATATGCATTTGTCTTAGGTGATCCTTAGAGAGGTGACTTGAGTTCTGTCTGACCTTTGTCAGACAGAAATTTCCTTGTGGGCAAATTGTGAGGGAGGTATGTAGCTCCTTATTTTTGTAGCTGTCTTATCTAGGACTAAACTGGGGGGCAGGTTTGCCTGACATAGTTGCCAGCTTGACTTTTCCCTTGGCTTAATGATTTTGGGGTCCCGAGATTTATTTTTCTTTCACACCTGTCCCACAGAAACCCCAATAAAGAATCTGAGGCCAGGCGTGGTGGCTCACACCTGTTAATCCCAGCACTTTGGGAGGCCGAGGCGGATGGATGGATCACCTGAGGTCAGAGACCAGCCTGACCAACATGGTGAAACCCCATCTCTACTAAAAATATAAAAATTATCTGGGCATGGTGGCGGGCGCCTGTAATCCCAGCTACTCAGGAGGCTGAGGCAGGAGAATTGCTTGAACCTGGGAGCCAGAGGTTGCAGTGAGCCGAGATCGTGCCATTGCACTCCAGACTGGGTGACAGAACAAGACTCTGTCTAAAAAAAAAAAAAAAAGAATCTGGCGTAGGCTTCCCCCAGATCCTGCTTATGCCTCCTGACCAAACTTGGTGCTTCTCCATGTGACATGGCATGGCATGCCTCTTGTTTCTAGAAAAACCGTGAGTTACATTAAACTTCCCTTTCAATGGCATTGGTCTCCTCACTTTGTCACTTAGTCACCTCCATAAATTAAAATTACATGGGTACAAATGAGACAATGAGCCATATGGAAGTCTGGGAAAGGAGCAGCACAGGAAAGGGTGTGGGAAATGGAAAGATAAGGAACTTGGAGAGGTCTGGGAGTCAGAAAGTCAGCCAGTGTGGCTGGAGCATAGTGAGCAAGGAGAGGAAGTAATAGGAGATGAAGGCAGGAAGACAGCCGGGCCAGAGTGTGTCAAACCTTAAAGGGACTGGGTCTTATTTGAGCATGAGTGCAGTGGGAAACCATTACAGGGTTCTGAGAGGAGTGTCATGTGCTGGCTTATGCTTTACAGGGCCCCCTTTGGCTGCTTTCTTTGAGGTAAGGGCAGAGGCAGGGAGACCAATCACTTTTCATCACTTCTGTTCAACATTGCACTGGAGGTTCTACCCAGAGCAATTAGGCAAGAAAATGAAATATGGCGAGGAACAGTGGCTCACGCCTGTAATCTCAGCACTTTGGGAGGCTGTGGTGGGTGAATCACTTGAGCTCAGGAATTCAAGACCAGCCAGGAATTTGAGACCAGCCTGGGCAAGATGGCGAAACCTCATCTCTACAAAAAATACAAAAATTAGCCAGGCATGGTGGTGTGTGCCTGTAGTCCCAGCTACTCAGGAGGATTGCTTGAGCCCAGGAGGTTGAGGCTGCAGTAAGTCTTGATCTGGCCACTGCACTCCAGCCTACAGAGTGCAGTCTGTAGGATGACAGAGCAAGATCCAGCCCCTCCCCCCTCCAAAAAAAAACAGAAAGAAAAGAAAAGATGAAATAAAAGGCATTCAGATTGCAAAAGAAAAAGTGAAATTATCTCTATTTGCAGATTACTTTATATTTTATATAGAGAATACTGGTTGGGTGCAATGGCTCACGCCTGCAATCCCCAGAACTTTGGGAAGCAGAGGCAAGTTGAGCATCTGAGGTCAGGAGTTCAAGACCAGTCTGGTCAACATGGTGAAACCCCATCCCTACTAAAAATACAAAAATTAGCCAGGTGTGGTGGTGGGCACCTGTAATCCCAGCTTCTCCGGAGACTGAGGCAGGAGAATCACTTGAACCCAGGAGGCAGAGGTTGCAGTGAGCCAAGATTGCACCACTGTTCTCCTGGGTGACAGAGCGAGAAAAAGAAAAATAAAAAACAATACTAAAGAACCTACTAAAAAAACTGTTAGAATTAGTAAATGAGATCAGCTAGATTGCAGGATACAAAAATCAATGTACAAAAATCATTTGTATTTCTACACAGTAGCAGTGAACAAACTGAAAATAAAATTTTAAAAAGATTCCATTTGGGCTGGGCACAGTGGCTCATGCCTGTAATCCCAGCAGTTTAGGAGACCAAGGCAGGCAGATCACCTGAGGTCAGGAGTTCGAGATCAGCCTGGCTAATATGGTGAAACCCCATCTCTACTAAATATACACAATTAGCTGGGCGTGGTGGCGGATGCCTGTGATCCCAGTTACTTGGGAGTCTGAGGCAGGAGAATCGCTTGAACCTAGGAGGCAGAGGTTGCAGTGAACCGACATCGTGACACTGCACTCCAGCCTGGGCGACAGAGTGAGACTCCATCTCAAAAAAAAAAAAAAAAAAGATTCCATTTTTGGCAGGGCATGGTGGCTCACGCCTATAACCCCAACACTTTGGGAGGCTGAGGCTGGAGGATTACTTAGGCCCAGCAGTTTTACTCTAGCCTAGTTGACATAGTAAGACACCATTTCTACTCTAAAAAATTTTATTTATTTATTTATTTTTTTGAGACGGATTCTCTTTCTGTCACCCAGGCTGGAGTGCAATGGCGCGATCTTGGCTCACTGCAACCTCTGCTTCCCAGGTTCAAGCGATTCTCCTGCCTTAGCCTCCTGAGTAGCTGAGATTACAGGTGTGCGCCACCATGCCCAGCTAATTTTGTATTTTTAGTAGAGATGGGGTTCACCATGTTGGTCAGGCTGGTCTCGAACTCCTGACCTCGTGATCTGCCTGCCTCAGCCTCCCAAAGTGCTGGGATTACAGGTGTAAGCCACCACACCCAGACATAAAAAAAAATTTTTTTAAAGAAAATATTTCATTTTGGCTGGATGAGGTGGCACACGCCTAGTGATAGCAGCAGGATAGCTATCCCAGTGATAGCAGCAGGAGGCAGACAAATCACTGGGCAGACAGGGTCAGGTCCCTGGTGAAACTTGACCTTCAAGCCGAAGGCAGTTTAAAGCCTGAATACCATGCTATGAGTCTTGGATAAATCCACGGACCAGATTGAGAACCTCTGTTCCCATTTGGTGCACTTTCCTGATTCATCCCCACCCTTCACCTATTTTACATATACCTACCCTTTCCTAATTGTTTTTCTTTTTTTTACAGTCATGTCCATCTTTGAGTGGTGCCTTTTTTTTTAGCCTTTTTTGCATACTCACAAACCAATCAGCATGCAATCCCCCATTATGAGCCCATAAGCCCCAGACTCAGCCACACTTGTGGGTGGGGGATCACCCTCCCCAAGTCCCCTCTCAGCTGAGAGCTGTTCCATATGGCTCAATAAAACTCTTCTCTGCCCTTCTCACCCTCTGGTTGTCCACGTAACATCATTCTTCTTGGATGCAGGACAAGAACTCAGGACCTACTGAATGGCGGGTGCCAAAGGAGCTGCTCTAACACTGTTGCCCTCTGCCCTCCACTGGCTCCAAGCAGATGACCCACGTGACAGGAAGCCACAGTTGAGGCCAGGCCAGCCCTGGAGCCACGGGCCAGAGTGGGGCAGCGGGACTCAATGAGCTGTAACACAGACTGGCTTAAACACGCCCCCAATCCCCCTGTTTGAAATGCTGTGGGCGATGGGAAGAGAAGAGCTATGTCCCTTCTGGGGGCCTAGACCTCGGGGCTCCCCAAGCCAAAGCTGTAGCACACTGTAACACCTCCTGTGGTGGGCTTCAGGGTCGCTGGCGTCTTGATTTTCTCAGGTGCCACTGCGTTCCCCTTGTCCAGGCACTGGTGCCCAAGGCAGGAGCAGGTCACAGCACCCCTGGCCCACCTGTTGGCTGAGTGCAAGCCAAGGGCAGCCTCTGGGCTGCGTGGGTGGGGTACCTCCAGATGCAAGCCTGGAGCCAAGCAAAGCCCTGTGAAGGGGGTTGCCAACCACAGAGGTCTCCGGCTGGTGAAACAGCACCAAAAAAATCCTGCATCACCAGCACTTTGAGAGGCTGAGGTGGGTGGATTACCTGAGATCAGGAGTTCAAGACCAGTCTGGGCAACATGGTGAAACCTCATCTCTACCAAAAATACAAAAAAAATGCCAGGTGTGGTGGTCCGTGCCTGTAGTCCCAGCTACTTGGGAGGCTGAGGTGGGAGGATCACTTGAATCTGGGACGTCAAGGCTACAGGGGGCTGAGATCACACCACTGTACTCCACACTGGGTGACAAAGGGAGACACTGTCTCAAAAAAAAAAAAAAAAAAGAAAGAAAGAAAAGAAAGAAAAAGAAAAGAAAACATTCCATTTTTATTTTTATTTATTTATTTATTTTTGAAACGGAGTCTTGCTCTGCCTTCAGGCTGGAGTGCAGTGGTGCAATCTCAGCTCACTGCAACCTCCTCCTCCTGGGTTCAAGCAATTCTCCTGCCTCAGCCTCCCAAGTAGCTGGGACTACAGGCATGTGCCAACACACCCAGCTAATTTTTGTATTTTTAGTAGAGACAGGGTTTTACCATATTGGCCAGGATGATCTCTATCTCTTAACCTTGTGATCTGCCCACGTGAGACTCCCAAAGTGCTGGGATTACAGATGTGAGCCACCGAGCCCAGCCAACATTCCATTTTTAATAGCATCAAAATGAATAAAATGCTTAGGAATAAGTTTATCCAAAAAGTGCAAAACTTACACTCTGAAAACTATAAACTATTGTTAAAGAAATAAAAAAACATCTAAATAAATGGCAAGATATCCCATGTCCATGGATTGGAAGACTTAATATAAATAAGATGACATTACTCCCCAAATTGATCTACAGAGTCAATACAATCCCTACCAAAATCTCAGATTTTTTTTTTGTGGAAATTGACAAGCTGACCCTAAAATTCGTATGAAAATTCAAGGTTTCAGCTGAGCACGGTGGCTCACGCCTGTAATCCCAGCACTTTGGGAGGCTGAGGCAGGTGGATCACGAGGTCAGGAGTTTGAGACCAGACTGGCCAATATGGTGAAACCCCGTCTCTACTGAAAATACAAAAATTAGCCGGGTGTGGTGACACATGCCTGTAGTCCCAGGTACTCAGGAGGCTCAGGCAGAAGAATTGCTTGAACCCAGGAGGCGGAGGTTGGAGATCGTGCCACTGCACTCCAGCCTAGGAAACAGAGCGAGACCCCATCAAAAAAGAGAGAGAGAGAGAAAGAAAGAAAGAAAGTTCAAAATTTGACAAAACTCAACCTCCTTTTATGATAAAAACTCCTAACAAATTAGATATAGAGGTAATGTTCCTCAACACAATAAAGGCCATATAACACAAGCCCACAGCAGCTAAAATCATATTCAACAGTGAAAAGTTAAAAGCTTTTCCTCTAAGATCAGGAAAAAGACAAGGATGCCCACTCTCACAACTTCTTTTTTTTTTTTTTTTGAGACATATTTTCCCTCTTGTTGCACAGGCTGGAGTGCAATGGTGTGATCTCGGTCTCGGCTCACCACGACGTCCACCTCCCAGGTTCAAGCGGTTCTCCTGCCTCAGCCTCCCGAGTAGCTGGGATTACAGGCATGCGCCACCACACCCTGGCTAATTTTGTATTTTTTATTTTTAGTAGAGACTGGGTTTCTCCATGTTGGTCAGGCTGGTCTCAACCCCTGACCTCAGGTGATCCGCCTGCCTCGGCCTCCCAAAGTTCTGGGATTACAAGTGTCAGCCACTGCGCCAGCCCACTCTCACCACTTCTATTCAATATAGTACTGCAAGTCCTACCAGAGCAATTAGGCAAGAAAAAAGAAGTAAAATAGAAAGGAAGAATTTAATGTGTCTTTGTTTGCCGATAACATGAATACCCTAAAGACTTTGAAAAAACCTGTTAGAACTGCTAAACAAATTTAGTAAAGTTTCAAGTGTGCAGGATACTGGCTGGGTGTGGTGGCTCACACCTGTAAACCCAGCACTTTAGGAGGCCGAGGCAGGTGGATCACTTAAGGTCAGGAGTTCAAGACCAGCCTGGCCAACATAGTGAAACCCCGTCTCTACTAAAAATACAAAAATTAGCCGGGCATGGTGACACAATCCTGTAATCCCAGCTACTGAGGAGGCTGAGGCAGAAGAATCGCTTGAACCCAGGAGGTGGAGGTTGCAGTGAGTCGAGATTTTGCCACTGCACTCCAGCCTGGGCAACAGAGTGAGACTCCATCACAAAAAAACAGAATTATAGAAGTAGAGAGTTGAATGGTGGTTACCAGATGCAGGAGGAGGCAGGAGGAGGCAGGAGGTGGTGGATGGGGAAAGGGTTGGTCTAAGGGTACATGCAAAGTTTCAGTTAGGAGAAATAAGTTCTAGTGATCTACTGCATAGCATGGTGACTATAGTTAATAATAATGGATTGTATATTCCAAAATTGCTTAAAGAGTCCATCTTAGATGTTCTTTCCACAAAGAAATAAGTATATGAGGTGACAGATAGGTAGATATATAAGTTAACTTTTTTTCTTTTCTTTTTTTTTTTTGAGACAGAGACTTGCTCTGTCACCCAGGCTGGAGTACAGGGGTGCAATCATATAGAAGCTCACTGCGGCCTCCACTTCCCAGGTTCAAGCGATTCTTATGTCTCAGCCACCTGAGTAGCTGGGATTAAGGCATGCGCCACCACAGCTGACTAATTTTTGTGGGTTTTTTTTTTTTTTTTTGAGACACAGTCTCGCTCTTTCACCCAGGCTGGAGTGCAGTGGCACGATCTCAGCTCACTGCAACCTCTGCCTCCCGGGTTCAAGCCATTCTCCTGCCTCAGCCTCCTGAGTAGCTAAGATTACAGCCATGTGCCACCACGTCCAGCTAATTTTTTTTTTTTTTTTTTGAGAAGGAATCTCACCCTGTTGCCTAGTCTGGAGTGCAGTGGCACGATCTTGGCTTGCTGCAACCTCCACCTCCCGGGTTCAAGCAATTCTCCTGTCTCAGTCTCTGGAGTAGCTGGGACTGCCCACCACCATGCCCAGCTAATTTTTGCATTTTTAGTAGAGACAGGATTTCACCATATTGGTCAGGTTGGTCTCAAACTCCTGACCTCAGGTGATCCACCCACCTTGGCCTCCCAAAGTGCTGGGATTACAGGTGTGAGCCACCACGTCTGGCCAATTTTTGTATTTTTAGTACAGATGGGGTTTCGCCATGTTGGCCAGACTGGCCTTGAACTCCTGACCTCAGGTGATCCACCCGCCTCTGCCTCTCAAAGTGCTAGGATTACAGGTGTGAGCCATAGTGCCCGGCTAATTTTTGTATTTTTAGTAGTGACGGAGTTTTGCCATTTTAGCCAGGCTGGTCTCAAACTCCTGGCCTCAAGTGATTCACCCGCTTTGGCCTCCCAAAGTTCTGGGATTACAGGCATGAGTCACTGCTCCTGACCTAGTTAACTTGATTTAATCATTCCACAGTGTATACATATAATAATACCTTTTACCCTATAATGATATACAATTATTATTTGTCAATTAGACATAAAGTTATAAAAAAATTCAAGTGACCCAGAATAGCCAAAACAACCTTGAAAAAAAGACAGCAAAGTTGGAAAACTCACACTTCCCAATTCCCTTCCCTTCCCTCCCCTCCCTTCCCCTTCCTTCCACTCCCTCTCCCTCCCCTCCCTTCCCCTCCCCTCCCTTCCCATCCTTTCCTCTTCCTTCCCCTTCCCCCTCCACTCCCCTCTCCTCCCTTCCCCTCCCTTACTCTTCCCTCCCCTCACCTTTCCTTTCCCCCTTCCTTTCTCCTTTCCTTGTTTGTTTTGTTTTTACAGACAGGATCTCTCTCCCAAGCTGGAGTGCAGTGGTGCAATTATAGCTCACTGCACCCTCAAACTCCTGAGCTAAAGCAATCCTCCCATTTCAGCCTCCTGAATAGCTAGGGCTACAGGTGCATGCCACCAAGCCCAGCTAATTAACAAAATATATTTTTTGGCTAGGTGTAGTGGCTCACACCTGTAATCCCAGCACTTTGGGAGGCCGAGGATGGCAGATCACCTGAGTTCAGGAGTTCCAGGCCAGCCTGGCCAACGTGGCGAAAGCCTGTCTCTACTAAAAATACAAAAATTAGCCAGGCATGGGGGCGGGAGCCTATAATTCAGCTACTCAGGAGGCTGAGGAGGGAGAATTGCTTGAACCCAGGAGGCAGTGGTTGCAGTGAGCCAAGATCATACCACTGCAATCCAGCCTGGGCAACAAGAGCAAAACTCCATCTCAAAAAAAAAAAAAATTCTTTTGTATAGACAGGATCTTGATGAGTTGCCCATGCTGGTCTTGAACTCTTGGCCTCAAGGGATCCTCAATCCTCAGTCTCCTACAGCACTGGGATTATATGTATGAGCCATGGAACCTGGGCCCCAATTTTAACTTACTACAAAGCTACAGTAATCAGATCAGTGAGGTACCGGCATAAGGAGAGATACATAAATCAATGGAATAGAATTGAAAGTCCAGACATAGGCTGGACGCAGTGGCTCACGCCTGTAATCCTAGCACATTGGGAGGCTGAGGTGGGCAGATCACGAGGTCAGGAGTTCGAGACCAGCCTGACCAACATGGTGAAACCCCGTCTCTACTAAAAATACAAAAATTAGCCAGGCGTGGTGGCGGGCGCCTGTAATTCATGCCACTGCACTCCAGCCTGGGCAACAGAGCAAGACTCCATCTCAAAAAAAAAAAAAAAAAGGAAAAAAAAATAAGTGAAAGGACAATCCACAGAATAGGAGAAAATGTTTACAAATTATATCTGATAAGGGACTTGTGTCCAGAATATACAAAGAATTCCAAGTTGGGAGCAGTGGCGTGTGCCTCTAGTCCCAGCTACTCAGGAGGCTGAGGCAAGAGGATCACTTGAGCCCAGGTGTTAGACACCAGCCTGGGCAACACAGGGAGACCCTCATCCTCTTGAAAAGAAATCCAATTTAAGAACGGGTAAAGGATCTGAATAGTCATTTCTCCAAGGAAGATATACAAATGGCAGTAAGTATGTGAAAAGATTCTCAACATCATGAATCATTAGGGAAATGCCAACGAAAACCACAATGAGATGCCACGTCACACCTACTAGAATGACTAATAAAAAGACACAGGATGTAGAGAAGCTGGAACCCTCATACACTGCTGGTGGGAATGTCAAATAGTACAGCTGCTTTGGAGAACAGGAAGATCATCTGGTAGTTTCTCCAAGTTTAAACATAGAGTTACCATTAAACCCATTAATTCCACTTACAAGTATGTACCCAGAGAAGTGAAAGCATGTCCACACAGAGACTTATACATGAATGTTCATAGCTGCATTATTCATAGTAGCCAAAAAGCTGAAATAACCAAAATGTCCATCAACTCATGAACAGATAAACAGAATGTGGTGTATCCCTATGATGGAATATTATTCAGCAATGAAAAGGAATAAAGTGCTGATACATGCTACAACATGAATAAACCATGAAAGCATTATGCTCAGTGAAAGAAGCCAGATACAAAAGATCACATATTTTATTATTCCGTATATATTAAATGTCCAGAATAGGCAAACCATAGGAACAAAAAGTAGATTATTGGTTGCCAGGGGCTGGGGAGGAGGTAATGCGGAATGACATCTAATGGATATAGGATCTCTTCTGACAGTGATAAAAATGCTCTAAAATTGATTATGTTCATATACATAACACTGTTGAATTGTATACTTTATATAGGTGAATTTTTTTTTTTTTTTGAGATGGCGTCTTGCTCTGTTGCCCAGGCTGGAGGGCAGTGGCGCAATCTCGGCTCACTACAACCTCCACCTTCAGGGTTCAAGCAGTTCTCCTGCCTCAGCCTCCCAAGTAGCTGGGATTACAGGCGTGTGCCACCACACCTAGCTAATTTTTGTATTCTTAGTAGAGACGGGGTTTCATCATGTTGGCCAGGCTGGTCTCGAACTCTTGACCTCGTGATTTGCCCACCTCAGCCTCCCAAAGTGCTGGAATTACAGGCGTGAGCCACCACACCCACCCCAGGTGAATTGTATAAATGTGAATTTATAGCTCGAATAGACTGTTATTAAGAGCAAAAAGAGGCTGATGGTAGTGGCTCACCCTTGTAATCCCAGTGCTCTGGGAGGCAGAGATGGGTGGATCACTTGAGCCCAGGAGTTTGAGACCAGCCTAGGCACACAGGGAGACCCCATCTCCACAAAAAGTACAAAAATTAGCTGGGCATGGTGGCACGTATCTGTAGTCCCAGCTATTTCAGAGGCTGAGGTGGTAGGATCACTTCAACCAGGGAGATTGAGGCTGCAGAGGGCTCTGCGTTCACACCACTGCACTCCAGCCTGGGCTACAAAGAGACCCTGTCTCAAAAAATAAAAATTAAAAAAAAAAAAAGAGAAAGAGCAAAAAGAGAGGGCTGGCAAGGGCTGGAGCAAGGGCAGCATTGATTGGGTGTTGCGAAGTGCTTGGATGTGGCTCAGTAGTGGGTACAGAAGATCAGGGGCCTGGAGTAGGGAGGAGCACCAGAGCAGGCTGAGCCCAGTCCAGAGGCAGCTGGGTGGGGTCCTGGGAAGAGGCACCTGTTGAGGCTCTCTCCCATCACTTTTATGGGCTCAGTGGACTCAGGAGGAAGGTCGTCTGTGAAGAGTGAGCCAAGGAGGTGAGAAATTGTGGTCTGTGTCTGGAAGCGCAGGGTGCATTGACTGGGAAGGAATCAGTCCAACCTGCCAGCACCTAGGGTCCATCTGAGGTCAGGGGTCAGGAAGATCAACTGAAACTAGGCAGCAGGGCCTACACAACCATGGGCTGCTGGTGTCTGGGTATGGACATGGGTGGGGGTTAACAGGGCTTGGAAGGAGACACTTAGAAAATAATACAAATGCTAACTGGAAAACAGGCAACACAACTTCCACCTTAGAATCTCACCTCTGTTAGAGCATTATGCATGTGTGTTGGGAGTTGTGGGGGACTGAGTTCCTCTGGACACTACCCCTTCTCTCCTCCCTGCCCACCTGCACCAACTTAGCCCATGAGAGCTGCTGGCCCACAGGAAGTTCTGGGGTGCAGACCCTGTCAGGTCTTGGGCATAGGAGCCCAGCGGCTAGAAGGGCCCAAAGGCAGCTAGAGGAGAATGGGTTGAAATTTATCCCTCCTGTGACCAGCCAGCAGAGTTTGGGGCATAGCTGATTTTTGTCCTCACTTTGCAGATGTCGGCACCTTGCCTGACTTGGGGTTCAGAAACTCGGCGCGGTGGCTCATGCCTGTAATCCCAGCACTTTGGGAGGCCGAGGCGGGTGGATCATGAGGTCAGGGGTTTGAGACCAGCCTGGCCAAAATGGTGAAACTTCGTCTCTACTAAAAATACAAAAATTAGCCGGGTGTGTGGCACATGCCTGTAGTCCCAGCTACTCAGGAGTCTGAGGCAGAAGAATCGCTTGAACCCAGGAGGCAGAGGTAGCAGTGAGCCTAGACTGTGCCATTGCACTCCAGCCTGGGTGACAGAGCAAGACTCCATCTCAAAAAAAAGAAACTCGGAAGTATCTGAATATGGTGCCCATGGCATGGACATGTCAGCTGGGGCCACAGCCAGGGGCCTGCTGGTCATGGGCAACTGGGAGACAGAGGCAGAGAGAGAAGTGTGGAGGGTCCTTCACAAGACTGTGCCTGTCAGGCTGATGTAGCTCCTGCAAGCTCCCCAAGAATGCCAAGGAGCCAGGGGGAAGTGGCGTGGTGACCCTGGGTGGAGGGAGCATGGATGGTGGAGCTGACCCAGTTCCATCTGTATAAACACATGCAGTGGGGGCCAGTGCTGCTGGAATGTTGTATGTGGAATAGCAGAAGAACATCAATACGCTAAAAGTAGTAGTTTTTTTTTTTCTGGGAGACAGGATTACAGTAAATTTTATTTAATTCTCTTTACTTTAGCTTTCTGTTTTGTTTTTCAGAGACAAGGTCTCACTCTGTTGCCCAGGCAGTGATGCAATCACAGCTCATGGCAGATGACCTCCTGGGCTCAAGCAATCCTCCCACCTCAGCCTCCTGAGTAGCTGGGGCCACAGGCATATGCCACCATGCCTGTGGTGGCTAATTTTTAATTTTTTTGTAGAAATGGGGTCTTGCTATGGTATCCAGGCTGGTCTCGAACTCCTGGGCTACCCATGTCAGCCTCCCAAAGTACTGAGATTACAGGCATGAGCCACAGCACCTGGTCTTACTTTTTTTTTTTTTTTTTTTTTTTTTTGAGACGGAGTTTCCCTCTTGTTGCCCAAGCTGGAGTGCAATGGCGCAATCTTGACTCACTGCAACCTCCACCTCCCAGGTTCAAGCGATTCTCCCACCTCAGCTTCCCGAGTAGCTGGGATTACAAGCACGCGCCACCACCCCTGGCTAATTTTTTGTATTTTGAGTAGAAACAGGATTTTACCATGTTAGCCAGGCTGGTCTCGAACTCCTCACCTCAGGTGATCCACCCGCCTCGGCCTTCCAAACTGCTGGGATTATAGGCGTGAGCCACCGCGCCGAGCCGGTCTTACATATTTTTATGTTTTACAATAAATAGGTATTGTTTTTGTGACAGTCTGGGGCCAGGCCTGTGGTGGAGCCTGGGTGCAGGCTGGACAAGTCCTGGAGTGGGGCATGGGTGGGGCCTGAGGTGGGCTTGGAGTAGGACCTGTGGTAAAGCCTGCGTAGGACCTAGGGTACAGCCTGGGACAGAGCTTCAGAGGAGCCCGGGGTCCTGGTGGACCCTGTGAGGCTATGACTGGCTCAGTGAGCCCTGGCTGCTGCTGTACTCTGAGTGAGGAGCGGCAGGGTGACCAGGCTTTTGGAATCTGTGCTAGGAAGTGAAGGTGGACGGGAGAAGCAGCAGGAGATCAGCTGCAGCCACCACACTGGTCCTAGGCCCAGGTGACAGGACATAGGTGTCTGGTGCCACCTTCACTTCACCCCTCCTGACCTCTGACCCTGCACCGTGGGCATGCACATTAACCCCTGCTCCCCATGTCCAGTGCCCGCTCTTTGACCCTCCCCTCTTCACTACTCTGTGTCGAGATCTCAACTCGCAGGGTGGCCAGCCACCGATTCTTTTTTTTTTTCTGAGGCGGAGTGCGATGGTGAGATCTCGGCTCACTGCAACCTCTGCCTCCCGGGTTCAAGCTATTCTCCTGCCTCAGCCTCCCGAGTAGCTGGGACTACAGGCACGTGCTACCACACCCAGCTAATTTTTGTATTTTTAGTAGAGACGGGGTTTCACCATGTTGCCCAGGATGGTCTCGATCTCTTGACCTCATGATCCGCCCGCCTCGGCCTCCCAAAGTGCTGGGATTACAGGCATGAGCCACCGCACCGGGCAGATTCTCCTAGAACTTTAAGAAGTATGAAAAGGTTGAGCCAGCTAGCAGGAGAGCGAAGGTAAGAAAATTGAATAGGGAATTTGACCAACAGGACCGGGTGGGCCACTTAGAGCCAAAGTTCCAGGACAGCAGAAGCTCTCAGAAGGTAGAGCTATCTGAGCAGATATGAAGAAGCAGAGAGGAAGGCTTTTTCATACATAACTCTGAGAAGATCTCCATGATCCTTGCAGTAAAGAAGACAAAACTATGGCAGGCACCCTGGTGTAAAGTGACCATCCACTCCCACCCGGCTCTGCTGCCTGCTCCAGGGCAAGTCACCCTGCTGGGAAGGCACCAGCACTGTCAGACCAGCCCTGCCCCTTTCTCTCCAGACCTCACCCATGGCAAAGTAGACTCTTATGAAGAGACAGCTGTTGGCAGCTGTCCCACCCCCACCTCTGCTCAGCTGCCCAGTAAGATGGCAGGGAGAATGGCCATAGCCACCCAGCCTGTTTTCAGCTCTCTCCCCCGCCACATCTGCTCAAGTCACCATTTCAACAATGTGATTTTAGACATCTGCAGCCTCTCTACCCACTGTTAAACAAATTTCAGCACATTTAGTTTAGTTTAAAAATCAAATTCGGCTGGGCACAGTGGCTCACGCCTGTAATCCCAACACTTTGGGAGGCAGAGGCAGGAGGATCACTTGAGGTCAGGAGTTCAAGACCAGCCTGGCCAACATGGTGAAACCCCGTCTCTACTAAAAATACAAAATCCGCTGGGCATGGTGGTGAACACCTGTAGTCTCAGCTACTTGGGAGGCCGAAGCAGGAGAATAGCTTGAACCCGGGAAGCAGAGGTTGCAGTGAGCCGAGATCACACCATTGCACTACAGCCTGGGCAACAAGAGTGAAACTCCGTCTCAAAAATAAATAAATAAATAAATAAATAAATAAATAAATAAATAAAGATTTTAAAAAGTGTTTTATTGAGACAGAGTCTCGCTCTGTTGCCTAGGCTGGAGTGCGTGGTGCAATTTCGGTTCACTGCAACCTCTACCTCCTGGGTTTAAGCGATTCTCCTGCCTCAGCCTCCCAAGGAGCTGGGATTACAGGCACGCACCACCATGCCTGGCTAATTTTTGTATTTTTAGTAGAGACGGGGTTTCACTATGTTGCCCAGGCTGGTCTCAAACTCCTGGCCTCAAGTGATCCACCCACCTCGACCTCCCAAAGTGCTGGGATTACAGGCATGAGCCACTGTGCCCAGCTAATTTTGTATTTTTAGTAGAGACGGGGTTTCACCATGTTGGTCAGGTTGGTCTCTGACCTCAGGTGATCCACCCACCCGCCTCGGCCTCCCAAAGTGTTGGGATTACAGGTGTGAGCCACTGTGCCATCCTCAAATTGGTTTTTATTAGTGGTTCATGAGTTGGCCAGCATATCATCTAAGGATTTAGAAAACGCACTCCAATGAGAGGAGCGGAGGAGATTGGTTTTGTTGAAAAGGGCTGAGGAAAGAAAAATAGAGAACAAAAAGGGGGTGGGTCATTTTAAATTACTTTCCTTACAGGGTTAAAACAAAGAGGACTTTCTTGTCAAGCCGGCTCAGGAAAACAGGGACCCTTCTGATTGGTTGCTGTGAATTTCCTGTTTTTTGGAAAACTGGCCCGTTTCAAAGTTCAGTTGGGCGATGTGGTACCTAGCATGAGTGATTCCATTTTGGTTTGCTCTGGTCCACTGGGGCCTAGTGCAGGATCTTACTCCAAAACAATGGTCTCCATACATTTCACTGAACTCCACCCCACTCAGCAGCCTGCTCGCTTTATGCCTCTAACAATAGCTCCTGTCTTTGGTCCCCCTCAGTCCAATGGGTCCCATACTCACCTCTAAGATTGATCTCCCTAAAGTGCGATAAGGCTATTCCATTCTGCTTTATTTATTTATTTATTTTGGTTCCCTATTGCCTACAATGTAAATCATGATACATCTATAAAACAAACAGTCATGAAGACTATTTTAGGCTGGGCTTGGCGGCTCACACCTGTAATCCCAGAACTTTGGGAGACCAAGGCTGGAGGATCACTTGAGGCCAGGAGTTTGAGGCCAGCCTGGGGAACATAACAAAACCCTGTCTGTACTAAAAATAAAAATAGCCGGGCACAGTGGCTCACACCTGTAATCCCAGCACTTTGGGAGGCTGAGGTGGGAGGATCACAAGGTCAGGAGTTTGAGACCAGCCTGACCAACATGGTGAAACCCCGTCTCTACTAAAAATACAAAAAGTACCCAGGTGTGGTGGCACATGCCTGTAGTCCCAGCTACTTGGGAGGCTAAGGCAGGAGAATTGCTTGAACCTGGGAGGCAGACGTTACAGTGAGCTGAGATCGCACCACTGCACTCCAGCATGGTCGACAAAGCAAGACTCCGTCTCAAAAATAAATAAATAAATAAAAATAAAAAGTAGCCAGACGTGGTGGTATGTGCCTATAGTCCCAGATGCTCAAGAGGCTGAGGTGGGAGGATCCCCTGAGTGCAGGAGTTGGAGGTTGCAGTGAGCCATGATCATGCCACTGCACTCCAGCCTGGGTGACAGAGAAGAAAATAAATTGTAAGATTTTTAAATAGCTTTTTTTTTTCTGATTCTACAAATAATGTATTCTTGTTTTGTTTTGTTTTATTTGAGGCTCTGTTACCCAGGCAGGAGTGAGTGGTGTAATCACAGCTCACTGCAGCCTTAAACCTCTCAGACTCAGGTGATATTCCTACCTCGGCCTCCCAAGTAGCTGGGACTACAGATGCAAGCCACCATGCCTGGCTATTTTTGAAAAATTTTTTGTAGAGATGGAGTCTCACTACGTTGCCCAGGCTGGTCTCAAACTCCTAGGCTTGACCGATCCTCCAGCCTCAGCCTCCCAAAGTGCTGGATTATACGTGTAAGCCACTGTGCCAGTCCCTGATTCTACAAAGAATGCATTCATGCATTCTTATTCATGGTTTGGCACATTTCCTTCCTGTCTTTTTTTTTTTTTTTTGAGACGGAGTCTCACTCGGTGGCCCAAGCTGGAGTGCAATGGTGTGATCTCAGCTCACTGCAACCTCTGCCTCCCAGGCTCAAGTGATTCTTGTGCCTCAGCCTCCTGAGTAGCTGGGACTACAGGTGCGTGCCACCACACCTGGCTAATTTTTTGTATGTTAGTAGAGACGGGGTTTCACCATGTTGCCTAGGGTGGTCTTGAACTCCTGAGCTCAGGCGATCCATCCACCTTGGCCTCCCAAAGTGCTGGGATTACAGCCGTGAGCCACCGCACCTGGCCCCTTCCTGTCCTTTTTTTTTTTTAATGCCTTTCTAAATACTTTTTTAGATTTTAGTGCCCCTACAAACACTGTGCCATGTTTCTTTATTTCTGTCTACACACACACACACACACACACACACACACACACACTTTGTTGTTTTGTTTTAACCTTATGAGCCTTAATTGCTGACACATGACTCCCAGTGGGCTATTAAACATTCATTCAATGCAATTTATTTATTTATTATTATTATTTTTAGGACAGAATCTCACTCTGTTGCCCAGGCTGGAATGCAGTGGTGCAATCTCAGCTCACTGCAACCTCCACCTCCCGGGTTCAAACGATTCTCCTGCCTCAGCCTCCTGAGTAGCTGGGATTACAGGACCCTGCCACCACGCCCAGCTAATTCTGTATTTTTAGTAGAGATGGGGTTTCACCATGTTGGCCAGACTGGTCTCGAACTCCTGACCTCAAGTGATCTGCCCGCCTCGGCCTCCCAAAGTGCTGGGATTACAGGCATGAGCCATCATGCCCAGCCCATTCAATGCAATTACCCTCTAGGCTATAATCAAATTTCCCCAATTGTCCCAATAGTGTCCCTGCCCCAGTCTAGTTAAGGAGCATGGCATTTTCTTCTCTTGTCTCTAGTCTCCCCTAATCCAGACCTGTGGAGGCTAAAGCAAGTCCATCTTTGATGCCGATCTGCCATGATGACCTCTGATTAACCTCTGTTCTGGGAAGGCCTCTAAGATTTCCAGTTTATCTATTGTTCCTTGTGTAAGAGGCCTTATTGTAATTCCTGCCCTTAGGTCAAAACAGTCTTGATGTTATCATACCTCAATTGTCCTATACATCCCTTCAGGGTCACCCTTTCCCTATCCCATGTAAGCCCCTGATACACAGACAGGGCTTCAGCTCATGAGTTCCTATTAAATGTTTCTTTTGGAGAAACTGAATTTGTCAGCCTCTTTCTTTAACCTCTTAGCTTCCTCCGACTTTAGGGGCAGGCTTGCACAGACCTGCTTACCGAGAAATGAGACCATTTCCCCAGGCCTGACGTTCTCTGAGAGTCACAGACAGTGCTGGAGACTGAGCCTTTGTGTAGATCTGTCTTATTTTTTCATGATCAGATTCAGGTTGAACATTTCTGGCTGGAAATTCTACTTGAAGGAGTCTGTATCTTTTCTCTGAGTATCACATCAGGTACCCAGGATGTCAAATGGTCCCACTGTTGGTGTTGTTGACCTTGGTCATTTTGCTAAGGTAGTGTCTGACCAATGTTATTATAAAGGTTCCTTTCTCCCCGTATAATGAATTAGAGGCCTGTGGGAAGACTGTGTGCTCCGTAAAGGCTTTTCAGGAAACAAAGATGTTGGCATTGTGCAACTTTGTATGATGTTTTCAGTTAGCAAATTGTGACTGTCTGCTCATACCATTAAATATTCTTCAAAAACATGATTTCCAACCTGTGGGTGCGTTCTACTTAACTATTACCTACTAGGATGTAACTATTAGCTTGCTAACACAAGCTCCACGACAATGCAGATTTTCATCAGTTTTACTTACTGCCATGTTTCCAGCACTGAGAGTGGTATCTGGCACACAGTAGAAGCTCAACAGAAAATTGTTGAATGAATGAATACAGCTTGTGTGTAATTTTTCAATATCCTAATGTCACAGCAAACATCCTTGTAAATAAATCTTTGAAGTATTTATTTTGTGAGAAACACAGATAATGCTTGTAAGGGAAATGTTTATGTTGATAATGTGAAAAAATAAGAATGCAAAATCATACATATGCCATATTCTCCACAACATCAAGATATGCAAAGAGAACCATCTGGGAAAAAAACAGAGCAAACAATTGACTGGAATTATCTCTGAACAGTTTTAAGGTATTTTGAACATTTCTCTGTATTTTCCACAATGAGAATATACCGCTTGTATGCAAAGGAGCAGCAGCACCTTTCTCTTTTTTTTTTTTTTTTGAGATGGAGTCTCGCTCTGTCGCCCAGGCTGGAGTGCAGTGGCGTGATCTTCGCTGACTGCAAGCTCCACCTCCTGGGTTCACGCCATTCTCCTGCCTCAGCCTCCCAGGTAGCTGTGGCTACAGGGCCCGCCACCATGCCTGGCTAATGTTTTGTATTTTTAGTAGAGACAGGGTTTCACCATGTTAGCCAGGATGGTCTCGATCTCCTGACCTCGTGATCCGCCCACCTCGGCCTCCCAAAGTGCTGGGATTACAGGCGTGAGCCACTGCGCCCGGCCTACCTTTTTCTTTTTAAAGTTAGTTTTGCAAGTCAAGAGTCATAGTAACTGGGGGTACCCAAACTGGTTAAAAACCAAATTCAGGTTAAGGCCACACCAACTGTAGGAGACTGTGGACTCGCAGGAGCCCCTGGACGCTGGGCTAGGCTGATTACATTTAGGATATCAGGTTCCCTTTCTGGTGTCACATTTTAAAAGCGATATTGTCTAACTGGTGCCTGTCTAAAGGAGAGTGGCCAGTTGGTACAGGATCTGAAAATTGTGTTACTGTTAACACTTAAGGAACTGGGAGCATTATTCCTCCAACAGAAGACTGGGGGATTGAGAAGTTGCTTTTAATATTTGAAGAGCTGTCAAATAACAAAGTGATGATTCTTATTTTATGCACTTGTAGAGGAAAAGCTTCAATAAGGCAGTTTTTTTATTCTAGTAAATGAGGAAGACTTTTTTTTTTTTTTTTGAGACAGAATCTCACTCTGTCGTCCAGGCTGGAGTGCAGTGGTGTGATCTCGGCTCACTGCAACCTCCACCTCCCGGGTTCAGCAATTCTCCTGCCTCAGCCTCCCGAGTAGCTGGGACTACAGGTACACACCACCATGCCCGGCTAATTTTTGTACTTTTAGTAGAGACAGGGTTTCACCATGTTGGCCAGGCTGGTCTCGAACTCCTGACCTCACGTGATCTGCCTGCCTCGGCCTCCCAAAGTGCTGGGATTACAGGCGTGAGCCACCGCGCCAGGCAACTTTTTTTTTTGGGGGGGTGATGGTGGGGGGATAGAGTCTCGCTCTGTCACCCACGGTGGAGTGCAGTGGTGCGATCTCAGCTCACTGCAACCTCTGCCTCTCGGGTTCAAGCGATTCTCCTGCCTCCGCCTCCCGAATAGCTGGGAATACAGGTGCATGCCACCACACCTGGCTAATTTTTGTATTTTTAGTAGAGTAGGGTTTCACGCCACCATGCCTGGCTAATTTTTGTATTTTTTAGTAGAGACAGGGTTTCACCATGTTGGCCAGGCTGGTCTCGAACTCCTGATCTCAGGTGATCCACCCATCTTGGCCTCCAAAAGTGCTAGGATTACAGGCGTGAGCCACTGTGCCCGGCCTCAAGGAAGACTTTCTTAACAATTCATCATATAGTAGAAAATGAAAACATTCCCTAGAAAGGAGTGGACACCAGGTGGCCTTTCCCAGGGGAGCAGGGCAGGAATTATTGAAGCAGTTAGGAGGTGAGAGAGATGCCTGCCCTGGGGGCACCTGGGATGCTTGGCGTGGCCACTTCCAGCATCCTCCACAAACCTGCCTGCAACTCCCCCATACATGCAGCCTCTTCCGAGACAGAGGAATGGTCAGGGTCCCCTGGTGCCTGCCTCCCCCTTCATTTGGGTCTCTTCTTCAGGGCCAGCTCCACAGAGAATCCGTCCCTCATACCTCATCACTCCCTCCCCATTCTCTGGCCCTGATTTAGTTTTCTTCCTAACACTCTTTCTGACAGACACACTGTTACCTGTTAACTCATTTCCTTCTGTTTGTCCCCTCTAACATGCTTGCTGTATGGATGGAGGGGCCTTATTCTCCTGGTTCCTGGGGACAGACCAGTGTTCACAGACCCCAGACCAGGGACTGTTGTACAGCAGGCCTGCCATATTTGTTCAATGAACGAATGATTCCCAAAAGAAATAGAGCACAGAGTTCAGAGGCGGCCTTCAGGGAAGAAATTTCAACAATGTCAAAAATTAATTGTGGAGTATCCATTGATAGATGAATGGATAACTTAAATGTGGAATATGCATACAATGGAATATTATTCAGCCATAAGAAAGAAGGGGCTGGGCGCCGTGGCTCACGCCTGTAATCCCAACACTTTGGGAGGCCCAGGCAGGCGGATCACGAGGTCAGGAGATCGATTCCATCCTGGCCAACATGATGAACCCCGTCTCTACTAAAACACACACACAAAAAAATTAGCCAGGCGTGGTGGCGTGCCCCTGTAGTCTCAGCTACTCAGGAGGCTGAGGCAGGGGAATCGCTTGAACCTGGGAGGTGGAGGTTGCAGTGAGCCGAGATTGCACCACTGCACTCCAGCCTGGCGACAGAGTGAGACTCCGTCAAAAAAAAGAAGGGAAGGGAAGGGGAGGGAAGAAGGAAGGAAAGAAGGAAGGAAAGAAAGAAAGAAAGAAAGAGAGAGAGAAAGGAAAGAAAGAAAGAAAGAAAGAAAGAAAGAAAGAAAGAAAGAAAGAAAGAAATTCTGACACATGCCACAACATGGATGGAAGTGAGGACACTGTGCTAACTAAAGTAAGACTGTCACAAAAAGACATATAATGTATGATTCCACTTATACGATGTCCTTAGAGTAGTCTAATTTAGAGACGAATAGTGAATGCCAAAGGCTAGGAGGAGGAAAGAATGGGGAGCTAGTGTTTACTGGGTATGGAGTTTCCATTTGAGAAGATGAAAAAGTCCTGGAGACGGTTGGTGGTTGCACAAGAATGTGAATGTACTTGGTGCCACAGAACTACACTTGGAAACAGTTAAGATGGTAAGTTTTACGTTATGTGTATTTTACCACAATTAAGAAAAATTAATTATGGGTAGTTGAGAGAATGTGGTCTTCCTCAACTTACGGTAGGAAAAGTCAAGAATAACTTAAAGGCTGATAATAGCATTTCAAAGATCGAAACTGATCAGAGAGGCTATTCCATCAGGCTAGACTAGCTCAATAGTGACTTTTTCCAGAAGGAGAACCACTGGGAAGAGAGAACTGAGCAGTGAGGACAGCGAACTTGTTAAGTTTAGTTTTCTGCTTTAACGAGGGGCTTCCGGAGTCCTTTAATAAGATCCCCTCCCAAAAGTGGCACCCTGGGTCTCTCTGTCTCCCAGTCGTGTCCCCGCCCGCCGGGCCAGAGCAATGGACTCCCAGGAAGCAGGGGGGGCGCGGGCGGGGCGCGGGCGGGGCGGGTGGGGGAAGGGCAAGGACTCACTCTTCCTTTCCTCCTCCGCCGGGGCCCGCCCCGAGCCCTGGCCCCACCCCGGCTCTCTGGATCCGCCTCCTCCTCCCGACCCCGCCCCGGCACCTTGGCCCCGCCTTCCACTCGGCCCCGCCCCGGCGTCCTGGCCCCGCCTCCGCCGCCCGGCCCCGCCCCGCTCCCGGCGGACTGCGAGCAGGAAGAGCGCAGTGGCTCTGCCGACGCCGCGTTCAGAAAGGTGTGGAGGGGGCTGGGGGCGCAGGTCGCGATCAGGCTGCGTCTCCTGCCCGCCCAGCCACCTGCGGCCCTGGCCCCACCCTGCCGCTTTGGGCCGCTCGGGCTCGCGGCCGCCCCCGCCCCGAGCGCCGGCTCGGGGCTCTGCTGCTCTGGCCTGGGAGGCGGGGCCGGCTGCGCGGCGTCATGCATATGCATGAGCGGCGCGGCGGCGGCTCCATTGTGCCCTCGGAGCGGGCGGCGGCGCGATGGCGCGGGTGGCGGCGGCCCCGGGGCGGCGGGCGGCGCGGAGGGCGGGCTGAGCGCATGGAGCGGCGCGGGCCGGGGGCCGCCACGGCGAGGGGCCGGGCCAGGCCGGGCGGAGGTGAGCGGGGTCCTGGGGGTGGCCCCTGGCAACGCCGCCAGCAGGCAGGTGTGGGCCGGCGGGGGCAGGCAGGTGCGGCAGGTGCGGGCCGGCAGGTGCGGGCGGGCAGGCAGGTGTAGCTGGTCGCCCGGGGCGCCCCGGTTCCGCTGCGGCGCCACGGTAGGGTTCACAGCTGGGCTGGGGCTAGAGGCTCTGCCGCCCACCTGCCGGCACCTGCCACGCGTGCGTCGTGGTCTTGGGCAGGCTCGGCCCCGTGGGCGTCAGGGTCATCCAGCCCTCCCCTGAGTCTTTGTTGGAGGCTGGCCGAGGGGTGTAAGCGGCGCTCGGGGTTCTCCTGAGCGATGAAGGCTGGCCGGGCCTTCGCTCCAACCTGATCGTTCCTAGCTTTGGGGCCAGGCAGTCTCACCTACATGGTACGCCCCTCCGCTCCTACTTACGTGCCCACCAGCACGGCGATGTGGGGGCCGTCTGAGGCCGTCACCTGCTCGCGGAGGAGCTGTTCCGCTCCTGGGCTGAACGACGCTGAGCGGCCAGCCCCCAGCTGCCAGTTTTGATGGGGACACCCCTTTCCAAACTGGACATACTGAAGCTCAGGCGTGAGGATGCCCTGCTCCCCTGAGGTGCCTTGTCTTCCCTAGTGCCAGGTGTCCTTCACCGCGGCACCCCCACCCGGTGCCTTGTTTACCCCTCCACCTACCGTGTCTCTCCTCCCATTCCCTGGACCCTCTGCCCTGCAGTGTTCTGCCTCTCCTTCTCCCTAGGGTACCCTCTTTCCAGTATTACAGAACATCCATGGTGGTGTCTTTAATTTGTGTCATCGCAGATTTCACAGGGACACACACGGAACATGTGACTTGGTCTGAGACCGTGGTGATTACGGATAGGATGGACACAGACTCACCACCAAGTTCTGGCAAGCTAGAACCAGAGGGCATCCCTTGATGCTTAGTGTGGAAACAGGAGAAGTGAAGGAATCTTAACTTCCAGAGGTACTGACCTCTAGCCCTTGTCATGCCCAGGGGATAGTTACAAGCTGGAAGTGTAAATGAAGAGAACAAGCAGGTGACAGTTGCCGGTTGTAGATTTCTGAAGGACAGGCCTAAGATGTTTGGGGAGCATCCTGATTATTGGGATTGAGCTCCCAAGGGCTGATGACATGAAGGTGGTCATGTGTCCTCAGTCCTAGGATGCTACCAGATATCCATCTTACACATTGTAAACTGATGCCAGGTTAAGGTTGTCCCTTCAGCTGTTCACTGAAATGTCTCATGCCTGGGCCATTGCTTATTCCTGGACTTTTTGATGAACTCTGCATCCTGACTTAGCCCCACGCTTAGACATTTTAGTACTGTGGCCTTACAGGTAGAGGGGGCAGGACTTTCAGCTACCTGTATATGTGAGTACCCCACTTTTTGCTACCAAGGACCCCGCTCCTGCAACATTCCACAGCCATCATTTCTTCAATACCCTTTGACTCCATTGTCACCTGGGTTGGATCCTGACCCTGCAATCTTGGAGACAGTGAGTCCTGATGTGTGACCTATTGAGAAGCGTTGCCTGCCACAGGGCCCACTTGCTGGTCCTGCTCCTAGCTGACTAGGCAGGCAGAGAGGTGGCATGGAACAAGGCTCAGGAGGTCAACCAGGAGACTTGGGGGTGCAGCTACTCTGGGACATTTGGGGAAGAGAGGTCTGGGGTAGTGAGTTCTGTAACTCTGTCTAGAGGAAGATGTGATCTGACCCCCGAGAAAGCCTTGTGGCCCTCTAGACTGACCTTGTCCATCTCTCAAGGGGTCCTAGCTTCCAGCTGGAGTTAGTTTACAAGGAAAGCGCCAGGCACTAAGACCCTTGGTGGGCATGGGCCTTGCATGATCTGGGATCCAGATTCCAGGCTCCAGGCTTGTTCCCAACCCAGACTCAAAGCCAGGAGATGAGAAGAGGATCTGCACACACACAACGCAGAACACTATCCTATCATCAGGGGCACAGGGTCAAGGATACCAGACCTGGAGACTGGAAGTCTTTTCAGAGAGACTGTCCTCAGAGAGGAGACCAGAGGCATGAGTTCGGGTCGGCAGGAAATCCCCCTGTGCAGTGAAGAGTAAGCTCAGAGGGAACTGGAAATCTTTGTGGTCTCTGTCCACAGCAGAGAACCATCAGGGGTGGAATTCCCCAGGCTCATGTGACATAGGAGCCTGCTGTGGGCTCCTCCCCTCCTTGTACCTGCCCTGTGCTCCTTCTCCCCAGCTCACTGCATTTCCTAGATCTGAGGTTCTCAAACTACAGTTCCTGGACCAGCAGCAGCAGTAGCTGCAAACTTGTTAGAAATTCTGGGCTTAGGCCCCAGCCCATCCTACTGACTTCAGGTGGGGCTGGGCAGCCTGTCATCACCAGCTGCGAGCTGGTTTTGATGTGCTGCAGTTGGGGAGCTGCTGCCCTAGGTGACCTAAAATGAGGCAGTGCTGCACAGAGTGCTGCCTGCACTTTGAGGCCTTTGACCACGGGCGGGGGAGGGGGCACATCTGCTTGCCTGCCAGATTCCCTCTCTGTTCTTGGGACAGCAAAGTGGCCAGCCAACCCAACCAGCTTTCTAGTGGGGAAAGATTGTCACAGCAGTTCTGCGGAGACAGAAGGCTGGTGGTAGCAGTTGTATTGTAATTAAACTTTTTATTTTGAAATTATTGGCTGGACACAGTGGTGCTCACCTCTAATCCCAGCACTTTGGGAGGCCGAGGTGGGTGGATCACTTGAGGTCAAGAGTTCAAGACCAGCCTGGCCAACATGGCGAAACTTCATCTCCACTAAAAATACAAAAATTAGCCAGGCATGGACTATGGTGGTGTACACCTGTAGTCCAGTTACTCAGGAGGCTGAGGCAGGAGAATCGCTTGAACCTGGGAGGTGGAGGTTGCAGTGAGCCTAGATCGTGCCACTGCACTCCAGCCTCGGTGAAAGAGCAAGATTCCATCTCAAAAAGAAAAAAAAAAAATTAAAGATTCATGTGCATTATAAGAAATGACACAGAGAGATTTATTCTGTCCTTTACCCAGTTTGCCCCAATGGTAACATCTTGGAAAACTAGTACAACATTGCACCAGGACACTACACTGATACAGTAAAGAGGTTACAGCCTGTTGCCTTCTATTTTTTTTTTTTGAGATGGAGTTTCACTCTTGCTGCCCAGGCTGGAGTGCAATGGTGCGATCGGCTCACTGCAACCTCCACCTCCTGGGTTCAAATGATTCTCCTGCCTCAGCCTCCTGAGTAGCTGGGATTACAGGCGCCCACCACTACGCCCGGTTAGTTTTTGCCCAGCTAATTCTTATGTTTTTAGTAGAGTTGGGGTTTCACCATGTTGGCCAGGCTGGTCTCGAACTCCTGACCTCAAATGATCTGCCCACTTCAGCCTCCCAAAGTGCTGGGATTACAGGCGTGAGCCACCGTGCCCAGCCTGTTGCCTTCTTATATTCACGCCCACCTTCCTCCTGCCAAAATTACAGAAATGGAGAAGAGATTAGTACCTTTCTCTTTACCCCCACATTTAACCCCTGGCAATCACCAATCTGTTCTCCATTTCCCTAATTTTGGTGTGTCAAGAATGCTAAATAAAGGAATCGTACACCGTGTAGCCTCTTGGGATTGGCTTTTTCCACCGAGCATTAATTCTCTGGAGATTCATCCAGGTTGTTGCATATATCAGTAGTTCATTCCTTTATATTGCATCCGGGCTATGGATGTACCACCGTTGATTTAACTCTTCATCCATTGAAGGACATCTGGGCTGTTTCCATTCCATAGCTCTTGCAAATAAAGCAGTTATAAACATTTGTGTACAGGTTTTTATGTGAACATAAGTTTTCATTTCTCTGAGATAAATGCGTACAAGTGCAGTTGCTGGGTCATAGTAGGGTAGCTGCTTGCTTAGTTCCATATGATACGGCCAGACTGTTTCCCAGAGTGGCTGTACATTTTACATTCCCACTAGTAATGTGTGAGAGATCCAGTTTCTCCTTGCCAGCATTTAGTGATGTCACTATTTTTTATTTTAGCCATTCTGATGGATGTATAGTGATATCTCACTGTGGTTTTAATTTGCATTTCCCCACTGACTAGTGATGCTGAGCATCTTTTCTTATGCTTATTTGCCATCTGTATATTCTCTTTGGCAAAGTGTCTCTTTATGTTTTTTGCTTATTTTCTAATTGGAGTTTTTAATTTTAATTTTTTTTTTTTTTAGTTTTGAGAATTCTTTTTTTGTTTTGTTTTGTTTTTTAAATCATGGTTCACTCTGTCATCCAGGCTAGAGTACAGTGGCATGATCATGTCTCACCCCAGCCTCCACCTTCTGGGGTCAAGTGATCCCTCCACTGCAGCCTCCTGAAAAGCTGGGACCACAGGTGCATGCCACCACGCCCAGCTAATTTTTAAATTTCTTGAGGAGTCGGGGGTCTCACTCTGTTGCCCAGACTGATCTTGAACTCCTGGGCTCAAGCAGTCCTCCTGCCTCGGCCTCCCAAAGTGCTGGGATTATAAGTGTGAGCCACTGTGCCTGGCTGAGAATTCTTTATATGTTCTAGATACTAGTCCTTTGTTGGATATGCAGCTTGCAAATATTTCTCCTGGCCTGTAACTTATCTTTTCATCCTCTTAGCAGGGCCTTTCCCGAAGGAAAAATTTTAATTTTGATGAAGTCCAGTTTATCAGTTTTTTTCTTTTATGGATCATGCCTTTGGTATCAGGTCTAAGAGCTCTTTGGCCTAGATCACAAAGATTTTCTCCTATATATTTTCCTGAATATTTTATAGATTTATGTTTTACAGTTAAATCTATAAACCATTTTGAGTTACTTTCTGTATAAGGTGTGAAGTTTAGGTGTTTTTTGTTTGTTGTTTTGATGCCCAGTTGCTCCATTGTCCCAGCACCATTGGTTGGAAAGGCTGTCCTTCCTCCTTTGAATTGCTCTCGCACCTTTGTCAGACATTGTTTGGGCCTATTTGTGCAAATCAATTTCAGATTCTCTGGTCTCGCCTGTTGGCCCATGGTTCTGTTCCCATGTTGGTACCACACAGTTTTGATTACCATATCTATATTCTAAGTCCTAAAATCTGTGTATGGCTGCTCAAGGCCCCACCCAGCAGTTCTGGGGAGGAGTTTCTGGCTGTTGGCAGGTTCCTCTGTCCCCCAACATCACTATTCCTGAGTCAGGCTATGGGACTGGGATTGCCACCCCTACCTTGCCTGGCTGGGCCATCTCAGCTCCCAGGCCTGTTCTTGCCTAGAGTCCAGGTGCCTGGAGCCTTCTGGAGCCATCAGCCCCTGGTTTTCTTCACCCCTGCTTCCTGGGCAGGACTTGGTCTGGGGGAGCAAGGGGAGGAGCCTATGGGCTGGGAATCAAGTCTTGCCTCCCCTGAGGGTGTGAGGAAGTCCAGAACACTGCCCTCTCCCTCTTCCCTAATTGGTACCCCCCAGTCCCAGTGCTCGGTGATGGGAAGATCCAGTGAAAGGCCACATGCTTAGACTCCCCAGGCAGAGCTCAGCTCTACTTCTCACCTGCTCTGGGGCCCTGGGCACACAGCTCGCCCTCAGAATCTCCAGGTCTATATTTTGAGGGGTGAGGCTGTTCCTACCTCCATTGGTGAGGCCCTCGGTCAGCACAAGAAATGGCAGCCTAGATGAATGCGGGGCCACCCTCTCCTGGGGCAGGGAGAGGCCATGTGAGTGCTGCGATGGCAGGATGGCACCAGTGGTCAGCACGCCTCAGGTGGCATGTCTGTGTGTGTGGCAGCCTTGTAGGCCCTAAAAGGGAGTAGTATCCAAGGCGAGCATGCCTGGGGACTCCTGAGAAACAGCTGAAGCGGCCTCTCCTGTGCTGCAGCCAGTGTTCCTCTGTGGATAGCCTAGGCAGGCAGAGGTGGACATGTCAGGTGGTCCTGGGAGTGTCAGAACCCAGGGTAGTGCCAGTGAGGGCCCTTCAGGGACACTCAGGGGCAGGGCTCCAGGGCATGTCTGGGCCTGCTTTGGTAAGGGGCTTGCTTGTGGCAGTGTCGGAAGGCGTGGCACTCAGAAGCAGCCTGAAGGTGTGGTCACTTCCGTGGCTTATTTACTAAATGGGGAGAGCAAACTTAGCGTGGCACATGTAAGTCCCATGGTGCCAGCACTGTGGTCCTGCATGCGTCCTCCCTGACACACCCCCTCTGCTGCCCTGTCCTGAGCACCAGGTCACTGGTATCCACTCAGCCCCATCTTGCAGAGTCACTTCAATGTCTCCCCAGCCCCTTTCTTAGAAACACTGGCCAAGTCACAGTCCCTGCCAGGTCTGTGGGTGCCCACCCTCCATCTATTGTGCTGTGTGTCCCTGCCCTCTCCTGGGGGTGTCATGGATGGGCCAGTGGGTCTGCCTGCCTGGCCCCTAGGACCATATCAGCCTCGGGCAGCCCCCACTTGGTGGAATCTGGGTCAGTTCTGAGGTGCCCTGGCCTGGAGCCCTTCTACTACCCTAAAGAGGGCCTTCTTGTTGGGAGGGGCTGCTAGCCAGAGCCCAGGTTACTGGCCCCACACCCCATTTCAGGAGGTATCCTGCATGTCCCTCCCCAAGGCCAGGATGGAGAGTTGTTGGTTGACCACTGCACTCCTGTGATCACCGCACCCCTGCACTCTCCTCCTCGGCTTTCTCAGCCCCTGGCCTCCAGAACCGCCTATGCCCCTACCTGGGCTACTCAGGGTAGACAAGACCTTTAGCAGGGAGTCCCCTCACCTCCACTGCCCTCTGTCCTTCACCCCAGGGCCTTCTGTGGGGTTACTGGCTACTGGCTCCTCTCTAAACCCCAGTTTCCACGGGGTAGCTAGGATTGTCCCTGGCTTTATAAGGATAGCCAGGCCTCGGTGTGGGCGGGAGAGTGGGGAAAGTATTTGGAATCGGGAAGTCCATCTCTAGGGCTGATCCAGGGACTCTGGGTGGCAGGGCCTGGTCAGAAAGGGTTCATGCTGGCCTCCAGGCTGTATTTGTGGGGGCAGATCCTCACCAGAGTGAGTGGGGTGGGTCAGTACTAGGCCCCTCCACTGCCTTGCCTGCCATCAGAGCCCAGGGGTCCCTTATTGAGAAAGAGGTGGGGCCTGCTGGCACCGGGGTCCCTCCACCCTGCTGAAAGGGTCTCCTGGCTGCATCGCAGCTAACATCCCTTCCTTCCTGTCGGGCAGCCAGAGCAGCTGAGTTCCAGATAAAAACTGTCAGACCCGGCCTGTAGGCTGCTCCATTGCCAATGAACTCCATGAACCCCATGAAACCTGCCCTGCCCCCTGCGCCACACGGGTGAGTGTGGGCTCCTCTGCCCACCCCTCAGGCCCTGGGGTTGGGGGTGGCATTTCTGGAAGATCCTAGACTCTTGGACACCAGTGGCTTCCTGACCCAGGCCTCAGCAGCCTCTTTCCCTGCAGTGATGGTTCATTCGCATATGAGTCTGTGCCTTGGCAACAAAGCGCCACTCAGCCGGCTGGATCGCTGTCTGTGGTCACTACTGTGTGGGGAGTTGGCAACGCGACACAGAGCCAGGTAAGCACCCACTGGTGCCCCACCCCCGAGCAGACAGAGCCTCCCAGCACTTGGCAGTGCTTAGTGCCTCCTCAGAGCTCTGAGAGACGAAGAGGCTGAGAGGTGAGGACAGAGAGGCTGAGGCATGACATATGAGGATGGGGCCTCCTGAGTCCCCTAAGTCTTTGGACACTGGTTCTCTTTCCACACCTGCTGTGGGATTTTCTTCTCCTGTCTTCACCTAGCCTTCACAAAATGCCCCAACCTCCCTGTGGACAGCTGCTTTCCCTGCTTCCCGTGCTATACCCTGTCCCCCCCACCTCTCCCCCAACCCACTTGCCAGGCCTGTTGGTTTCTAGCACTTTGGAGCTGCTGCATGAAGCACGTTGTTTGGCTGGTTCCCTTTGGTGATTCCTGCTTCCTCATAGGTTTTGGGGAACCCCATGGGCCCTGCAGGGAGTCCCTCTGGCAGCTCCATGATGCCTGGTGTGGCAGGGGGCAGCTCCGCCTTGACCTCCCCACAGTGCCTGGGACAGCAGGCGTTTGCTGAAGGCGGCGCCAACAAGGGCTACGTGCAGCAAGGCGTGTACAGCCGCGGGGGCTACCCTGGGGCCCCCGGCTTCACCACCGGGTAAGCAAGTTCCCTCACCTGGCAGGTATGCTAGGAGCCATCAATCTGGCAGGCACCTCAGAACTGTGGCGCTGATCAGCTGGACGTTCCCTCTCTGCTTCCTGACAGCTGTAGTGGAGGGTCTAGAAAGAATGGGCTCCCCCTGGGTGCTGCATGCCTCTGGGGTGAGCACAGTCCTGGCCCTCATGAGCCCACGCAGAGAGCGTGGCAATCCTGTGTCTCCTGCAGGTATGCAGGCGGCCCGGGGGGCCTGGGCCTCCCCTCACATGCTGCAAGACCCTCCACTGACTTCACGCAAGCGGCAGCTGCTGCAGCTGTGGCTGCTGCGGCAGCCACTGCCACCGCCACAGCCACAGCCACCGTGGCTGCTCTCCAGGAGAAGCAGAGCCAGGAGCTGAGCCAGTATGGAGCGGTGAGCCCCCTCAGCAGCTCCTCCCACATGGCAGCCAGCCTGAGGGCCTGGGAGGAGGTACTCAGCCAGACAGTGGGCTCCAGGGACAAGCATGGAATATGCCAGGGCTCATGAAGCCAGTAAAAGAGAGATGTGTGGGAAGGAGTGAGGGTCTGAGGGGAGAGGTTTCTGGGGTGTCCTGTGAAAGGGTATGGTGCCCACATGGGTGGGTGGGCGGGTTTTATGCCTATCTTTTGGAGCCCTTTGTGGGTGGGACCTGGACCATTCTTCTTTTTTCTCTTCCTAGATGGGGGCCGGACAGTCTTTTAACAGCCAGTTTCTGCAGCATGGAGGTCCCCGGGGGCCTAGTGTCCCCGCTGGCATGAACCCTACTGGCATAGGAGGGGTAATGGGCCCCTCTGGCCTCTCCCCCTTGGCTATGAACCCCACCCGGGCAGCAGGAATGACACCCTTGTATGCAGGGCAGCGTCTGCCCCAACATGGGTATCCTGGGCCTCCCCAGGCCCAGCCACTGCCCCGACAGGGGGTCAAGAGAACCTACTCTGAGGTGAGTGTCCAGGTCACCTAGTTTGGGGCCTTGGGTACCAACTCCCTCACCCAGGCACTCTTTAGAGCTGTGGTAAAGAGCAGGCTTCTGGCTGGGCATGGTGGCTCACGCCTGTAGTCCCTGCACTTTGGGAAACCAAGGAGGGTGGATCCCTTGAGCTCAGGAGTTTGAGACCAGCCTGGGCAACATGGCGAAACCGTGTCTCTACAAAAATTAGCCTGGTGTGGTGGCATGTGGCTGTAGTCATAGCTACTTGGGAGGCAGAGGTGGGAGGATCGCCTGAACCCAGAAAGTTGAGGGTGCAGTTAGCTGTGATCGCTCCCCTGCACTTCAGGCTGGGCAACAGGAGTGAGACCCTGTTTCAAAAAAAAAAAAAAAAAGCAAAAGCCGGGCATGCTGTCTCATGCCTGTAATCCCAACACTTTGGGAGGCTGAGGCAGGTGGATCACTTGAGATCAGGAGTTCAAGACCAGCCTGGCCAATGTGGTGAAACCGCATGTCTACTAATAATAGAAAAAATTAGGCCGGGCGCGGTGGCTCACGCCTGTAATCTCAGCACTTTGGGAGGCCAAGGCGGGTGGATCACGAGGTCAGGAGTTGAAGACCAGCCTGGCCAGCATGGTGAAACCCCATCTCTAATAAAAATACAAAAAGCATTAGCCGGGTGTGGTGGCGGGCGCCTGCAGTCCCAGCTACTTGGGAGGCTGAGGCAGGAGAATTGCTTGAACCCAGCAGGCAGAGGTTGCAGTGAGCTGAGATCATGCCACTGCACTCCAGCCTGGGTGACAGAATAAGACTCCATCTCAAAAAAAAAAAAAAAAAAATTAGCCGGGCGTGGTGGTGTGCACCTGTAATTCCAGCTACTTGGGAGGCTGAGGCAGGAGAATTGCTTGAACCCAGGAGGTGGAGGCTGCAGTGAGCCAAGATTGCACCACTGCACTTCAGCCTGGGCAACAGAGTGAGACTGTCTCAAATTAAAAAAAAAAAAAAAAAAAAAAACAGGCTTCTGCATGTGAGAACTGCCTGTGCCTGACAGTGTCACAGCAGGATCTTCAAGGGAACCAGGAAATCTCCATTCCCCGAACCCTGCCACACATGAGACTCTACTTCCTTCTGGAACCAGCTCCCCTGATGCCTTTTTTCTCCCCTCGGGCATTTTGCCTCTTTTTCAGGTGTATCCAGGGCAGCAGTATCTGCAAGGAGGCCAGTATGCACCCAGCACCGCCCAGTTTGCGCCCAGCCCTGGGCAGCCCCCTGCCCCCTCCCCTTCCTACCCTGGGCACAGGCTGCCCCTGCAGCAGGGCATGACCCAGTCCCTGTCCGTGCCTGGCCCCACGGGACTGCATTATAAGGTAGGGCAGGCTCCTCCAGGCCCTGTGCCGGGCTCCGTGCTGAGTGCTGTGGGACAGGGGACCTTGGGGCAGTCCTGTCCTCGAGAGCGACAGGGTGGCTAAAGGGGCCAGCAGGATGTGTAGGTCCATGTGTGCTCATGGACCACAGCTCTACAGGAGATGGGGGGTGGGGGGTGGGGGCATTCTGACCAGTGCAGGAGCAGCTCCTGGGGTTTGGGATCCAGTTCCGAAAGGACCCTCTACAAGATTCATATATCTCAGGGGTATCCTGTGCAGGGAGCAGCAGGTGGGTACCCAAAACATTTGAATGTTCTTTATGGAAAAGTGTCATTCCTTCTACTTGCTGCAGAGAAATCCATTGAGAGGACAGGCCCTCGCTGCTGGCCATGTACCCTTTCTGGGTGCATGGGCAGAGCCTACCTCCCTGGGAGCCTGGGTGCGCCGGGTGGTGCAGCTTGGGGGAGGAGAGGAGGAGGGCTTAGCGTGCTTTTGTCTTTTCAGCCCCTCCAACCTGTTTGATCATTTTCCTCTGTGGCTATGATTGCTTTAAGTAGTGTTACTTGTAGATTATTTGGAAAATACAAGAGAGTGTAAAGAAGACCGTGTATGGTGGGCTTCTAGGGTCAGGTCCAGGGGGCCCGGCAGGGGTCAGGTTGGAGCCCCAGGTGCATGCAGTTTTCTCTCCCGCAGCCCACAGAGCAGTTCAACGGGCAGGGCGCCAGCTTCAACGGGGGCAGCGTCAGCTACAGCCAACCTGGCCTGAGTGGGGTAGGGGGCCTGGCCGGGAGGATGGGCCGGGAGGCTCACAGGGTGGGCATATGGAGAGAGGGCGACCGGGCAGGCACCCCTGGGGCCGCCTCCTGTCCACCTCTGTTATCATGGTTCCCAGTGGGTGCGCCGTGAACAGACTCCACTCCCATCCACCCTGGCAATCTGCCTTGACTGTTTGTGCTCAACCCTACAGCCTACCCGTTCCATCCCGGGCTATCCCAGTTCCCCACTGCCAGGGAACCCCACGCCACCCATGACCCCAAGCAGCAGCGTCCCTTACATGTCACCAAACCAAGAGGTCAAGTCTCCCTTCTTGCCTGATCTCAAGCCCAACCTCAACTCCTTGCACTCATCGCCCTCTGGTAAGTCTGTCCACTCTTGGGACAGCGGGGTGACAAGGCCAGGGTGGGCATGGGGGAATCACAGGACTCCAGAGAGTCCTGTAGGAGCTTGGGGGACAGGGGATGGCTGCCATATCCCTAAGAAAAGGGCTGGGTGTGGTGGCTCACACTTGTAATCCCAGCACCTTCGGAGGCTGAGCACAAGAGTTCAAGGTTACCGTGAGTGTGATCTTGCCACTGCACTTCAACCTGGGTCCCAAAGCAAGACCCTGTCTTAAAAAAAAAAAAAAAAAAGGCCAAGGATTCCATCTTCTTAAAGACAAGTCGCTTAGTGCCAAGCCTTCACCTTTTTGTTCTGTTTGTGGCTTTCTTTGCAAAGGAGGCTGTGGCTCTTCTCTCCCCTGTGCACAAAATGTTGTATATAATTTCAGGGGATTTATGAACCCCGGAAGCCCATTCCAGGGAGACCACAGCAGCAGAAGTTGGGATCGTAGAACTCTAAACAGAGCTATAGGGCAATTGCAGGAGGCTCTCACACACCTTGGCCTCCCAGTCTCTCTGAAAGCACTGGAAACACCTTTTGTCTGGGCTGGGGACATGTTCCCCTATTATGGTTTAGGGGACACTGGGCTGGACTGCTGAGGCAGGAGGCAAGACAGAACATCACGACCGAATGCCCAGGCCTCAGGAGAGATGCTGCCCATGGCCCCAGCCCCAGGGCACCACTCAGGCCTGCCAAGCAGTGCCTGACAGGAGGGGCTCCCTTCACCAAGGTCCCTGCGGGGAAGGTGGCTGGGGAGCCGCTGCCCTCCTTGAGTGACACAAGACGCTCTGGCTGGGGCAACCCAGCTCACAGCCAGTGGCCTCTGCTCCCAGGAAGCGGGCCTTGTGACGAGTTGCGGCTGACCTTCCCTGTGCGCGATGGGGTGGTCCTGGAGCCCTTCCGCCTGCAGCACAACCTGGCTGTAAGCAACCATGTCTTCCAGCTGCGAGACTCAGTCTACAAGACCCTGATAATGAGGTGAGCTCCGCCTGGCCCCCACCTGACCCCCACGAGGCTCTGTTCCTCCTCCCACACTCTCAGGGCCCGTTTTCTGGGTGTCCACCCATCTTCCTGAGCAGGCCTGACCTGGAGCTGCAATTCAAGTGCTACCACCACGAGGACCGGCAGATGAACACCAACTGGCCAGCCTCGGTGCAGGTCAGCGTCAATGCCACGCCGCTCACCATCGAGCGTGGCGACAACAAGACCTCGCACAAGCCACTCTACCTGAAGCATGTGTGCCAGCCAGGCCGCAACACCATCCAGATCACCGTCACCGCCTGCTGCTGCGTGCGTGTCCTGCGCCGAGGGGGCGGTGCTGTGGCGTGGGGCGGGGTGTGGTGGGGCCTGGCCCAGCGGTGCCGTGGGGTGGGGCGGGGTGTGGGCGGGGCCTGGCCCAGCGGCGCAGTGGGAGCGGAGCCAGGACATGGGCGGGCCGGCCTGCAGCACCATCAGATCATGCCGCCGTCTGCTGTTTTGCTGTCCACCGCCTGCTGTAGCATGTGTGCCCCCTTGCAGGGTGGAGAGCAGGACGTGGGGGCTTTATTATTTCAGAAAAATGCGTTGCTTCTCTTTGTTACTGCCTTGTATTTCTATTTTAATCTGTCATCCTTGCCCTTTAAGAAAGCGATCCAGTAATATACCCTAGCTGTTTTCCAGTTAGAGTAAATTGACTAGATTTGATGCTCACATTAATTATGTAAGAGAAACCAGGATATGCAGAAAGCTCATGGAGCTCGGAGTCCCCGGCTGATCAAGCATTACCGGTTCTAGCAAGCATCAGGGTCACCCTTGGGCTAGAGAAGAAAGACATGGCTTATGAGTGCACTAGTCAGCCTGGGCATGAGGGCCTTGGGGACGGGTTGGCCACACACCACATTGTCTGGGATGTGGCAGATGTCAACACAGACCCAGCATCTGTGACTGTGGATGTGCGAGCAGGGGGAACGTTCAAGGGGACTTGAGGTGATTCTCTTCATGGAGAAGTGGTGACTAGGCAATGGTTAGACCGGCAGGATGCCCAGCACAGCTGTAGAGATGGATACAAGCGTGGGCAGGGCGCTGAGGCCAGGAAAGGCAGCTGGATGGGGCCAAGCCACTGAGGAGTTTTGTTGGCTGAATCCCCACCCCCAGCTCACCCTGCCCTCAGCCTTGTCCCTCCCCCACCTGGCAGCCCCTGACACACAACCCCCAGCACACCCTTTACCTGGCCAGGGTGGCCCCTGGCCCAAGTCCCCCTGATGACATCCTCCCGTTGTATTGCAGTCCCACCTCTTCGTGCTGCAGCTAGTGCACCGCCCATCCGTCCGCTCGGTGCTGCAGGGCCTCCTCAAAAAGCGCCTCCTGCCTGCTGAGCACTGCATCACCAAGAGTGAGTGGCTCCTGCCCCTCAGCTGCCAGGCAGCCATCCCCATTCTGTGTGGCCCAAGCCCAACAATCCTCCTTGTGGGCACCTCCTCGTGTCACACCAGGCCTTCTCCTTGGACAGGTGGCTCTGCAGTAGGGGCAGTGGTTAGTTCCAGGTGGCCCCTCAGAGCTGTCAGTGGGTCAGTGACTGGGTCCCTGCCTCGTTGGCATCCCCATTCACACCTCCCCATCTTGGGGACCCTTTACTCAAGTCCTTTACCTTGTTGATGTCAGTAAAGCGGAACTTCAGCAGCGGCACCATCCCTGGCACCCCTGGGCCCAACGGAGAGGACGGGGTGGAGCAGACAGCTATCAAGGTGTCCCTGAAGTGCCCCATCACCTTCCGCAGGATCCAGCTCCCTGCCCGAGGTCATGACTGTCGCCACATACAGGTAGGTGGTTACTGCAGAGTCTTGCCGGAATTTGCTGCTGCTAAAATATCTTGAGTCGATACATCAGTGTCATTCTCTGGACAGACGTGAACTCCGAGTGCCTTGGCTGTCAGGCTGACAGGACAGGCCTCCCACGCCAAGGAGGCAGGTGGGCCTGGCTCCCCCAAGACTAGGCTATTTTTTCTTCCAAATATAATTGTCATTTTACTAACTTTTTTACTGCCTGCTTCATTCATGGGTTCAAGTTTTGAAAGGCATAAGATTGCAGGGTCCAGTCTTCCTGCCCTACCCCCAAGGGTGACCATCGTTAGCATCTGTCTTTGCAGAAATACTCTGGGTATGAACAAGTAGATGCACAGCCCACTGTCTCTGTGGTTACATAGTGGTCCCTATTGCACAAACTGCTCTGTGCTGTCGTTTTTCTTCTTTTAACACCATGTTCTGAGGCTGGGCGCGGTGGCTCACACCTGTAATCCCAGCACTTTGGGAGGCTGAGGTGGGCAGATCGAGGTAAGGAGTTCGAGACCAGCCTGGCCAGCATGGTGAAACCCTGTCTCTACTAAAATTACAAAAATTAGCTGGGGCATGGTGGTGTGTGCCTGTAATCCCAGCCACTTACGAGGCTGAGGTAGGAGAATCGCTTGAACCTGGGAGGCGGAGGTTGCAATGAGCTGAGATCGAGCCACTGCATTCCAGCCTGGGTGACAGAGCGAGACTCTTGTCTCGAAACAAAACAAAAATACCATGTTCTGGAAGTGGGTCCCAGTCAGCACAGCTGCCCGATGCTTGCTTTGGCCACATGGCATTCCAGTCTCAGTGAGAGCTGTTTGGGCTGTTCCCAACCTTGATCCATTAGAATGATGTTGCAGTGAAAACCTGGTACATGCAGTATCTCAGTTATGCATGTAAATAAGTCACACATTCCTGAAAAGGGATTGCAGAGTGACCAGATTTTCCCTGTGCTACCCACAATGAGAAACTGACTTTCTTCCCATCTCTCTACAGTGCTTTGACCTGGAGTCGTACCTGCAGCTCAACTGTGAGCGGGGGACTTGGAGGTGTCCTGTGTGCAAGTGAGTCTCAGATGCAGCGTGTGATGGAGGAGGGGCTGGTGCTTTTAGAGGCTTTCATGGGTGAAACCTCCAACAGCATCATCAAAGATACGAGCCTGCTGGGAGGAGTCACTGCATGGACTGGGGTTGTGCAGCTCAGCGCAGAGAGCTCGTATAGGGTGGCCTTATGCAGGGTCATCTCATGCAGTCACCTTGTGCAGAGTCACTTCACACAGGGTCACCACATGCACAGGATCACCTCGTATTTTCACCTCACACAAGGGTCAGTCACACAGGGTCACCTTGTACTGTCACCTCACATAGGGTCAGCTCACACAGAGTTACCTTGTTCAGTTGCCTCACACAGGATTGCCTCATGCAGGGTCACAGCTGACAGGGCTGAGAAATGACAGGGCCTGTGCCCAGGACAGGGTTGTGCAAGGTCTCTGAGCTGTGTCCCTTTTTTTCCCCACAGCAAGACAGCTTTGCTGGAGGGCCTGGAGGTGGACCAGTACATGCTGGGCATCCTGATTTACATTCAGAAGTAAGCATCCTCTTCCTGTGATCCCTGCATCTGTGGCCACTGGAGGGCAGCCCCAGGACATGTCGGGGGATGTCCCTTGCCAAGTGCAGCCTTCCAGCCTTTTTCCGGCATGGAGCAGGCTGGATTCCAGGCCAGAGACAGCGTGTGTGTCCTACCTGAGTGTTGGTGCTGGGCCCAGCGTCCTGCTCGATGTGGAAGGTGCTGGGTGGAAGCAAGCATTTGAGTGGGGGAACCTGCCTGGAAACAGCCCAGGGCTGGGAGGGGCAGTGGGTGCCGGGCCAGCAGCAGGCCAGGAGGTAACCATTCCCCACCTGTCCCTGCCCAGCTCTGACTATGAGGAGATCACCATCGACCCCACGTGCAGCTGGAAGCCAGTGCCCGTGAAGCCTGACATGCACATCAAGGAGGAGCCGGATGGGCCAGCACTGAAGCGCTGCCGCACCGTGAGCCCCGCCCACGTGCTCATGCCCAGCGTGATGGAGATGATCGCCGCCCTGGGCCCCGGCGCTGCCCCCTTTGCCCCCCTGCAGCCCCCCTCAGTCCCTGCCCCCAGCGACTACCCTGGCCAGGGTAAGTACAGCAGGCTAGCCTTGAACCTCAGATGACCCTGGGCATATGGCTCCTCTCCCCAGATCAGTCTCCTCACCTGCAAGAATGTGGCTATGCAGGTCACACACCTAGGTTATCAGTGTTGCCACACAAAACATGCCGCGGGGCACCTCCAGCCCCTCCCATCTCAGGGACGTGGCGGTGAAGGCACAGTCTCAGCTATGGTCCCAGGAAACAGACAGTGGGGCCTCCACCCTTCCTTCCCCGTTTGGATTAAGGGGCTCCTGGCTGGAACACCTCACAGGACTGGCCCCATCTGGGGCCCCCCTCTGGGACCCACCTCACACGCGTGGTGCGTTTGTTTGTGGCTGCTCCCATTCCTATAACCTCCGAGACCTTCACTCCTAGGAATGTCCCAAGGCCAATTCCCTTGGCAGCAATGAGAAGAAATGCCCTTTTCCAAATAGCGACTTCTGCAAAACCCGCTGTTGTTTGTGGGTGAGCACTGCAAGTCCCACCCATGCCACAGCCAGCCTCCCTCCTGGCTCCTCTGCCAGCGGTGGCCTTCCCCAGCCCTCACCCAGGCCCCGACTCTCCTCTCACAGGTTCCAGCTTCCTGGGGCCTGGAACTTTCCCTGAGTCCTTCCCACCCACCACGCCCAGCACCCCAACCCTTGCTGAGTTCACCCCGGGACCACCCCCCATCTCCTACCAGTCTGACATTCCCAGCAGCCTCCTGACTTCAGAGAAGTCTACCGCCTGCCTCCCAAGCCAGGTCAGTGCCAAGCCGAGAGGCCAAGGGGCCCTGTCTCCCCAGGGGAGCCCCTGAGCTGTTTTAACAAATTCTTCTCTCTGTCTTCAGATGGCACCAGCAGGTCACCTGGACCCCACTCACAATCCTGGGACACCAGGACTACACACCTCCAACCTTGGGGCCCCTCCAGGTCCCCAGCTGCACCATTCAAACCCTCCCCCAGCGTCCCGGCAGTCCTTGGGCCAAGCGAGCTTAGGACCTACGGGTGAACTGGCCTTCAGTCCTGCCACAGGCGTGATGGGGCCCCCCAGCATGTCTGGAGCCGGGGAGGCCCCAGAACCAGCTCTGGACGTGAGTACCAGGCCCCATGCGGGGGAGTGCGTGGGAGCCAGGGCTAGAGGTGGTGTGTCTGTTCCAGGTGCGTTCTGGAAGGGAAGACAGTGACCCCTCAGAGAGCCGGTCAGATAAGGTCAACTAAATGCAGCTTTTGTTCATGAATTAGATACCTGGAGTAGCTGCGGGTGGGATGCGATGTACCACATTTGTGTTCATGAGGGGCCTGGATGCCGTACGGGCGGACGCAGAGTCTCAGAGGAGACTGCACTGGAAGCTGACAGCACGGTCCTTAGAGTCAAATTTCGTCTGTCCATTTGCTCAGTAGCCCTGGGTCTTGACTCACAGGTGGAATGGGAGTGCAAACTCAGTACATGAAGGACAGAACTGACTGTCCCTGGACCATAATAGAAACTCATTCTAGAAGTTCAACATGAAACTCATTCTAGAAGTTCAACATGAAAAAGTTAGGAAGAACAGCTCCAAGCAGAAAATCCTAGGGGCATGGAATTCCACCACCAGCATTCACCTTGGGGCATCACGGTGGGGATCCCCACGCAGGCTGATGCACAGAGGGAGTGTGGAGTGGCTGCACTCCCTCACATCCCGTTTCCTGGTGGTATTGAACAGCATGTTGCCAGCTGTTCTGGCCCCAGAGCAACCTTGCAGGGAGGTCCCAGGGGGTGGCGTGTGCCTCTTTGAGCACATGCAGGCCTATGGTGGGGCCCCGCACCCGGCCTGTGTGTGAGGAGGGGCTGCTCAGCATCCCCACTGTGCCTGGAGACAGGGCCGGGATGTGGTGACAGGATGGTCACTCAGGTGTGGCCAGTCAGTGACCAAAGCTGCTAACAGAGTTCACTTTGTCCTCAGCTGCTCCCGGAACTGACCAACCCTGATGAGCTACTGTCCTACTTGGGCCCACCCGACCTCCCTACGAACAACAATGACGACCTGCTTTCTCTGTTTGAGAACAACTGATCCTGTGTTTACCCCAAGCCCGGCGGGGACACGCTCACAGATGTCACCACAGCCCTGCCCTTCATGCCCAGCCCCATGGGACACCCGGTGGTCTTTCCCAAACCTCCCCCAAAACACACCTGGAGCCAGAGCCTTCTGCCGCCAGCCCTGCCCCTGAATTGGAAGCAGCCCTGTGCTCGATGGGAGGGGCTCCCAGGCCGGCAGCCCTTGCCACCTCCCTCTGCCAAGCCTGCTGCTGCAGAACGGTTTTTGCTGAGGTGCCCCTGCCCAGCCCTGTCCAGCCTTGTCCACACACACATCTCACGCCCCTGGTCTCACAGCCTCACACCTTGTCCTTCCACCCCTGCCTGCCCCCACCCAGCCTGCTTCTTGTCCAGCATTGATCCTTCTGTTTCAACAACTCCTCCACTGGGCAGAGCTGGGCATCTGGCAGGGCTGGCTCTGTCCCCTGGGCCTTTGGCTCCAGTGGCCCCTGTGCCCAGCAGTCCAGCTCTTGGAACCTCGCTGAATGGCAGCCTCTTGGGGGCCTGGAGCTCTGGCAGCCCAGCCGTGTGTGGTGTCAGGTTCCTCTCCCCACCCCAGCTTCAAGCAGAGGCCTCGGGGTGGGGGAGCTACAAAGCACAACAATGTACATAGTGTAGAAACACTAACAGCTGGGAGAGGGGAGCCAGCTGTCCAGCCAGCATGTTCCTGTTGTACAGCCCGGTCTCCCTGCGCGCTCTGCTCCTTCCCATGTGCAGACAGATCAGGGAGGAACCTCCAATGGGTGGGGGACAGTGAGCTTCGGCCTGGCCGAGGTGGGTGGGTGGGCTCTCAGATTCAGCTCTGTGTAAAGATTCTCTAGCGGGCTGCGCTCCCAAGTTCCCCTTCTCTGTGAAAGTGAAGAATTAGTACAGCTGTGTTTTTTAAAGCCACCTCTCTGTCTCCACCCCATGGGCCCACACCCAGGTGGGGGAGGAGGAAGCCACTGCATCTGTTGGCTCAGGGCCCCAGCCTGTGCGAGCAGGGCGCCTGGGCTGTTGTGTCTCCTGTCTGTGCCGATCTCTATTAAAGGACTCCCTCTTGGTGGGCCTGGCCGAGTCCCTCCTTTGTGCTCCCAGGGACTATTTTCTCCTCGTAAGCCAGCGACCTGCCTAAAGCTTGGGCTGTGCCTGCAAAGCTTGTGCAGGACCTGGGGGCCAGGTCGACCTTCAAGTGGCTTTTGGGGCCCCAGGTTGAGCTCTGGATGTTTCAAGCCAAGGCTCGGCTATTCCCGCCCCATAGTAAATTTCCTTTTCCCTGGAATTTTCCAAGTTGGCTTCAGCTGAAGAGCTGTTTTGTGAAGCATCCCAGGCTTGCCCAGGAGAGACATTTGCCACTATGTCACCTTATCTGGGCTTGCCCTGGGGCACTGAGACAGTTGTTTGGCAGCCCCAGCCCAGCCAGGGGCTCATCCTTCTCAGCTCTTGTCCCTGGGAGGCCTCTGCTTGTCACTTCCCAGAGATTGCAGAGGTGTGTCCTGCCTACCATCTGCCTGTCCAGCTTGGTGGGGGTCCGGGTCACCATTTCCTCCAGTCCTGGGCCCCATCCTTGAGGGCCTTCCCAGCCAGCCAGCAGGAGAGGCAAGAACTGGGGGAACACAGGAACCTAGGGGAGGAGGGGAGCGCTGGGCATCCTCAGGCTGGCGGCCAAGGCCTGCCCCTGGAGGCACTAGAGGAGGGCATCTGTCTGTGGGAGCCCAGAGGCTGCAGGGAGGAGGAGGAGGGAGGTATCTGGTGTGAGCGTTGCCCCTGCGACATTTGGGACCACACAGGTGGGCTTCCTTATTCCCTGACAAAGCCTCTGTTTCCAGCTCTTCCGCCCTCTCTGGATGAGGGAACAGAAGTGGAGGAAACAAAAGAAGCAGCAGCACGCACAGTCCTGTCGCTGGGTGCGGAGACAGCCTGGCAAAGTCCCACTCAGCCATGGCCTGATGCAGGCCCCAGGCCCTCCTTTCTTGGGTGTCAAATGACTGTGTCCTGGACATCTGATGCACCACCTGCCCTGCCTGTTGCAAACGTGATGCTCCCGGATGGAGTGGAGAAACTAGGAGACTGGGACAAGCAAAAGGCTGCAAACAACCCAGAAGCCCATCCTCAGAAGACTGGAGAAATGATTGAGGAATGCATGGGCACCGTGGCCCTGTGCTCCATCACAAACACCTCTCAGAAACAACGTGGGATGAAAAAGCAAGACAGTTCATACAGTATGATGCCATTTTTATAAAGCTCAAAACCAAATATGTGTGGAATTCATACCCAGGTGCTAAAGTCATCAGGGAGGGCAGGGAGTCAGTACAACACAGTGCTCACCCGTGGGGAGGGGACGGAGCTGTGCTTAGGGAAGAGCAGAGATGCTGGAGGTTTTGAACCTCAGGGTCAGTGGTGGCTTCGTGGGTTTCACTTTGTCGTACTTTCTGTTTCACACATTTTCTTGTGAATGTGCCAAGTATTACATAAAAACCAAAAGGCTGACCAGACTTAACAGTGCTCCACCCAATAGCAGCAGAACACACGTTTCTAAGTGCACAGGGAACGTTCTCCAGGACAGACCACACGTTAGTGCACAAAGCAAGTCTCAGTAAATTAGAGATCGGAATCCTGCAAACCACCTTCTCCAATCACAATGGAATAAAACCAGAAATCCATACCAGAAGGAAAATGAAAATTCACACATACATAGAAATTGAACACACTTTTTAACAGCCAAAGGGTCAAAGGAGAAATCACGAGAAAAATTAGGAAATAGAGATGGATGAAAACAACATACCAGAACTTAAGGAATGCGGCAAAAACTGCTCTGAGGGAAATTTATAGCTGCAAATGCCAACATTTAAAAAGATGCGACATCTTGGCTGGGTGTGGTGGCTCACGCCTGTAATCGCGGCACTTTGGGAGGCCGAGGCAGGCAGATCACCTGAGGTCAGAAGTTCGAGACCAACCTGGCCAAAGTGGTGAAACCCTGTCTCTACTAAAAACACAAAAATTAGCCAGGCGTGGTGGCTCACACCTGTAATCCCAGCTATTCACGAGGCTGAGGCAGGAAAATCACTTGAACCCAGGAGGCAGAGGTTGCAGTGAGCTGAGATCATGCCATTGCACTCCAGCTTGGGTGACAGAGTGAGACTCTGTCTCAAAACAACAACAAAAAAATTCCTAGAAAGATACAAATGACCAAAATTGTCCCAGGAAAAATAGAAAATCTGAACAGGGCCAGGTGCAGTGGCTCACACCTGTGATCCCAGCACTTGGGGAGAACTAGTTAGGAGGATGGCCTGAGGCCAGGAGTTCGAGACCAGCCTGGGCAACAGAGACCCTGCCTCGACAAAATCTTTAGAAATCAACCAGGTGTCATGGCACGTGCCTGTAGCCCCAGCTACTTGGGAGGCTGAAGCAGGAGGATAGCTAGAGCCCAGGAGTTCAAAGCTGCAACGACCTATGACAGCACCACTGCACTCCAGCCAGGAATGAGGCAGAGACAGAGACCTGACCTCAAAAAAAGAAGAAAAAGGAAAAAATCTGAACCAACCTAAAACACATAGGTAGAACCAGTCATCAAAAGCTTCCCAACAAAAGAAAAGCCCAGGACCAGATGGTGAATTCTACCAAATGCTAAAGAATGGACATAAATCCCCAAATTCTCCCAAACATTGTGGAGGAGAAAACACTTCCTAATTCCCCGTATTCATGTGAGGGGCCAGCTTCCCTCCCATTCTGCCCCAGCTTCCTCCAGTGGCCTTCCCCAGCAGGCAGTGGCCCCCACTTCTGACCCCTGTAACTCTACCCACTGTGGGTTTCCTCCTTGCCACCCTTCCAGCCTTCCAGGCTTTGGGGGCCATTGAGACAGCCCATCCTGCCTGCCCTGAGTGGGAGGGCAAGACATGACTGGCTCAGGATGGCCTGTCACCCAAGTTGCCTCAAAGAAGCCAGGGACATCAGTGCAGTCGGATGCACAGTGCAGTAGGTTTTGGTAAGTGCACACGCGTGTGTACCTGCCCTTCCAAACCTCACAGGAGAGACCAACCCACACCCCACCCCAGGTCATCACTGTTCTGGCCCCTGTCACCAGAGATTAATTTTGCCCTTTCTGAAACTTTATGTCAGTGAATATTAGAGTCTGTGTCTTGTTGTTAACTGATCCTTAAAGCGTCTGTGTTTATTTTCTTTTTTTTTTTTTTTAAGACGGAGTCTTGCTCTGTCGCCCAGGCTGGAGTGCAGTGGCATGATCTCAGCTCACTGCAACTTCCGCCTCCCGGGTTCAAGTGATTCTCCTGCTCAGCCTCCTGAGCAGCTGGGATTACAGGTGGCGCGCCATCACGCCTGGCTAATTCTTGTAATTTTAGTAGAGATGGGGTTTCACCATGTTGGTTAGGCTGGTCTCGAACTCCTGACCTTGTGATCTGCCTGCCTCGGCCTCCCAAAGTGCTGGGATTATAGGCTTGAGCCACTGTGCCTTTTTATTTTCATTTAACTGTATATTGTTCTTGTTCATTCTCTCAGTTACCACTTAGAAGGGAGGATTAATGGGTACCCTTCCCCAGCATCCTATACCCCAGCTCTTCTCTGACCAAGTCTTGAACCCTGTCATGGTACATTAGCTAGGACTCAATAGGTTGCAAGTGACGGTGACCAATTCAAACCAGTTAAGGAAGGAAGGGGCTCAAAATAGCAGTCCTGAAAGGGCCCTGGGGCAGCTGGACATGGGTAGGCATCCTTCCTTGGCCTCTGTGTGCAAGCTTCACCCTCAACCAGCTGCTTCTGTGAACTTGAGATCCAAGCTTCGGAGCCTCACTTCTCATTGATTCACCCTAGAAAAGAGGTGATGATCACTCTCCTTCTGGTTCCAAGTTTAAAATCCCAGGGATGGGATCTGGTTGACTCAACCAGGTAGGGACCCACCCACACAGCTAGAGTGGGGTCAGGAGCACTGCCCGAAAGAAGGGAAGCAGTTATCACAAGAGGGAGTACAGAGGGCCTCCCATTGCCTTGGGATGAAGTCCTTGCCTGCTCCCAACAGTCTCCACATTACCTCGTTCCTGCCCGTCTACCTTCTGGGTCAGGCTTCAGCTAAGACGCCATTCCTGGGAGAACCCTCTGCCTCCAGGATAAGTCAGGGCCTCCTCCTGAAGCCTTGATTCACTCTGTGGAATGCCTTTCACAGTTCCCATCGTAGCTGATCAGTTAAACCGTGGTGTGATTGTTCTTCCCACTTTTTTTTTTTTATTTTTTAGAGATGGGGGGGTGTCACTCTGTCAGGTGGAGTGCAGTGGTGCAATCACAGCTCACTGCAGCGTTGACCTCCAGGGCATAAGCACTCCTCTCATCTCAGCCTCCCAGGTGGCTGGGGCCACAGGCTTACACCACCACGCCTGGCTAATTTTTTTTTTTTAAGCAGAGTCTCACTCTGTCCTCCAGGTGGGAGTGCAGTGACGCGATCTCGGCTCACTGCAACCTTCGCCTCCTGGATTCAAGCGAATCAGCCTCCTGAGTACTGGGATTACAGTACTCGGCCTCCTGAGTACTGGGATTACAGTACTCGGCCTCCTGAGTACTGGGATTACAGGCGTGTGCCACCAAGCCCTGCTAATTTTTGTATTTTTAGTAGGGATGGGGTTTCACCATGTTGGCCAGGCTGGTTATGAACTCCTGACCTCAAGTGATCCGCCCGCCAAGGCCTCCCAAAGTGCTGGGATTACAGGAGTGAGCCACCGCACCTGGCCCCGGCCCCAACTCTTTATTTTAATAAAGTTAAAAAGTAATGCAATGGCAAGTGCAGTGGCTCACACCTGTAATCCGAGCACTTTGTGAAGTCAAGGCAGGAGGATCGCCAAAATCCAGAAGTTCAAGACCAGCTTGGACAACAAAGTGAGACCCTGTGTCTACAAAAAATTTTTTTAATTAACCAGGTGTGGTGGAGCACACCTGTGTAGTCCCAGCTACTTGGGAGGCTGAGAAGGGAGCGTCACTTGAGCCCAGGAGTTTGAGGCTGCAGGGAGCTATCTTGGTGCCACTACACTCTAGCCTGGGTGATAGAGCAAGACCCTGTCTCTGAAAAACAACAAAAATAAAAATAAATTTAAAAGAATAGTGCAGTGAGCACCCACATAACCTAGAGATTCACCAATTGTTAACATCTTGCCATGTTCGTTTACATGCTCTCTCTTTCTCCATGTATCTATTTTTTTTATGCACACACTTTTTTTTGTTGCCAACTTTGGAAAGTAAGTTGCAGACAAAATAAATACTTCATCTCTAAATACTTCGGTATGTATGTTGGAAAAAAATTTAAGTTTTATTTTTCCTTTGCTCTGTCACCAAGGCTGGGGTGCAGTGGTGCAATCACAGCTCATTGAAGCCTCCACCTCAATCCTCCTACCTCAGCCTACCAAGTAGCTGGGACTACAGGCACACACCCCAACACCTGGCTATTTTTTTTTTTTTTTTTGTAAAGACAGAGTTTCACCCTGCTGCCCAGGCTGGTCTCGAACTTCTGGGTTCAAGCAATCTGCCCACCTCAGCCTCCCAAAGTGCTGGGATCACAGACATGTACCACCACATCCAGCCAGGAAGTTTTCATTTATAACCACATTACCATTGTCACAGCTAAGAAAATTAACAATACTATCATCCCTTGGTATCCATGGAGGATTAGTTCCAGGACCTCCTGTGGATACCAAAATACACGAATGCTCAAGTCCTGTATATAAAGTGCCATAGTATTTCCATATCTTTCTCTATGCCTTATTTACATTTTTTTCTTTTATTTTCTTAATTGATATAAACAAGTACACTTTTATAGGGTGCATAGTGATGTTTTGATACATATAATGTATAGTGATGAGATCAGGGTAATTAGCATATTTATCTGGAACATTTATCATTTCTTTTTGTTGGGAACATTCAATATTCTCTTTCTAGCTATTTGAAATGATGTAATACAGTCATCCTAAAATGCTATAGACCACTAGAACTTAGCCCACTTATCTAGCTGTAATTTTATATCCTTTAACAAATCTCTGTCTACCCACTTCCTCCTACCCTTTCTACCCCTGCTGTATGCTTTAAATCATCTCTAGGCCAGGCGCAGCAGCTCACGCCTGTAATCCCAGGACTTTGGGAGGCCAAGGCAGGCAGATTGCTTGAGCTCAGGAGTTCAAGACCAGTGTAGGCAACATGGTGAAACCTCGTCTCTACAAAAAATACAAAAATTAGCCAGGTGTGGTGGTGTGTACCTGTAGTCCCAGCTACCCAGGAGGCTGAGGTAGGAGGATCACTTGAGCCCCAGAGGTGGAAGTTGTAGTGAGCTGAGATTGCCCCACTGCACACTCCAGCCTGGGTGACAGAGTGAGTCCTTGTCTCAAAAAAAAAAAAGTAAAATTTTAAAAAACATTAAAATTAAAATAATATCTAGATTACTTATAATACCTAAGACAATGTACATAGTTGTTATACTATATTGTTTTCATCTGTATCATCTTTATTGTTGTATTATTTTTATTTTCCCCCAAAATATTTTTGATCTGAAGTTGGTTGAATCTGTGGATGCAGAATCGGTGGATACGGAGAGTAATGCCATGGCATCATTTATTATATTCGCATGTTCCAGTTATAACTTTTTTCAACAGAATCCGATCAACACTCACATTTTGCACCTGGCTTTTGTGTCTCTTTAGTCTCTTTTAATCTAAAACAGTCTTTTTTTCATTACATTGATCTTTTCGCACAATTCAGGAGTTTCTTGTAGAATGTCCCCTATGCGTTCCCTCCTGGTGTCATTTACTCTTTCCTTTATTACCGTATTTCCTGTTACTTGAAAGATAAGGCTGGAGCCTGATTAAACATTTTTGGCCTGAGGAGACTTTCATTTTTCACCTGGTTTCCTGGCTAGACTGTAAGCTCCATGAGGGCAGTGTCATCCTGATATGCTCCAGTGCTGGCAATATTTGTCAAAGAAATTAACCCTGGAACAAAGGGAGCAAACACACCTCCTGCTTGTCTTGTCTGGGTGTTATCATGTCCACTCAGCCTGTGAATGTCCTGGCTAAGGAAGTGCACCCTGCAGGGTGAAGTGGGACATGGAGGTATCCAGTGAACATGTGCTGGTTTGGTTAAGGAAGTGCCTGCCAGTCTACTGTGATAGGATTGGTAATTGAGTGGGACTGATGGGTGGCCCAGAAGTCACAGCTCGGGGTCAGGGGTCCACTGTTGAAAGAACCCTCAATCACAGCATAGCAAGGAATGCCAAGCAGCACCCAGACACCTGCCTGCTCCCCCTGCCTTGGTGGCAGGAACCCTCATTTTTAGCTGGACACTTCGCTGACCAGGAGAACAGACTCCCTCTCCAGATGCTTCTGCAGCTCTGTGCGGCCACTGCCTGTGGCCAAGCAGTGGGATATCGAAGGATGTCTCCTTAGAGGGTGGGATGTGCCCCCTCTGAGCTGCTTTTCCTTCCTGCTGCTGGAATGTGGATGTGCCGCTCAGCACTGACCTCCAAGTAGACACCAAATGCTGGGAGTGTTGGAGGGAAAAGACAAGGGCCTGGGTTCCAGTGCTTGTGCAGCCATAACGCTGGCCTGGGCTGAGACTGAAGGAAGAGAAATAGGTGTCTGCACTGTTTGAGCCTGTGTTGTTGGGGTTTTCTGCCTCAAAGCCAAACCTCATCCTGATGGAAGCCGCACAGGATCACAGAGCCTTGGAGGTGAAGCAGAAGGATTCTTAGGGCTCCTCGCTCCTGGTCCCTAAGTCAACCTGCTCTTCCAGTTTCTCTTTGCAGAGAGATCTGGATCACGGCCTGCTCTTTTGTGTTTTCCCTTGGCATTTTTCCCAACTGTCCCCACAAAAGCCCAAAGTGAGAACAGAAAGACCATCCTCATCAGCAGTGGAGTTAGCCAGGATGCCCAGGCCATCACCTCATAATGAAGTGTCACATTCAACCTTCAGTTGCTTGCAACCTGCAGGGAAATGCTGCTTCTGTATAGTAAATACACACTTATGGTAAAAACGAACAAACCAAAAATCAAATAAAAATTTAAAATAGGCCAGGCAAGGTGGCTCACGCCTTTAATCCCAGCACTTAGGAGGCTGAGGCAGGAGGATTGCTTGAACCCAGGAAGTGAAAACATAGTGAGACCTCATCTCTATAACAACAACAACAAAACAAATGGGCTGGGCGTGGTGGCTCACACCTGTAATCCCAGCACTTTGGGAGGCTGAGGCAGGCAGATTACCTGAGGTTGGGAGTTCAAGACCAGCCTGGCCAACATGGTGAAACCCCGTCTCTACTAAAAATACAAAAATTAGCCGGGCGTGGTGGCACACGCCTGCAATCCCAGCTACTCGGGAGACTGAGGCAGGAGAATTACTTAAGCCTGGGAGATGGAGATTGCTATGAGCCAAGATTATGCCACTGTACTCTAGCCTGGCCAACAGAGCAAGACTCTGTCTCAAAAAAAAAAAAATTAAAACTTAGCTAGCTGTGTGCGGTGGCTCATGTCTGTTATCCCAGTACTTTGGGAGGCCGAGGCAGGCAGATCATGAGGTCAAGAGATCGAGACCATCCTGACCAACATGGTGAAACTCCATCTCCACTAAAAATACAAAAATTAGCTGGGCATGGTGGCGCATGCCTATAGTCCCAGCTACTCGGGAGGCTGAGGCAGAAGAATCACTTGAATCCGGGAGGCGGAGTTTGCAGTGAGCCGAGATCACGCCACTGCACTCCAGCCTGGCAACAGGGCGAAACTCTGTCTCAAAAAAAAAAAAAAAAATAGCCAGGCATGGTGGGCACACACCTGTAGTCCCAGCTCAGGAGGCTGAGGCAGGAGAATCCTTTGAGCCCAGGAGGTCGAGGCTGCAGTGAGCCGTGTTTGCACCACTATACTCTGGCAACAAAGCAAGACCCTGTCTCTCACACACACAAAAATTAAATAAATATATAAATAGATAAAACAGCAGCACAACAGGAAATCATTGCTGGTGGGAATGCAAAATGGTATAGCCACTTTGGAAGACAGTTTGGCAGTTTCTTTTTCTTTTCTTTTTTTTTGAGTGCAAAAAAACAGCATGGGAGTGCAATGGCGCAATCTCAGCTCACCGCAACCTCTGCCTCCCAGGTTCAAGCAATTCTCCTGCCTCAGCCTCCTGAGTAGCTGGGATTATAGGCATGCGCCACCACACCCAGCTAATTTTGTATTCTTAGTAGCAACGCGGTTTCTCCATGTTGGTCAGGCTGGTCTCCAACTCCTGACCTCAGGTGATCTGTCTGCCTCGGCCTCCCAAAGTGCTGGGATTACAGGAGTGAGCCACCGTGCCTGGCTGGCAGTTTCTTATAAAACTAAGCATATAATCCAGCAATCACGCTCCTTATATTTACCCAAATGAGTTTAAAACTTATGTTCACACAAAAACCTGTATGCAGTTGTTTATAGCAGATTTATTCATAATTGCCAAAACTTGGAACAACCAAGATGCCCTTCAGTAGGTGAATGGATAAATAAACTCTGGTACCTCCAGACGATGGAGTATTATTCAGCACCATAAAGAAATGAGCTACCAAGCTGTGAAAAGACATGGAGGAGGAATGTTAAATGCATTTTACTAAGTGGAAGAAGCCTATCTGAACAGGCTACATACTGTGTGATTCCAACTCTATGCATACTGGAAAAGGCAAAACTTTGGAGACAGTAAAAAGATCAGCAGTTGCCAGGGGTTAGTGGGGAGGGAGGGAGGGATAGGTGGAACACAGAGGATATTTAGGGCAGTGAAGCCACTCTGAATGATATTATAATGGTAAAATTACACATACAAGATTCAAAAGTGCTCTAGAAAATAAAGACAGTTTTGGCCGGGCATGGTGGCTCAAGCCTGTAATCCCGGCACTCTGGAAGGCCGAAGCAGGCGGATCACCTGAGGTCAGAAGTTCAAGACCAGTCGGGCCATGGTGAAACCCCGTCTCTACTAGAAATACAAACAACTAGCCAGGCATGGTGGTGTGTGCCTGTAATCCCAGCTACTCGGGAAGCTGAGGCAGGAGAATCACTTGAACCCGGGAGGCGGAGGTTGCGGTGAGCTGAGATCACGCCATTGCGCTCCAGCCTGAGCAACAAGAGCAAAACTCCGTCTCAAAAAAAAAAGACAGTTTTTAAAATTAGCATCTGTATTAGTCAGGGTTCTCTAGAGGGACAGAACTAGTAGGATAGATGTATATATGAAAGGCAGTTTATTAAGGAGTATTGACTCACATGATCACAAGGTGAAGTCCCACAATAGGCCATCTGCAAGCTGAGGAGCAAAGAAGACAGTCCGAGTCTCAAAACTCAAAAGTATGTAACCTGACAGTGCAGCCTTCAGTCTGTGGCCTAAGGCCTGAGAGCCCCTGACAAACCACTGGTATAAGTCCAAGAGTCCAAAAGCCAAAGATGTTTGAGGGCAGGAAACATCCAGCATGGGAGAAAGATGAAGGAGGGAAGACTCAGCAAGTCTGCTCTTCCCACCTTCTTCTGCCTGCTTTATTCTAGCCACACTGGCAGCTGATTACATGGTACCCATGCAGATTGAGGGTGGGTCTGCCTCTCCCAGTCCACTGACTCAAATATTAATCTCCTTTGGCAACACCCTCACAGACACACCCAGGAATAATTGCATCCTTCCATCCAATCAAGTTGGCACTCAACATTAACCATCGCAGCATCTTACATATTATTTGTAAATACCAAATAACATCCATAATTATTTTTATTGATTAAAAACAAAAAAAAAACAAAAAAAGGCCGGGCACAGTGGCTCACGCCTGTAATCCCAGCATTTTGGGAGGCCGAGGCGGGTGGATCGCCTGAGGTCAGGAGTTTGAGACCAGCCTGGCCAACATGGAGAAACCCCATCTCTACTAAAAATACAAAAATTAGTCGGGTGTGGCGGCTCACACATGTAATCCCAGCTACTTGGGAGGCTGAGGCAGTAGAATTACTTGAACCTGGGAGGCAGAGGTTGCAGTGAGCCAAGATTGTGCCACTGCACTCCAACCTGAGTGACAGAACGAGACTGTCTCAAAAACAGGCCAGGCGCAGAGGCTCACACCTGTAACCCTAGCACTTTGGGAGGCTGAGGCAGGCGGATCACGAGGTCAGGAGATGGAGACCATCCTGGCTAACACGGTGAAACCCTATCTCTACTAAAAAAATACAAAAAAAAAAAAAATTAGCCAGGCGTGGTGGTGGGCGCCTGTAGTCCCAGCTACTCTGGAGGCTGAGGCAGGAGAATGGCGTGAACCCAGGAGGCGGAGCTTGCAGTGAGCCAAGATCGCGCCACTGCACTCCAGCCTGGGCGACAGAGCGAGACTCCATCTCAAACAAGCAAACAAACAAACAAACAAAGAAACCAAAAAGCATATATGTAAGTCTAGAAAGACATTTGCCATATGTAAGTCTTCTTCTGCCTGGACCCCTGTCCACATAGACACCTCCAGTATGAGAGGACTGGGGCTCGGCCTTCCCATAACAGCAGCTATGGCAGGCTTGTGGCCTGGGCTCAGGTGTAGTGAGGTGGGGATGCTGCAGGTGCAGGCCAGTCGGGTGGTGAATGGGGCTGTAGGATGTCCGGAACAGGGGACCTCATCCATCCCACACTGATCACCAGGATAATGCCACCAATTCCTTCTGTGTATGTTCCCTTAGTTCCTGCCCATTTTCTAAGCGTGAGTCTCCTGGCTTCCCACTGTATTTGTGAGTTATGAGAGAGAGCCTTCCAACAAATTCCTTTTTGGTCTAATTTAGCTAGAGTTGATTTCTGTTGATTACAACCAAAATTTTTTATTGGTACAGAACCCTGCATCTTTTTTTATTTTTATTTATGTATTTATTTATTTTTGAGATGGAATCTCACTCTGTCCCTCAGGCTGAAGTGCAGCGGCATCATCTCGGCTTACTGCAACCTCCGCCTCCCAGGTTCAAGCCATTCTCCTGCCTCAGCCTCCCGAGTAGATGGGATTACAGGTATGTGCCACCATGCCCAGCTAATTTTTGCATTTTTAGTAGAGACAGGGTTTCACCATGTTGGCCAGGCTGGTCTCAAACTCCTGACCTCAGATGATCTGCCCATCTCGGCCTCCCAAAGTGCTGGGATTACAGGCATGAGCCACTGTACCCAGCCCCTACATCTTTTAAAAGGACACATGGATTCCAATTCTGGTCATGACAGAGTGACTGATTGGAAACTTGCCCTCCTGTCAACACTGGACTTTGGAAACAACAGCTTTCAGCCACTAGTCAGCCGGAGCTGTGGTCTCTGGGAGAGGCAAGGGCTTGGGGCAGGCCCCACATTCCCTCTGGCCTCAGTCAAGCACAGTGCTGAGAGGTGGAACCCAGACAGCGGGGACCTCATGGGGCCAAGGAAAGGCTGTGGCCAGGACTCCCAGACAGTTGGGACTTGGGGGACAGGGTCCCAGAGCCAAGAGGGCTGCAGAGAAGCACCACTAGCCCTGGGTGGTGGTTCCTCTTGGGTCTTCAGCTGCACCTCAGGTTGCACGTGTGTGGGATGCAGGCCCAACTTCAGACAGGCGATTCTGGCAGTCACATAGGACTCTCTCTCAGAAGGGCTGGGCTCAGGTTAAGCTCTGCCATTGCTGTTGTGAAATTCTTCATAACACTTGAACAAGTGAGGTCTTGGGAGAGGTGCCACAGCCCTGGGGAGAAGTGCCATTGCACCAGGGTGAGGTGGCACAGCCCAGGCAGCCCCAGAGAGATGTGGCACAGCACCAGGAGAGGTTGGCACACCAACCCAGCCAGGGAAAAGGCCTTTGAACACTTTGGAGTGAGGACCACATCCAGCAATCTCAGGAGAAACGGGGTCTCTTTCCCAATATTTTCAGCACAAGTCCTGAGAAGTTTCACCTAGTCAAGATTTGGGGTTTGTGCCCATCCTGAACCGAACACCAAAGTTTTTACAGGCCAAAGCCAAGTGACTGCTCCATTCTGGAGCTGGAAATGAGGTCAGCTCCACCCAGACCACATACACCGGGCACGGGGTTCTCTAAAGGGAATTAAGGTATTGTTAGCAAAAACAGAGAGCAGTGCTGCCGATCTGTCAGAAGGCATAGGCATCCATCCATGTGATCACTGACTCTTCATTGTTATTTCCTGTGTTTAGATGCCTTGTGTTTTGTTGTTGTTGTTGTTGTTGTTTGAGACGAAGCCTCGCTCTTGTCCCCCATGGGGCAATCTCGGCTCACTGCAACCTCCGCCTCCCAGGTTCAAGCAATTCTCCTGCCTCAGCCTCCCGAGTAGCTGGGACTACAGGTGCATGCCACCACACCCGGCTAATTTTTTGTATTTTTTGGAGAGCCGGGGTTTTGCTGTGTTAGCCAGGATGGTCTCGATCTCCTGACCTCGTGATCCGCCTGCCTTGGCCTCCCAAAGTGCTGGGAGATGTGAGCCACCACACCTGGCACCCTGTGTTTTTTTACACACCCCTACCCTGAGTCTCAGAGCAGGATTGGCACTTCAGAGAGGGGCGCCCCCTCTCTCAGCCTGCCGGCACCAGGCTTTGGAGGAAGCAGGAAGGTGTACCCAGGCTCATACATATCCACTGAATGAACAGAGGTTTGAAATGTGAAAACAAATTGTACAGCAGGACACCCCTTCCCTCCCAGCCTGACCAGGCCACTCACACTGACTGTCTCGGAGGGATGCTTTCTGGTTAACTGGCTGGAGTAGGGTTATTTCCCCTAATCACTGTTTTGTTGTGGGATGGGGTTTGGGGGATTCATCTATGGCATCCCTGCTGTGAGTCTCCATTGGCAGTTGGATAGGACTAAGGAGGGAAGGGACCCATGGAGATTTCCACTGCAATCAGAAGAGAGAGACCTTTTAGGGAATGGGGAACCTCAGGTTTCGCTTTACCCCAAGTCAGAGAAGAGTTACATTCAGCACCTCTGGGAGAGGTGTGAGCCATGGCCCAGTGTGTTCTCCCAGCCAAGAATCAATGATGATTCAGCTGAGGGCCTTGCTGGACAGGGCTGATGGTAGCTGGGAGACCAACACAATGAGCCCAGCCCAAGGTAAGGAAAGGAAAGGGAGACATTTGTTGAGTTTGAATCTTGTCTCAGGAACTTGTCTTGAGCTCCAGTGAAACAGCAGGTAACATAGAACTTTGCCTGTCAAACACCAATAAATGAATCAAATGAAGCAGTGAGGGCAGATGGCAGAGGGGTCCAAGCAGGGAGAGCAACTGCTAGAGGCCAGGAGGCAACTGCTACCGCTTTGCAGCCCCAGCCTTTCGGGAATAGCCAGGCCTGAAGGACACCCCCAAGAGCCAGGGCGCCTCTCTGGAATTCCAAGTAAGGCTTAGACAGGGTTCTTGGTTCTGAATCGGGTCTCACCAGATGATATGCTGGCCCAACTTGTCCCAACCACCCAGAAACACACTCATAACCCGTGGTGAACATTTGTGGCTCCAGGGGGATATCAGCTCTGCTTTATCTTTTTTTCTTTTCTTTTTTTTTTTTTTTTTTTGAGACGGAGTCTTGCTCTGTCGCCCAGGCTGGAGCACAGTGGTGTGATCTTTGCTCACTGCAACCTCTGCCTCCTGTGTTCAAGCGATTCTCCTGCCTCAGCCTCCTGAGTAGCTGGGACTACAGGCACAGGCCACCATGCCCGGCTAATTTTTTTTTTTTTGTATTTTTAGCAGAGACAGGGCTTCATCATGTTAGCCAGGATGGTCTTCATCTCCTGACCTTGTGATCTGACTGCCTCCGCTTCCCAAAGTGCTTTAATCACAGGTGTGAGCCACTGTGCCCAGCCATATCAGCTCTGCTTTTCTAAGGATCATGCCCATTGTAGATCAGTGAGTATCCTCATAGAGGCAGTGCCTTCTCACTGCATCCACACATGGCAAACAGGCAAACAGGCTCCCCCCTTTTCATGCATGTTGTACACTCTTTGCACTGCATCCTGTTAAACATTTCTCATGGCCAATGTCTCTCTGAGAATGTAGGCCATCTCTGGATCTGCTTCTATTGACTGTTGCCTCTCTGAATGATGGATCACATTATCTTGTTTTTTGGGGTGTCTGGATTAGGGTTCTCCAGACAAAGAGAATATATAGGGATCTATAGGGTGAGCTAGCAAGCTGGAGACCCAGGAGAGCAGAAGGCATGAGTTCCAGTCCAAAGGCCAGCAAGCTGAAGACATGGGGAGGACAAATGTTTCAGTTTCAATCTGAAGGCAGGAAAGAGTTGATGACCCAGTTTGAAGGCAGCCAGGCTGAAGAATTTGTCATTAAATGCTAGACCTTGTGTGTAAAAGAATATCAGAGGCCAGGCGTGGTGGCTCACACCTGTAATCCCAGCACTTTGGGAGGCAGAGGCAGGCAGATCACGTGAGGTCAGGAGTTCAAGACCAGCCTGGCCAATATGGTGAACCCCTGTCTCTACTAAAAAATACAAAACTTAGCCGGGTGTGGTGGCAAACACCTGTAGTCCCAGCTACTTGAGAGACTGAGGCAGAAGAATTGCTTAATCCTGGGAGGCCAAGGTTGCAGTGAGCCGAGATTATACCACTGCACTCTAGCTTGGGCAGCACAGTGAGACTCCATCTCAAAAAAAAAAAAAAGGAATAGCAGAGACTGAAGTAAATAGCAGTTCTGCTTGGAGAATTGCATACACCTTCCTCTGGCAGGCTGTTAGTGTTGGGGTCAAGCCCATCTAGTCTTCAGGGAGCTGGGTCTGGACTTTGCTGTGGAATTCAGTTCACCAAAGGCTTCACATTATTTGAGGGCAGACACCTTCCTTTATTGGTTTGGCATCTCCGTGTTTGCAGGGTTTGTTGCAGTCAGCCCTGTGCACCTGCACCCTAGCAGGGTAGCCTGCTGCTGCTCTCCCTTCCCTCTCCAATGAGAGATGGCTGCTGCCTGGCAATCAGTGCAACCCCTGGGAACACCTGTGGTGTTTCTCACACTGCTCCTTGCTTGCAGAATGTACTCACCCTGACAGGCCTCAGTTCTCTTGTCACAGCCCCCATGGTGGCCAGTGTAGGACATGTCCAGCAAGTTCCCACTAGAACTCTGGCTCTGCCCCCAGGTCTCACTCATGCCCCTCCCCAGGGGCACTCTCAGGCTCTCACTGCAAGGCCCCTTGTGTTAGGAGGGCTCCTCTCAGCACTCCTTCTCCACCTTCAGACTCCAGCATCTGTACCTCACGTAGGCTTCTTCGGTCTCTGGACTGGCCTCCACTCTCCCCCTTGAGCAGTGGGCGATGGCTCTTGGGAAAGAGTGGGTGAGTGGGTACAAACTCTCTTGCATCTGGTGCACCTAGAGGTTGACTGCAGTGGCAAGGCCAACGTCCTGGGTGTGAGTGTGCAGCTGCACAGACCCCATGCTCAGAAGGGCTTCGTGTTTGGTTTAATGCTTTGCTGTTACAGTCTTGAAATTCAATTCTTGTTAATTTTTGGATGAGGAGCCCCACATTTCATTTTGCTCTGGCCCTGGGCAGAGGGTTCATCTTCAGCTGCCGCTGTTTTCCCTCCTGCTTCATCCTCACCTCCTGCAATTCTGCCTTTGGCATCAGAAGCCAAGATGATCACCTCAGGGACCAAAATCACCCCAGGAACCTGGAGAACTGGGCCTTGTGGGAAATGTTGACCTTACATTTGGTGGTAGGACCCAAACCCATACCAGAGCTAAATTTGAGTTATTGCGCAGTTGAATACAGGACATGGCCAAATGAACACAAACTGTGCACTCAAAAAAAATCAGGAGAGTCCGAGTGTGGTGACTCATGCCTGTAATCACAGCACTTTGGGAGGCTGAGGCGGGTGGATTGCTTGAGCCCAGGAGTTTGAGACAAGCCAGGGCAACATGGTGAAACCCTGTCTCTACTAAAAATGCAAAAATTAGCTGGGCATAGTGGCACACACCTGTAGTCCAACCTACTTGGGAGGCTGAGGCAGGAGGATCACTTGAGCCTGGGAGGTGGAGGCTGCAGTGAGCCAAGATTGTGCCACTGCACTCCAACCTGGGCGACAGAGTAAGACTCTGTCTCAGAAAAAAAGAATAACAATAGTAAA